>NC_000014.9:58702622-59005652 GCF_000001405.40 Homo sapiens | reverse complement strand
ATAAAGGGGAGTTCCCCTACACAAGCTCTCTTGCCTGCCACCATGTAAGATGTGACTTTGCTCCTCATTTGCCTTCTACCATGATGGTGAGGTCCCCAGCCTTGTGGAACTATGAGTCAATTAAACCTCTTTTCTTTATAAATTACCCAGTCTTGGGTATGTCTTTATTAGCAGCATGAGAACAAACTAATACAGACATATTATGTTCCTTTGCTTAGAATGAGAATAGCAGAGAAGGTGATTGCAGCTGAAAAAGTAGCTGCACTGATATTCTATTTCCATACGTCTAATATATAATTATTATTCTATAAAGGCTAGAGATTATGAGATAGGGAAAGAAAAAGAGGGAGAGTGGCAATGGCATAGAAAATCTGTCGCCAGAAATTGTTGAGATGAAGTAAGAAAAAGAGGGAGGATAGCACAGTGTAGAAAATCTGTGGCCACAGATCCTCGCTCTCAAATAGCAAAAACTGAGAGGGTCATACTCTCAAGGAAAGGAAACTGCAGAATTTATGACGTGGCATTTAAAGCAAACCCAAAGCAAAGCTTCAGGCAGTTCATCATGCCCCTTGCTTGTTCCCTACACTGTTCTCTAACATGAAATTAGTACTTCTTAAAGAAAAGTACTGATATTGGACCTGTCCATAAATATTTGGATATAGGTGGAGAGGAGGAAAGGAACATAAATAGTTCATGATCTCAAAATGAGTACAAGGCCTGGCGTGGTGGCTCACACCTGTAATCCCAGCACTTTGGGAGGCCAAGATGGGCAGATCACCTGAGGTCAGGAGTTTGAGACCAGCCTGACCAACATGATGAAACCTGTTTCTACTAAAAAAAAAACAAGAAATTAGCCGGGCATGGTGGCGCATGCCTGTAATCCTGGCTACTCAGGAGGCTGAGGCAGGGGAATCGCGTGAACCTGGGAGGTGGAGGTTGCAGTGAGCTGAGATCATGCCATTGAACTCCAGACTGGCCAACAAGAGCGAAACTCCCTCTCAAACAAACAAACAACAACAACAACAAAAAGAGTACAAATAACATTCTATTCCTCACTGTCATATAATAAAAAATAAATATTTGGTCTTTGTCCCCAGTTCCTGATACATAGGTCCTAAAACCCTTCAAAACTCTAGAATGTCTTTTCTGTGCTAATGAGATGACTGGTGGTTGGGGATCCCTAGATAGCTTCAGGATGGGGACTGGTGACCAGGAATATCAAACCTTGATTAGAAGCTTGGAACCTTCAGCCCCACTCCGCAAATCCAGGGAGGAGAGAGGAGCTGGAGATTGAGTTAATCACCAATGGTTAAGGATTTAATCAATCATGCCTATGTAATGAAACCTCCATAGAATACCTAAACAACTGGATTCAGAGAGCTTCCAGATTGTTAAACACATTGAGGTGCTGGGAGAGTGGCTTGCCTAGAGAGGGCATAGAAGCTCTATCTGCCATGCCCCATTCTTTTCCCTATGCATCTATCTCTTCCATTTGTTGTTCCTGAGCTGTATCCTTTATAATAAATCAATGAATGTAAGTAAAGTGCTTTTTTGAGTTCTGTGAGCCATTCTAGCAAATTATTGAAACTGAGGAGGGGGCCATGGGAACCCCTAATTTGTAGCTGGCGCTTGTCAGAAGTACAGCTTGGAACTAGAGCTTGCATCTGTGTCTGGCAGCCTTTTGGGACTAAGCTCTTAAACATGTGGAGTTTCAGCCTAACTGTGGATAGTTAACATCAGAATTGAACTGCATTATAGGACACCCAGTTAGTGTCCAGAGAGTTTGAGAACTGATTGTTGGTGTGGCAAAACCTACACATTTGGTGTCAGAAGTGTTGTGGGTAAAAACTCTTTGGCCTCATGGAGACTGGAGATTTTTGCTGTTGGAGTCCCTCACTTTATGTGACTCCAGGCCAGCTCTCTCCTGTGGGATCCAAATCCACTCCATGGGAAATGCCTGCCTTGCCTAGCTGTTCCCCAGGCTGCTTTGTCTTTCCCAGGTATGAGCCAGCCACGAGTACAATGGGTCCCCCAACTGCAGGTCACACATCAGACTCTCAAAGTTTCAAATATAGCTCACCTCCCACCCCTCCAATCAAATCTGTTTTTGTAAGTGGAAAAGGTATCAAGTGAATATATCATTAAAAAGTTAAAATATTAAATATAAAATTTGATTTTATGTGGGCAAAATATAACCATAATTGTATGGATTCAAAAACCATAAGGAAACTTCTAGTTCTGTAAGTAAATAGGCAATTTTGATAGCATTTAGTATTCGTTTTTTTAAAATTGTGGTAAAATACACATAACATAAAATTTACCATTGTAACCATTTTTAAGTGCACAGTTCAGTAGCATTAGATACATTCACACTGTTTTGCAACCATCACCACCATCCATCTCCAGATTATTTTTCATCTTCTCAAACAGAAACTCTATGTCCATTAAACAATAAAACCCTATTTTCCCCTTTCTCCAGTCCCAGCAACTACCATTCTATTTGTATCTATGAATTTGACTATTCTGGGTATTTCATATAAATGAAAACATATACCCTTCTTGAAATCAAATAAGTCACATTTTATGGGAGTCTATAACCTCTACTTTGCACAATCAACATTGTTCTTATTCTCCAGGCTGATTAGAGATAGATTTATTTTAAACCATAACTGGTTGGACGTGACCATTAAACATTGTCGGTTTTTTTTCTGGGACAAATAAACAAGTCATTCTCAGCTTTAAATGTACTAATACTAGTATAAAATTTATTCTGGATGGAAAAACATAAACTGAAGGAGAAAGTGAGAAAGCACAGTTCGCGCAGAAAAAAGGATCACAGAAAAGAACAAACTGACAGAATTCAATAACTCTTACAGAGAGTCATGCAGCTTTTAATTCAATCAATAAGTAAGTGTACCAGCTAGCTTGAAACCACAGGGCTGAACATACCTTCTTCCTTCCAGACAAGGTATCTGGCTTTGGATCACTACATAAGCACATCCATAAGTCAGAAAAATATATATATATACAATCATGGGTTTGTTCTGATTCTTGGTTTGGAAATTTTCAAAAACTAAAATTGTTAAGAAATAGTAAGATGATATTTCTCCTTTTTTTTTTTTTTTTTTTTTTTTTTGAGATAGAGTCTCACTCTGTCACACAGGCTGGAGTGCAGTGGCGCGATCTTGGCTCACTGCAAGCTCTGCCTCCCGGGTTCACACCATTCTCCTGCCTCAGCCTCCCAAGTAGCTGGGACTACAGGCACCCGCCACCACACCTGGCTAATTTTTTTGTATTTTAATAGAGACAGGGTTTCACCATGTTAGCCAGGATGGTCTCAATCTCCTGACCTCGTGATCCGCCCGCCTCAGCCTCCCAAAGTGCTGGGATTACTGGTATGAGCCACAGCGCCCAGCCAATATTTCTCACTTTTAAAATCAATTTGCTGGCCTTTCATAATAGATAAAAACTTCACACTTAAATATTGTTCCAGGGTAGCCTCTTATAATTTAACTTTGTTTAGATATAATTTTGAAAGATGTTATTCACTAATCATCAATTGTTTAATAAGTTCCTATCATGTTTTGGGCACCATGCTGGTCACTGGAGTAGCAAGATACTACATTCAAATGGTTCATGAGGGACAGGATAGAGAGGGGCAGGTGAGGAAAAGAGAGAGGAGAAGGAAAAAATAATGTGACAAAATGTTAACAATTGAGAAATCTGGGCAAAGAGTAAACAAGATTGTTTTGTATGATTATTGCAACTTTACTCTAAGTCCAAAATTATTTTTAAGATGCCACAAAAACAATAAGACAATAGGATATAAGTGATCATAAGCAGTTATTAGAAAGTTATGTTATGAAAGAGTCTTCCCATCTTATTTTTTAAAGGAATAATCACTCATCGTGATAATGGGTATTTAGAGGAAAATGGTGTTCCATGGCCAAATAAGTTATAAAATATACACTATGCACCTCTCTTGACAGTCCACTGTACATTTTGGCATATTCATGAATCTGGGAAGTTCCACTAAGAAGCAGTTGGAAAGAAAGTAGATGGATCTGAAAAATAGTTAGAAAGAAAGCCAACTACCTTATTCTGTTTATCTGAGGATATCACAATGTAATTGACCATAAAACTCTTTTTGTGAGTGATAACTATTAAAATAGAGATTTCAGAAATGCCATTGTAAGATAGGGAACATTATCTCAATTTGTGTGCATACAAATTCATTTGGAAGAAGCAGCCTGTTTGTACTGTTGTATATGCTGGTGAATTTATACAGATAGAGTTCCAGTTGGTTCTCAGATACTTTTGTGTGCAGATGAAGACATGTGGCCTCCCTTTTAATTAGAAGCTCTTCATTCCAAAATGCAATATTTATTAAATCTCATGTTGAGATAAATATTTTTTATTTACACTATTTTCCAGGACTAATTGCTGTGTTTTTAGAAAAGCCTTCCACTAAACTCTAATGAGTAGAATTAAATGAACCACTAAGATAAAACAAATCATCAATTCAGCTACCCATCATGAATCAGTTGATCGTGAAGTACCTGATGTAAATGCAAGATCATTGGCCTTTTGCCCAAGATTGCTAGAGGCAAGATTATCCAGGTAATCAACCCTTGCTCCCCTTCAGTTTTTCATGACATTTCCCCAAAAGTAAAAGGTGAGTTCACATATGGCATCAGATTTTTCTTGACACCAATAATAAAATTCCAGTTACATTAACTGTCAATATATGTTTCTTTACAGGTAAAGGATTGCATCTAGGCTGGGCACGGTGGCTCATGCCTGTAATCCCAGCACTTTGGGAGGCTGAGGTGGGCGGATCACGAGGTCAGGAAATCGAGACCATCCTGGCTAACATGGTGAAACCCCGTCTCTACTAAAAATACAAAATAAAAAAAGTAGCCAGGCATGGTGGCAGGCGCCTGTAGTCCCAGCTACTCAGGTGGCTGAGGCAGGAGAATGGCATGAACCTGGGAGGCGGAGCTTGCAGTGAGTGGAGATCGCGCCACTGCACTCCAGCCTGGGTGACAGAGAGAGACTCTGTCTCAAAAAAAAAAAAAAAGAAAAAATTGCAACTAAATAATTTGAAAAATTCTACAAAATAGTTAAGAAAACTTTTTGTTTCATAAAAAATATGTTTAATAATAACGCTGAATAAGACATCTTATTTCTTAAGTGACTAAACACTTCTTGGATGTGAAATCAGAGAAGGCTAATTTTTAAAGTCCATAAATAATATGAATTTAAGTGTATTCAGATGTTTCTTATTAATTTCAATATTCTGCTTCCTTTTGCATGTACATTTAGGGCACAAGACCAACACCTGATCAAAAGTGGAAATGCTAATCCAGTTTTATAAAAAATATAATGAGTAGTCTCCACAATACTACATAATTGCTAGTAATTATAAAAATATTTCTTAACTAAAGTAGGATTTCTTTATAATTATACATGTCAATTCATATAACAGAATACAATGATTGTTAAAATGCAGGTATCATCTAATAATGCACCAATTCTTATTTATTTTATTAACTGCATTGTTTGAAAAGTAAATACATGAATGTAAAATATGGTATTATGAAGCAGTCAAAATCAAGAAAAAGAAACAGTACCAAATATAAAATATGATATGGCAGATAGACAAAGACTCAATATACTAAGTTTTTATTTTTAAATTGGCATATTTCTTCATAATTCTTGACTACTAAACTCAGTGTACTGGATACACTGTCCTTTAGCCATATACAATAACTATCTTGATTTCCATATTAGTCCATTCTCACACTGCTATAAAGAACTACCTGAGACTGAGCAATTTATGCAGAAAAGAGGTTTAATTGATTCACAGTTTTATAGCTGTACAGGAAGCATGGCTAGAAGCCCTCAGGAAACTTATAGCCATGGCAGAAGGGAGAAGGGGAAGCAAGCATGTCTTCACATGGCAGCAGGAAAGACAGCAAAGAGGGACATGCCACAGACTTTTAAGCCATCAGATCTCATGAAAACTCACTATCATGAGAAAAGCATGGGGTAAACATCCCCCATGATCCAATCACCTTCCACCAGGTCCCTCCCTCAACAGGTGGGGATTACAGTTCAAAATGAGATTTGGGTGGGGACACAGCCAAACCATATCATTCCACCCCTGGCTCCACCCAAACCTCATGTCCTTTTCACATTTCAAAACCAATCATGCCTTCCCAATAGTCCTCCAGAGTCTTAACTCATTCTAGCATTAACCCAAAACTCGAAGTCTAAAGTCATATCCAAGAAAAGGCAAGTCCCTTATGCCTATGAGCCTGAAAAATAAAAAACAAGGTAGTCCTTCCAAGATACAATGTGGGTACAGGCATTGAGCAAATGCTCCCATTCCAATGGAAGAAATTGGCCAAAACAAAGGGGCCTGCAGCCCCATGCAAGTCCAAAACCCAGCAGGGCAGTCATTTAATCTTGAAGCTCCAAAATAATCTCCTTTGACTCTATGTCTCACATCCAGGGCACACTGATGGAAGGGGTGGGCTTCCAAGGCCTTGGGCTGGTCTGCCCCTGTGGCTCTGCAAGGCACAAAACCTGCAACTGTTTTCATGGCCTGGCATTGAATGTTTATGGCTTTTCCAGGCACACAATGCAAGCTGTCAATAGATCTACCCTTCTGGAGTCTGGAGGATGGTGGCCCTCTTCTCACAGCTTTTATTAAGTAGTGCTCCAGTGGGTATTTTTTGCGGGGGCTCCAACCCCACATTTCCCCCTCTGCACTGCCCTAGTAGAGGTTCTCCATGAGGACCCCACCCCTGCAGCAAACTTTGCCTGGACATCCAGGTGTTTCCACACATCCTCTGAAATCTAGGCAGATGCTCCCAAACCTCAACTCTAGCCTTCTGCATACCCACAGGCCCAACACAACATGGAAACCACTAAGGCTTGGGGCTTGAACCCTCTGAAGCAATGGCCTGAGCTGTACTTTGGCCCATCTTAACAATGGCTGGAGCTTGAGTGGCCACAATGCAGACTGCCATGTCCCAAAGCTGCACAGTAGCAGGTCCCTGGGCCTGGCCCATGAAACCATTTTTCCCTCCTAGGCCCCTAGGCTTGTGATAGGAGGGGCTGCTGTGAAGGTCTTTGAAATGCCCTGGAGGCATTTCCCCCATTGTCTTGAGTATTAACATTAGGCTCCTCTTTACTGAAGCAACCTTCTACAGCTGGCTTAAATTTCTTCCCAGAAAATAGGTTTTTCTTTCCTACCCCATGGCCAGGTTGCAAATTTTCTAAACTTTCATGCTTTGCTTGCCTTTTAAATATAAGTTCCAATTTCAGAACATCTTCTTGCAAATGCATATGAGTGTATTTTGTTAGAAGCAGCCAGGTCATATCTTTAATGCTTTGCTCTTAGAAATTTCTTTTTCCAGATACCCAAAATCATCTGTCTCAAGTTCAAAGTTCCACAGATCTCTAGAGCAGAGGCACAATGCTGCCAGTCTCTCTGCAAGCATAGCAAGAGTGACCTTTACTGCAGTTCCCAATAAGTTCCTCATCTCCATCTAAGACCTCCTCAGCCTGGACTTCACTGTCCATAACACTATCACCATTTTGGTTACAATCATTCAACAAGTCTGTATAAAGTTCTCATCTTTCCATTTTCTTCTGAGCTCACCAAACTGTTACAATCTCTGCCAGTTTCAAAGTTGCTTCCATATTTTCAAGTATCTTTATAAGAATTCCCCTCTTCTCTGGTACCAGTTTTCTCTATTAGTCTATTCTAATATTGCTATAAAGAACTACCTAATGCTGGGTAGTTTATAAAGAAAATAGGTTTAATTGACTTACAGTTCAATAGGCTGTACAGGAGGCATGGCTGAAGAGGCCTCAGGAAACTTACAATCATGGTGGAAGGAAAAGGGGAAACAAGCACCTCTTCACACAGTGGCAGGAGAGAGCGAGTGTGAAGGGGAAAGTGCCACACACTTTTAAACCATCAGATTGCATGAGAACTCACTCACTATCATGAGAACAGCATGGGGGAAATCCACGCCCATGATCCAATCACCTCCCACCAGGTCCTTCCCCCAACATTGGGAATTGCAATTCAACATGAGATTTGGGTAGGGACCCAGAGCCAAGCCATATCAATTTCTTTGGCTAATTTTGTGACATGGATTATGTGATATAATAAAAAGTAAGAAAAGACAGAAGACTAAATGTAGAGAGACAAAGAACTCAACATCCTCTGTGACCCAAGTGACAGTGTTTTGTGAATACTAAAATATAAAATGACATAATTGTTATTTCTGATAGTGGATTGTTATGTAGAAAATGCTAATGACTTTTTTCTTGATTAGACCAAAGGTAAAGAAAATAGGTTTTCATTATTTACAGAAGAACTACAAGCCAGAGTTTATTTCAATTAATTCAAACATTTTAAAATCACCTATCATTGTTTCCTTCATTCATTTAATCCAGGTATTTGCAGACTACAGCCTGCAGGCCAGATGTTGGCTTTTATAAATAAAGTCTTACTGGAACAAAGCCATGCTTATTCATTTACATATTTTCTATGGCTGCATTTATACTTTAATAGCAGAAGTGAAATACTTATAATGGGATTTTTGTGGTCCGCAAAGCCTAAAATATTTACTACTGGGGACCTTTACAGAAAAGGTTTTCTGGCCTGTGATCTAATCAGGCTTTCAATCATTTGTTATCAATTAAAAAGTGTTTGCAGAGTCTAACAGACATTGGTCTCAGTGCTAAGAATACAACGATGGGGCGGGGCACAGTTCCTCATGCCTATAATCCCAGCACCACCACTTTAGGAGGCTGAGGCGGGAGAATCACCTGAGGTCAGGAGTTTGAGACCAGCCTGGCCAACATAGTGAAACCCTGTCTGTACTGAAAATACAAAAATTAGCTGGATGTGGTGGTGTGTGCCTGTAATCCCAGCTACTTGGGAGGCTGAGGCAGGAGAATAGCTTGAGCCCGGGAGGCAGAAGTTGCAGTGAGCAGAGATTGCGCCATTGCACTCCAGCCTAGGTTACAGAGCAAGACTCCATCTCAAATAACAATAATAATAATAATAATAATAATAATAATAATAATAATAATAATACAATAAACATAAAGCTGCAGTTTCTGCACCCATGGAGTTGGTATTCTAGTGGAGGAGACAATTAGACAGCAATGGCAACAACAGTGTAATCAAGTCTAGAATCAGGAAAATATAGCAGATTATAGGAACACAAACTATAGAATGAAGTGGGGTATGGTAAAGGTGATCCTGGCAGAAAATGATATCTAAACTGAAATATGAAGGGTCAATAGGAGTCAGCCAGGAAAATAAGACCTAGGAGGAAAGAAGGAGTTTGAGTTAGGCTGTGAGCATTGCAAGGAGAAGGAATACATGCTGAGTTCCAGGGATAAAAGAAAGTATGGCATGAGTGATGTTCAGTCTGGTCAGAGCAAAGGGTTTTAGAGGGTAGTGACGAAAAAGAGAAGCAAGCAGGATCCAGATTATTCTGGGTCTTATAAGGAGTTTATTCTGTGGAAAATGGAAAGCCATTGAAGGATTTAAGTTATAAGAGAGAGACAATCAGATTTGTATAATATTAGTGATTATTTAGATGTCAGTATGGAGTTCCGAGAAGAGAAAGACTAGGATCATAAATAGCAATTAAAAAGCTCTTGTAGAGATGAGGCTCCCAGCTATTGCCAAGTGAAGAGACTGGTAAATCCTCTCCCTAGAAAGAAACTATAAAGCTGGACAAAATTGGCAAAAATAATTATTTTAGCAATCTGGAAACGAACAAAGGTGTGGAGCAATCTGAGAAGCATTTATATCTGAAAATCTACTTAACTTTGGTTATGAACACTGGAAATCTCTGGTGTTCTGAACTTGGGCTACTCCCATATCTTCCCACACTCAGCCAACAAGGAGATTTTTCAGGGCAGGGCAGGTCATGAAGGACAATAATTTTTCTGACTGGTGAGGGGCTCACTCCATTTGGTGTAGTGAGAAAAGCCCACACTCATCAGTGATGTCAGTACAAATGAAAATCCCATACAGTGGCGGACTAGGGAAGGCCCACTGTCGTACAAGCCTGGAGTTGTAGTCATGGTCGGAGAAGGCATATTCTTTGCTTAATTGTGTTCATGTGCAGAAGATAATGGAGAAAACTCGAACTAACTACACATGCCTGGCCAACCCTGAAGCTGAACACATGTATATAGAAGACGCAAAAGGGTCCAGCAGAGTAAAAGCCTAGGCATACTTGAAAATGGCATAAACTTTAGCTGATCCTTCCTTTGCTCACACACAAATTTATCGGCTTGAAGTGGATGAGGACAACTTCTATCCAACCAATGTCTAATCAAAGCAACATAGACACAGGGACAGCTCCAAGGAAGCAAGTTTAAAAAAAAACTAAAATATGAAATGAAATGAAACAAAGAAAACATTAAGCAGAGATATCAGCAGTCACAAATCACAAAGCAAACAGATTCCATAGATGTAGCCTAGGTAAGTTACTCAACAAAGAAACAAACAAAAACTCTCAAAAACAGGCTGCAGGGAGAATAAAAATCAGAATCCAGAGCTGCTTCAACATATTATATAAAATGTCCAGATTTCAACAAAAACAATGAGACACAAGAAGAAACAGGAAAATGTGACCAATAATCAGGAAATATAGCAGTCAATAAAAACTCCAAGTGTTCCCGGGTATTGGATTTAGCAGAAAAGACTTCAAAGCAGCTAATATAAATGCTTACAGAAATAGAGAAAACCATGTTTAACATATGACAACAATGAACAAACAAATGGAGATTCTCAATCATAAGACAGGAATTTTTTTGTGTGGAAATTTTAGTGTTGGAAGCACAGTAACCAGGTTGAAAAACTCACTACAAGTATTCAACATGAAATTTGATATGGCAAAAGAAAGAATCAATGAATTTTAAGATAAATCAATATAAATGATCAAATCTGAAGAAAAGAGATAAAAGAATTACTGAAGAAAAATGAACAAAGCCTAATAAATATGGACAACACCTAGCATACCAACATATGTGTAAGGAGAGTCCAAGAAGGAGGGGATAGAAACAAACACAAAAACATTTAAGAAAACAAAGGCTTAAAACTTCCCAAACTGGATGAAAAACATTAGTTTACACATCCAAGAAGCTCAATAAAGCCTAAGCAAGATAAGATACCCATACCTAGTTATATCCTAGACAGACTATTAAAGGCCAAAGACAAAGATAAAATCATGAAAACAGTGAGAAAAAGGTGATTCATGTACAAGAAAACCACAATAATAGCAACTGACTTCTTTTCTGAAACGATGGGGGCCAGAGTGTAGTGCAATAACAAAATGCAGAAAGAGAGGGAAAAAAAAACCCTCTTGACCAATAATTCTATATTCAGCAAATCTATGCTTTAGAAATGAGTGTGAAATTGAGACATTCTAAGACAAAGATTGAGGGAATTGACTGCCAACAACCAATGTCTTATAAGGAAATACAAAAAACATCAAAGAAAATTATTTAGACTGAAAGAAAATGATTCCAGATGGTGACTCAAATCCACAGAAAAAAAAGAACACCAGAAGTGGCGAAATGTGGGTTAATATAAGAGATTCCATAAATATATATGTTCTCATATCATCTTTTAATTTGCTTAGAATACACAGGATAGCATAAAGAAATAATTTTAACATTGCATTTTGAATGTATTACATATATGTAAGATATGACAATGATATCACAAAGGAGTGAGTAGGGAATAGGGTGATATGGAAGCAAAGTTTCTGTATTTTCTTGGAATTAAATTAGTATTAATCTAAAGTACATGCGGTAAGGTAAGATGCATATTTTAATCACAAGACTAACCACTAAGAAAATAAATTAAAAATATAAACTTTAAAAAGCAAGGAAATTAAAATGGTAAATTAAAAAATTATTTAACACAAAAGTCAAGGAGGGATGGAAGAACCAAAAAATGAGTAATATATGAAAAACAAATAGCAAATGTAAATCTAAATATATTAATAAATACATTAAATGGAAATAATCTAAACACCCCATCAAAAAGGCAGTGACAGATTTGATAAAAAGCAAGAACCAACTACATGTTGATTACAAATAATACCAACATATATAATGTGTAAGGTACTGTGTGTGAGAGGAGTTGGGAATACAGGAAAAGGACATAATCAATGGCAGTATTCCTAAAATCTTTTTATTCATTCAGTGTGTTTTAAGGTTGCTACCAACAGAAGCAGGATTAGCATTTTGACCTTTCCATCATCCTAATCTAGCCCTAAAACTTTATGACTTTAAAAATGCAAAAGATATTGTGGCTGTGAAAGATACCATAATTAATGTGATCTGATAATCCTTAAATCCACCAGCCTTCTAGTGTCCTTAAATATCAAAATTGTAATTTGATTCCCTCATCATATGCAACTGAGTTATGTGCTTTGGCAACTCACATCCTCTGAGAAGCAGACCAAGACAGGATTAAACATGCAAGATACTCATTGAGGAAAATGCTTGTGAAGAATGAAGTGAAAAGGGAGCAGAAATAGGTAGAGAGATACTTCAAAGCGAAATCTAGGCCTAAGATCTATGCAATGAGAGCAAAAAGGAAGGATTAGGTAGGAAGACACTAAACTTCAGTGCAGTTCTGAGAAAGTCTTGGCTAGGCCAATGAGAAATCTCTGAGCAAAGGTTTCCTGTTAGAAGAATTCATCATTGGGCAGACCCAGATCTAGTACCCACACTATACTTAGCCATTGGCTGGGAACAGTCCAGGGGAAGTGTGGTCTCAGTGTAAGTAGACAAATCTGAAGGTGCAGCAGGTTAAACATATCTTCTGGTGGGTGTTCTGGCTTCATGGGATACATCTATTTCAGTATGCCCACTTCTACCAGCCTCTATATTTTGTTTTTCTCATCTCATCTCTGTTGCTTGCCAAAGTAACTCAGGCCTTTCCACTAAACTAGGGGTCAATCATCACATTCTCTAGCCTTCTAGGAGCCACTCTTAACAGTGAGTTTGCATGATCCCCTAGGGCCTTAACTAGGGCATTAAATTGTATATCCTGAGATAGAGCCCTAAAGTCAATAAACTCTTGCTTAAACATTCTTTTTGTACCAACTCTCTTGATCAAATATCTTCAAAATCCAACTCCAGGGGTAATCTTATTTTGAATGGCACATGCTAGCTAATTGTTATTACTCTTTCAGGGTATAATTTCTACTCTCCCTGTAATGTTAAATTTTAGGTGTAAACTTGACTGGATTAAAGGATACCTAGATAGCTCATAAAGCATTATTTCTGGGTGTGTCTGAGAGGGTGTTTCCAGAGAAGATTGGTATGAGAGTTGGCAGATTAAGCCAGGGAAATCCACCCTCAATGTGGGTGAGAGCCATCTGATCAGCTGCAGGTCCAGGCAGGGGAAAGGTGAAAGTGTTAGTTCTCTTGGAGGTGGGAAACCCTTCTTCAGTCCTTTGACATCAGAACTCCAGGTTATCTGACCTTTGGACTCTAGGAACTGTACCAGTGTTCTCTTGGGTTTTCAGGTTTTCAACTTTGAACAGAGTTACACCATTGGCTTCCCTGGTTCTAAGGCTTTTGGACTTAGACTGAGCCATGCTACTAGCATCCTTGGATCTCCAACTTGCAGATGGGCTATAGTGGGACTTCTCAGCTGCTATAATCATGTGGACTCATTCCCCTAAGAAATCCCCACTCTCTCTCTGTCTCTCTCTCTATCTATCCATCTGTCTATCTACCCATCTACCTACCTATCTGTCCACCCATCTATCTGTCTTCTATTGGTTCTTTCTTTCTGGAAAACTCCAACTAATACATTCCCTTATCAGGTATGGCACGTTCTTAGCCAGGTCATGTGGAGATTTAACCCTAGTTATCATTCTGGCAGTCAAGAGAAGAAGTGGGAGCAACTCCTGAGCGGTGTATCTGTTGCAAGAGATAGGTCTCTGCCGCAGCTTGTGTTAGGAGGAGTGATGGTTGCCTATTAGTGAAGGGTGGGCAACCTGTGCAAGTCCAGAGGCTTTAGGGGACTCTGCAGGGCCAACTTCCACAAGGTTATCCACCCAAATATTACCATCCCATATTCCAGGGTTCCAGGTTTTCCCAACTAGGATACTACTTCAGTTGAGGATTTAAACAACTCTGGAGCTCTGTGACTCTATTATATCTTTAGTTTGTTGCTCAGCTGTTTTTATTCTTCCATTTCAGAAGAGAAAGAGCTCTTCTTAAGCTGTTAGAAAGGCCCTGTGGCTCTCATACTCAGCCTTTAATGGTTTGTTAACTGCCTTCTGGTTCTCATTTCATCATAGAGTGTTGATACAGCTTATTAATATCAAGGGAACTCTACTGCATGGAGATGTAACTCTCCAATATCTTTCACATGCCAGAATCATTGCACTGTCAAGACCATTTCTATCGACTGGGCATTGTCCGAAGTCACTGATATGGTTTGGCTCTGTGTCCCCATCCAAATCTCACAAATTAGGTGAGGGAACTGGTGGGAGGTGATTGGATCATTGGGAGGTTTCCCCCACGCTGTTCTCATGATAGTGAGTTTTCGTAAGATCTGATGGTTTAAAAGTGTGTGGTGTTCTTCACTCACTCTCTTCTGCCACCATGTAAGAACATGCCTTGCTTCCCCTTCACCTTCCTCCATGATTGTAAGTCTCCTGAGGTCTCTCCAGCCATGCAGAACTGTGAGTCAATTAAACCTCTTTTCTTCATAAATTACCCAGTCTCAGGTAGTTCTTTATAGCAGTGTGAAAATGGACTAATATAGTCACCATAGAGGAATTCTTCACTGGGCTCTCACTTTGTGCTATAGACTGTACTACGCCTTCCACATTCCAGAGGGCTTTATGCCAGCTAGTCAGTGAGTGAGCCAGTCCCAAACTCCATCTTATTATCAGTTTTCTCAGATCCTACTCTTGGTACCTCTTGTGTCAGTTCAGGTTCTCCAAGAAACAGACAGGTAGGAAGAGCTTCCAGATTGCACTGCAGCTCTGACACGTGGGTAAAGACAGATGATAGAAAGTAAGGGGTAAGAAGAGCCTCAGACTTCAGTGCAGTTCCAAGAAAGTCATGGCCAGGCTGATGAGGAGACCCCAAGAGCAACCCCAAGAGGTTGCTGTTAGAAGAATCCAATGTCAGATAGGCACAGCCCAGTTTAAGTAACCACACTGTGCTCAATCATTGGCCGAGAGCAGCTCAGGGAAGCATGGCTTGGATGTGAGCACCATTGTGGCTCCCAGGTGAGTCAGGTGGACGCTGTCAGTCAACTGTAACCCACAGCAGTTTCTGCTGAATGATGATATGAGTGTAATTTTATCACTGCCACATGTGTCTTCCCCAGTGTTTTTGAGGATTGCCAGGCTAGAGTGTTTGCATTCAAATGTCTTCTTTTGTTTTGAATTCCTACTTCTATTAAAATACTAGATCTCTTCTAGTGATCTTAACAACACCTCTACTGGCTGTCTCAGTACCCTCTGGGCTTCTAGCCTGATGTGGTCTGAATGTTAGTGTTCCCTGCCAAATTCATATGTTGAAAACCAACTCCCAATATGATAGTATTAGGAGAAGGGGCCTTTGGGAGGTGATTAGTTAACAAAGGCAGATCCCTTATGAATGGGATTAGTGCCCTTATAAAAAAGGCCCCAGAGAGCCACCTTGCCACTTCCACCACGTGTGAACATAGCAAGAAGGCACCATTCTGTGAAGACGAAAGTGGCCCCTCACCAGACATCCAATTTTCTGGCACCTTGGTCTTGGATTTCCTAGACTCCATAACTATGAGAAATAAGTTTCTTTTATTTATAAGCTACCTAGTTTACGGTATTTTGTTGTAGCAGCCAGAATGGACTAAGACAATGCATTAGTCAGTTTTTATGATGCTGATAAAGACATACCCAAGACTGGGCAATTTACAAAAGAAAGAGATTTAATGGACTTACAGTTCTATGTGGCTGGGGAGGCCTCACAATGATGGTGGAAGGTGAAAGTCACGTCTTACATGGCAGCAGACAAGAGAAGAGAGCTTGTGCAGGGAAACTCCTGTTTTTAAAATCATCAGATCTCGTGAGACTTATTCACTATCACAAGAACAGAATGGGAAAGACCCACTCCCATGATTCAATTATCTCCTACCGGGTACCTCCTACAACATGTGGCAATTACAGGAGCTGCAGGATGAGATTTGAGTAGGGACAAAGAGCCAAACCATATCAGACAATGCCCCAAATTTCAAGAAAGATCTCCACTTTATTCCCTAAAGCAGCACCATCACTCTGCTATGGTAATTATCAGACATATTAAAGATTTGGTGATAATGAAAAAAATTCCTAGGGAGATAAATGAAGCCCTTGGATTTTCATTTTAGATATCATCATGTTTCAGGTCCCCTGGCCTTTCTCTGCCACACAAAATCTTCAACTAGGTTTTCTGCCACCCTCTCCCCAAGAGCTTTCTCCCATCCATTTCTGACCTCGGTCTCAATTCTCAAAATTCTTCTGGGTTGTTAGGAAGGAAAATAAATCAATATTCTACTCTTTTGCATTCCTATATTATCTTGTGGACAAATTTTCTAAGATGAAGATCTGAAGTATAATTTGACATAACAAAAAAAAGGATAATCAAGGTATTTATATTAAACATGGGAGTCAACCTGGACTTCTGGTGCCTTGTCATATCTTGATTTTAGCTACTCATTATATTTTTATTTGTTAATAAATTGTTGAAAACTCAGTCTCAGATTAAACAGAAGGTTATGATGGACCTAATTCAAAGGTATAAGAAAGCAAATAGCCATAAATCATTGGCTTTTCCATGCAATTCCTCATCTCAAGTTTATTTTCCAATCTATTGGTATTTTCTTTGAAGATAGATAACATTTAATAATGGCAAAGGTACATTAAAAAGACTCCATATCAATTTATGAACAGATGTAGGCATGCAGCCAACATGTATAAATGGAAAATATTTTCGGAGAGCTAATTCTTTGATGTGTAGGTTCTTTTATTGGGATTTGTCTTTATCTCCCCCATAATAAAAAAAAAAGTAAGATCCTAGTTCAAAGCACAATCAGTCTTTCATGGTAAGGACAATGGATGGAAGCAATTTGAAGCAAATGTCCTTTGATTAAAGAGATCACTATTTGACTTATCAGTAAATAATCAACCTCAAAATAAAAGTCTAGATCTTTTCTAGTTCATATGGGTATGGTTTATTTTAGCAGAATTAAATGGTATATGCACTTTGAACTCTCTGTAGCTTGAATATTTTTAAAAGACTCTTTGGAAATAACTTTTAAATAACCTGACTTTATTCATGTACCAAAGCATGGAGAATTGAAAGCAAATCAAGATTCCCCAGAATAGATATTGGCCTTTTAACATCACCTTATACCTGTAACTTTGATTCTGAAATTGCCCTTGTATGTGTTTGTTTTGAAGTCACTTTTGATAGGACAAGGCATGTGCTGCAACATACAGATAAGCAGGAAATGAGCCCTGGAAGAAAAATCGATTCATTCCAAAACTCAAAGAGTAATGGCCTCAGCAGTGCATATTTGTCCCTTTTCTAATTAAAATTTCCTCTCTTCCAAATGATGTCACACAATTGCCACAGTTTTGAACCAGCCTATCCTTTACTTGTACTAGTTAGCACAAAGAATTCGCTCTTACCTACAACTTCCTAAGAAAAAACTCATTTTCAGAAGTGTTCTCTGCTGGGATGCCCCAGCAACTGCAGCTCTAATCATGCGGCAGGAAGATGGGATGCTCTTTGATTGACAATGCCAGCTGGCCCTTGACTCAATCATGGATGCCTCTTTAAAAGTCAGAGTTTTGTTTTCTTCCCCTTGGTTGAAACAACATGTTGTCCTCAGCATGTCAAAGATATTTTCCCAATCAAACAAACACACAATAAAAAAAAAAAAACGCTCTGCACCTCAGATTAATTCTTTTTTTTTTTTTTTTTTTTTTTTGAGACAGAGTTTCGCTCTTGTTGCCCAGGCTGGAGTGCAATGGCACGATTTCGGCTCACTGCAACCTCCGTCTGCTGGGTTCTCTTGCCTCAACCTCCCAAGCAGCTGGGATTACAGGTTCACACTACCACGCCCAGCTAATTTTTTTGTATTTTTAGTAGAGACGGGGTTTTGCCATGTTGGTCAGGCTGGTCTCAAACTCCTGACCTCAGGTGAGCTGCCCGCCTCAGCCAAAGTGCTGGGATTACAGGCATGAGCCCCCACGCCCAGCCCCCAGATTAATTCTTATTATGTAGTTCTCCTAGTAGGCATTAGCTGAGAAAAAGACTCTTGCGGTAGTACAGCTGCTTACAACTCATTTATCCTTCACTTATGGCAAAGGAGAGAGATTTCTTAAATTTAAAATTAATAAATTAATATAAAACTATTAATAAGCTAACAGTATTAGTTTTCTAATATATTTAAATTTTTAAATTAAATTCAGAAGTGCAGAGTATAAAAAGTGAAAGTCCCTTCGTTTCCTTTTCCATAGTCAAAAAATTTTTCCTAGTAGTAACCATATGACAGTTGACTGCATATTCTTCCTCACTTTTTAATATCTTTATATATCTATGGACATGTATATATAATGGGTTAAATAGCATCCCCACAAAATTCATGTCTACCCCAAACCTCTGAATGTAGCCTTATTTGGAATGAGGGTCTTTGCAGATATAGTTAAGGTGAGGATCTTGAGACGAGATCATCCTGTATTAAGGCGGACCCTAAATCCAATGTCAGGTGCCCTTGTAAAAGAGGAAAAAGAAGTCACAGAACAGGCCGTGGAAAGATGGGGCAGAGATTGGAGTGATGCATCTGTAAGTCAAGGAGCACTAAGCATTGCCTGCAGCCACCAGAACCTAGAAGAGGGGCATAGGACTGATTCCCTGGCAGATCCTGCAGGGGGAACTACCTCTGCCAACACCTTGCTTTTAACTTCTCGACTCTAGAACTGTAAGAGAATAAATTTGTGCTGTTTTAAGCCCTTGAGTTTGTGGTAATTTATTATGGCAGCACTAGGAAACTAATACAGTTCATAATGGTTTATTTGTTGTTGTGGGTTTTCCACAAAAATGACTGCACACACACACAAAGTATTAGTGTTAGTATTAGTATTTTGGAAAGCTCCTGTATGAATCAATGGTTTTCAGTGGAGGCTGTACTACTCCTTAGCTTGGGTTTGAAATGATTGGAAGATGCTACCAGCTTTTTAGTGGGTAATATTCATACCAGTTCCACACAATGAGAAGTTCTCCAGCCTTCTGCATGACTTTTGAATCTCTCACCAGACAATTATTTAGGTGAAAAACTACATTTATAATTATTTGAGGCAAAGACCTTATGCTGCTATAAAAGTAAACACAAAGTGTTTTTGCATAATTTAAATATACACATCTTCCTACATTTTTGAGAAATGCAATTACTGTAATGTGAGGAAAATTTGCATTTTCTTTTGTTTGGAATTATTCCAATGCAACTGTGCTGGTCTGCGTTTGTAGACGTTGACCCAAAACATCAGAAAGTATTGTTTTACCTACTAATTTCATTGTGCCTGAGTATTTACATAATGAAACAGATATTGTATTAGTCAGCATTCTTCAGAGATATAGAACCAATTATATATATATGTGTGTGTATATATGTATGTATGTGTATGTATGTATGTTACTTATACATACACGTACATGTACATGTATATATATTAAGTTGACCCTCGAACAGCATGACTGTGAAGTATATAGGTCCATTTATACATGGATTTTCTTCTACCTCTGCCACCCCGAGACATCAAGACCAACCCTTTTTCTTCCTCTTCCTCTTCATCCTATTCCATGTGAAAAAAATGAAGGATGAAGACCTTTATGATGATCTCCTCCCAATTAATGAATAGAAAACATATGTTCTCTTCCTTATGATTTTCTAAATAACATTTTTCTCTTCTCTAGCTTACTTTATTGCAAGAATACAGTATAACATACAAAATATGTGTTAATCAACTGTTTATGTTATCAGTAAGATTTTCAGTCAACAGTAGGCTATTAGTAAGTAAGTTTTTGGAGAATCAAAAGTTATACACATATTTTTGACAGTCAGAGGGTCAGTGCCCCTAACCCCTACATTATTCAGGCGTCAACTGTATATATGCACACACATACATACATATATAAAGATATTTATTATGAAAAATTGTATCACATGATTATGGAGGCTGACAAGTCCCAAGATCTTCAGGGTGAGTTGGCAAGCTGGAGATCCCGGAGAGCCAATAGTGTAGTTCTAGTCTGAAGGTTCAAAAAGCAGAGCTGATGGTTTAGTTCCCACTCTGGAGACCGGCAGTCTCAAGACCCAGGAAGTACCCATCTTTCACATCAAGTCCAAAGGCAGGAAAAAAACCCCATGTCCTAGTTTGAAGAAAGTCAGGCAAAGTGGATTCCTTCCTACTTGGAGGAGCATCATTCTTTTACTTCTATCCAGGACTTCAACTGATTGGATGAATCTCCCCCACATTATGGACCAGGAACCTGCTTTACTCAGTCTACCAATTCAAATGTTAATCTCATCCAGAAACACCCTCAAAGACACACCCAGAATAATGTTTGACCAGTATCTCAGCATGCTGTGGCCCAGTCACATTGATACATAAAATGAACCACCATAGACATTACTTTTATTTTCTATTTCATATTTTAGTTACAACATTACATTTGTTTTTTAAAATTATAAAAGAAGGTTATATTATATATGATTTTTACTTTACAAGAGTAAATGAAGCATTGCACAATATGTGGTATAAAGAGGAGTCACTGGCTATTAGAGGGCTAAGAACCACTAATCTAGATGTTTTGCATTCCATTGTAATGGCTTACCAGTCCTTAATAGATAGACATACAACGATATTGACAATTAATTAACACTTTGGTTGCTTCTCTCTTTTGTTTTTACTATTACAAAGAATATGGAGAACATCTTTGTACATTTTACAATATTCCTGTGTAATATATTTCTCAAAAGAGTATGTACATTATAAATTTTGATAGACACGATCACAGCGTATTTCAAGACTAGAATGCTTTCCTCAATGAAAATTGTATACCAAAGACTACCAAACAGATACAAATGAAGTAGCTTTTGAAAGAATGAAAATGTAGAAGCCCTACCCATTCACTTTTTGGCTAAGCCAACTCTTGGGCATCTCCCCAGCCTCTCTCAGACTTCAAGAAGCATAGTTTGAAAACTGCTGGCTTGAAATACAATTTACCCTTCTTTGTAGCTTTGGCTTTGTGAGGCTCACCCTATGAGACTTCTCAATACCTTCTACTCAATTTACCTAACATCCAGGTAGTTATTGTCAGGTTACGGGTCCAGTCCATTTATCAGTTGTGTATATTAACCAGCTATTAAAATCTCCATGCCATCTTTATTATTATTTTTAATTTGCTTTTAAAAACTTTTAAAAATACATGTACTGAAAAGGACATAAAATATAAAAATATAGCTTAACGCAAGCGCATAATGCACATACCTATATAACCACTACTCAGATAAAGAAATAGAACCCTGTCAGCAGCCCAGAAGCAACCCCAACACAACCACCCCATTCCTCCCCAAGGATAATCGCCAGAAGTTGATACTAATCATTCCTGTGTTTTTCTTTATACTTTTACTCTTCTATATACATATATATAAGTAAATACACTCTAGTTTCTTTTTACCTGTTTGGGACTTCATATCAAAAGAATAATAAAATGGCTGGACATGGTGGCTCACACCTGTAATCCCAGCACTTTGAGGCTCAGGTGGGCAGATCACTTGAGGTCAGGAGTTTGAGACCAGCCTGACCAACATGGCAAAACCCCGTCTGTACTAAAAATACAAAAAAAAAAAAAAAATTAGCTGCATGTGTCGTGGTGCATGCCTGTAATCCTAGCTACTCGGGAGGCTGAAGCAGGAGAATCACTTGAAGCCAGGAGGCAGAGATTGTGGTGAGCTGAGACCATGCCACTGCACTCCAGCCTGGGCAACAGAGCGAGACTCTGTCTAAAAAAAAAAAAAAAAAAAAAAAAAAAAAAGTATATGTTTTCTATTCTTTGATTCAGTATCATTTTCTGAAATATGTACATACTATTGCATATGGCTATAGTTTTTTCCTTTAAGATTTATTGTTAGGTTGCATCAATTCTGAATATACCACAGTTTGTTTATATACTTTACTGTTTATGGACAATTTGGTTGTTTTCAGTCTGAGGTTATCATGAATAATGCTGCTGTGAACTCTCTTATACATATCTCCTGGTTCACAGTCTTGCATTGCTAGTGCACATATAATCGAACAAAGAATTGCTGGAACATAGGATATGTACCTGAGCTTTCCATTTTGTGTTGTTTTACTAAAAAGACACAAACTACACTACTTAGTTTTTAAAAAGTATTTGTTCTACATATGAAAAAATGCTCAACATCACTAATGATCAGGGAAATGCAAATCAAAACCACAATGTAATATCACCTTACTCCTGCAAGAATGACCGAATCAAAAAATCAAAAAATAATAGATATTAGTGGGGATGTGGTAAAAAGGGAAAACTTTGACACTGCTGGTTGGAATGTAAACTAACATAAGCACTGTGAAAAATGGTGTGGAGAGTCCTTAAAGAACTAAAAGATCTACCATTTGATCCAGCAATCCCACTACTGGGTATCTACCTAGAAGAAAAGAAGTCATTATAGGAAAAAGATACTTGCATATGTATGTTTATGGCAGCACAATTTGCAATTGCAAAAATACAGACGCAGCCCAAATGCCTATCAATCAATGAGTGGATAAAGAAATTGTGGTATATGTATATACCAAGGAATACTACTCAGCCATAAAAAGGAACGAAATAATGGCATTCACAGCAGCCTGGATGGAATTGGAGACCATTATTCAAGTGAAGTAACTCAGGAATGGGAAACCAAACATTATATGTTCTCACTCATAAGTGGGAGCTTAGCTATGAGTATACAAAGGCATAAGAATGATACAATGGACTTTGGCGTCTCAGGGTAAAGGTTGGGAAGCGGTGAGGGATAAAAGTCTACACATTGGGGCCAGGCGCGGTGGCTCATGCCTGTAATCCCAACATGCTGGGAGGCTGAGGTGGCGGATCACGAGGTCAGGAGTTCAAGAGCAGCCTGGCCAACATAGTGAAACCACATCTCTACTAAAAATACAAAAAATTAGCCAGGCCTGGTGGTGGGCGTCTGTAATCCCAGCTACTTGGGAGGCTGAGGCAGGAGAATCACTTGAACCCTGGAGGCAGAGGTTGCAGTGAGCAGAGATCATGCCACTGCACTCCATTCTGGGTGACAGTGCAAGACTCCATCTCAAAAAAAAGTCTACACATTGGGTACAGTGTACACTGCTTGGGTAATGGATGCACCAAAATCTCAGAAATCACTGCTAAAGAACTTACTCAGGTAACCAAACACTGTCTGTTCCCCAAAAACTTACTGAAATAACAAATAAATAAATAAATAAATAAATAAATAAATAAATATTTTAAAAGTATTTTTTCTATAGATTACCTGATAGCTATGTATATTTTCAATCAACATTTTCTCATATATTTCCGATAATATTTTATGAAATATAGAATTATATAGAGTTTCTTTGGGGATTGATAAAAGTATTCTAAAAGTAAATAGTGGTGATGGCTGTACAACTCTAGTATATTAAGAATCTTGAATTGTACACTTTAAAAGGATGAATATATACAGTATGTGAATTATACATCTAAATTAAGCTGTTATACATAAGCAAACAAACAATAGTGACAATAAGAATTCACGATTGTGGATGGCAGAAGCAGTGTATAGGGGACTTTTTCTACCTTCTACCATCCTACCAGGCATTATGTGTGTGTTGGAGTGGTGGTGGGGGGCAAGGAGCAGAAGAATCAAGGGGGCAGGGGGAAGGTAAAACAGGAGATGGAACAAGAAGAAACTGATAGATTTCGATGGTGGCTTAGGAACACATTATGGTAGCTTGTATTATTTAATGATGAGAAATAAGAATAAGTAAATGGAATAGGATTGATAGTGTACTCAAAGTGATGATGATGATTTCAGATGCATGATTTTCTGGTCTGCACATATCAGCTCTACACATCCTAAGAAGCATTAATAATTTCATAGAATACATGAGGAAATGGAGCTGTAGGGAGGGAACCCACAGTCACAGGGTTAGTAATATAGATAATGATATTAATAACAATCACAGCTAACACTTACTATTACTTTACATTTATTTATTACTGATTTTAGAGTTTCAAATCCCAACTGTGCTACTTACTATGTGACCCTGAGCAAGTTACTGGGCTTCTTTTGGAATTACCACTGTCTCCCTGACCTTACTCTAAAAGGGATGTGCATGAGTAGATATGCCAGTTAGATGGGGTGCACACTTACCTTGCACCCCACCCCCCAAAACATAATCATCTCAATGAGGTGAGGCTGTAGGCAGGAGATGGGGACATCCCCTGAGTTGAGAGAAAGCAGAAAACTGCCTTTCTGCTTGAAACTAGAGAAAATGGAAAAAATAGAAAAAAAAAGTCTCAACAAATCATCCTGTCACATAAGCATCCCACTAGCTGCAGAATTCTAAGCAGCATGACTGGAAACACTCTTGCTTAAATTGCATAGTAATTTGTGTCTCTTATGATATGGCATGAGAAACAATTTTTTTAAATCCAGAAATGATTCTTTGAAATATACCTTTTTACCTCTTATTCTGGGGATAACATGAAGGTATAAGATCATTTTGTTAATAAATATGGGTAAGTAACACAACCATAGGTCAGTTTTGTTCATTTAGACGGTCTGAGGACATGTAAGAGTGCTCAGAAAATTCCAAAAGGCTGTTTCTATCAAATGAATCAGGATGGCTTCTTCCGCAGTTGAATATCACTCTATATAGTGCGCTTCTCCTATAAATGAAGGCCTTGTTTTAGACCTGGACTGGTTGCTTCTGATTTTATTGGAACTATAGTGAGAAACTGGTTTGCTGTGAATTCCTCCCTTGTGGCTGAAGGTGTGCAAAGTCAATACAGGGCCTGAGCTCTGCTCAAGCTTGAGGCACCCAAGTCTCAGGTTGAATTAAATGTCCTCCAGGAGGCTGCTTTGAAATTCTAGTTTTTAAAGCATGCTTTTCAGAGCAGCAAATCACAAATGCTATGTGTATAATGACTGCACTTTATGCACCCTGTATATAAAGGTTGTATTGAACATTTATGAGGGTTCTTCTCTGAAAAATTACAGATAATATTAGAAAGTATGTTTTCTGCATTTTTACCAAAACCTCAGACTCCAACATACTGAGGGCTTGATGGAATCAAGAAATAAGAAGAGGGAACTGGTTACTACAACATATCATTTTCCTGGCGCAGATGAACCTGTTTCACTCATGCAGGCCT
Organism: Homo sapiens; assembly: GCF_000001405.40. Taxonomy (NCBI): domain Eukaryota; kingdom Metazoa; phylum Chordata; class Mammalia; order Primates; family Hominidae; genus Homo; species Homo sapiens. The sequence goes on along the minus strand of NC_000014.9, from coordinate 58,980,110 downwards.
TGGGGTATAGGAACAAAAGAACTCTAGCAGTTCCAGAACCCTTTGGCTATGTGAACCCATGTTCCTGCTCCTGTTCTCCATGGTTAGCAAGAGGAGGAAGGAGCTGAGCTGGCAGGAATTCTGTCAAACAGCGTCAAGAGGAATGCTGGAAGGCCTTTTATTCCCACATCATACATCTACTACATTTTTCTTGCCTTTCAATTTTTAAAACTATTGTGAATTGTTCAAACAGAAAAGGTCTAATTATAAATGGCCTCCAAATGTTTACATTAAATGAGCTGACTTATTTCCAAGGTAATCTAGCAACAAATGTTCACTGCTTTTATTATTTGAAAAGTATTTAAATGTGCTTGATTTTTCTCCCATCTGTCTACTCATTAACAGTCAGGGAATAACAAAGAAACCAGTCTATTTTTTAAAAAGTGGGGAGGCGGAGACAGGAATCAATGCAGGGAATTAGTTACATAGGTGATGGAAGAGTTGGAAGCGGAACAGGAGATAAGGAGGCAACCCAGAGATTAACAACAGCAGAGAGAGAAAAAAGAAAGTAGTGGTGTTGCCAGAGCCCAGAGCCAGGGTCACCCGACAGTAGCTGGCAGGGCGGCATGCCCATCCACCAGAAGCCGAGCCACAGGGGAGATGCAGCCACTGCTGGAGAAGTCACACAAAGCAGAAAGCTATCCTGTGTGCTCCCTTCCTCCTGCAGCCCCACATGCCACCTCTCATAAGCACTTCTCGTTGCTCAAAAGCAGAAGCCAGGTGATGTGAGAGTCTAGGACTTACAGCCTTCAGGGGTCAGGCCCATTGCCATAGAGAGCAGAGCAGGGGATAGGAAATAAAGATTTATTGACATCACATGTATCTTGGCCATTCTCTGACTTCTCAATGCTGAAGAAAAAAATTTTGGATAAGAAATCTTCAGCCTACTGGATATTGGGGAAGACTGGGTCCTAAAGACTACAGCAGCCAAAGAAGCTGCCCCTTATCTCCATCTGCAAGCCCAATACCACTCACCTATGGTATCATCAATCTCTATAGTTGATAGAGCAAAAGCTCTGTCCAGTGGGATCCATTGCAGACCCACCCGTGGAGCCAGCTGCCTTTTTCTTGGTTTTCTTGACATTGTCTCATATTCACACAGGAACTATTGTGCAGCATTTTTGTGAAGTGTCACAAGGAAAAATGGCTATGGGACAAGTCTATGGCTATCAGGGTACATTTGCCACATGTCTTCCAGAGCTTTGAGGTATAGGGAGAGAAAAAGAGAGAAAATGGAAATGTGAATGACTGGTGAATTATTTCTCATGTGCTTTTTGGGAGGTAACTAGAATAAAAGCACCTTTCCTTTCCTTCTTCTTTTCTTCTCCTTTTCAAGGAGAAAAGATATACCTTGGAGAAATATTTGTGCTATCCAAGGGTGGGGAATAAGGGCAGTTCAGCAGAAAACAGCTGGAATGTATCTGCAATGGGAGTGGACATAAATGCTCTCTCTGGGCCATCAGTGAATTGTTGCTGTGAGAAAGCCAAAATAGCAACCTCTTTATCGCCACAACTATTCTCCCTCAGGCCAGTTTCCAGTTCTGCATGCACGTCCAGGACACTTCCCAGCTGTTTGGCGGTGCTGAGTTCTACTCAATTGACCCAAGCCTCAGACCACAATGGAAACTGCCATGTCTAAGTGGCCCTCCACATCACATGCAAGAGAGGGTGATGGTATTCTGGGCACGTCCAGCAGAGATAAGACACTACACTGGTCAATGTGAATATAGATAGGAAATGATTGTCTTTACTATTAGTGGCATAACTTGCATCTATTCAGCCCTTGCTATGTGCCAGGCTCTCTGTTATCGTCTTGAAACTTCTCAACCATCTTTACTACCACAGATGAGGATCCCAAGGCTTTGAGGTTGGGTTATTTGTCCAGTCACACAGCTATTCAGTGGCAGATTTAAGACTCAAGTCTAGGTCTGTCTCTCCCTCAGACCCAAAGCTCTTCATCACTGTGCTATTCTGTACACCAGCTCTTAGGGAAACTCAATGGAAAATATGTACATTCAGTGGTAACCAGCATTGAAAACAGCCACTGACCTCACGGGTAATTTCTGGAAGAGATCGTAAAACACGGAATGATTACTTGCTTGGCCAATTTGTGCAATATTTGAATGCAAACAATAAGTAAACTCTTGCTATCTATTTAGGCTATTGAATCATGTGATATCTGCTAATATTCTTGAAGCTTCTATGTTCTAAATCTCTCCAGCTACCCAACCCCTAGAGAATGATGCTCCATTTCTGCAACTTTTTTTCCCAGACCTTCCCAGCTGAAATCACCAAATCTTGGAATCTGTAGGCTCAGATTCTGGTCAGGTCTAGAGCAAATCCCAACTCCATCTTCAGGGAAGGTCCCTTACTCCTTTGTGCCCAGAATCCATTGTGCCTATGATGAGAGCTTGTCACCTAGGTGCCGACCAGTTCTACTCTTCTCCAGCTCATGCACCGTCCCTTTGCTCTCATTTCTGCTGCATTGCTGGAGTCCAGATGACTCATCTGCACAGTGAAGACTCTTCTCCCTGGAAGTTGACCCAGTCTCCTGAATGCTTACAATATTTATAGATGTAAACAATTAACACACAATGACCCATACATTGCACATATACTACCACTTCCCTTTCCTGCACCCACAGAGCTAGAATGGTTTAATTTATTGTCTAAACCAGGACAGAATAAAAAGGAGAGATAAATTGCATGATGACAACAGGTGTAAACCAGGGCAGTCCCAGAGCAGACATTGCTGATTGATCCTGTTCCTTTCAACAGTGCTACAGGCAGCCCCTCACAAATGAACATTATGTGGAATCACATAATTGGCACCATAGGGCACTTGCTGTTTATATAGACGCAAATTCTTCCTTTTTCTTCCATTATGAATTTAAGTATTTACTCTATGAGCTTCCAGATAAGAAGTAATCTATTTTTAATGAAAAGGAAGATACGGTTTCTGCTCACAAACAGATTAGAATCTAGTTGTGAAGAAAAGACAACTCAATTGCATTTCATGACTGCAAATATTTTTATCCATAAATGGGTTTCCCTGGGTGGATGAGAAGACCACCTAACCATATGCAAGGCAGGTTAGGCCCAAATTTAAATATTCCATTGAGTTTAATTTGGACTTGATATAAAATATAGTCCAGGTTCTAGAGTCAGGAAGTCCTGGGTTCCAGTCCTATAAGTGCATTCACTAGCTGTGTGAAAATAATGCAAAATAAAAAACAAGTGCCAGAGGGAGATAATTACGCTTTAAAAGTAGAGAAAAGAAAGAGAATAATTTTGTTTAGAGATGTCTATCTTATTGTGCTCCTTTATTTATTCTCTTTTTTAAAATAATATTTATTGGGTTAAAAATCACAAATAAGTACAAAGAAAACAAAAAAGATCCACAATCCCAGCACCCAGATTACCACTGCTGACATTTAAAAACAAAAACAAGAGAAATAAAGGTTCATGATTAGAAAGTTCAAACAGTACGGAGAGGTATAAAATCAGGAAAAAAAAAGCCTCCTTCATCTCCCCCAGTATCACTCCCTGAAGTAACCACTGTCAGCATTTTCTTGTGCATCGTTTCAGGAAAAATACATGAATTTATCTGCCTGTATATATTCTGCTCTTGCTTTTTTTTTTCACTTAATGGTATACCATGGCAGTCTTTCCATCACAGAGCATACAGATCTCCCTTATTAGTTTACTAAGAGCAAATAGTCTATCACATATATTATAATCTAATCAGTCCCTTTACATTTTTTTGTTTGGTTTTGCTACCCTAAGCAATGCTGCAGTGCACATTTGAGCCATTTTAAATGAATCTAGCTTAACCTCACAGACTGATTAGGAGTGAAAATTACAATATGCTACAGATATTTGTACTTTGTCTCCAGAGTTCATTCATCATCTCCTACTGTCCATTCCCTCCAGCTTCTCCTCACTCCTACTTTTCTGTATCCTGAATCCCCTGGTTTTTGGCCATCTTACCTTCCCAGCGTTGCCTGAGTCCCCTTGATGAATGAGCTAGCTTCCTTTGGACTTGCTGTCCTGGCAGTGACGGCCACATTTTCCCTAGGGCCCACCTGTCAACATCTGCCCTTTGGCTCTACAACCCTGAAATGTGATTGAAAAGCACCGTCCTTTGGTACTTGAACTTCATCAAATGCTTCCAATGAGGAGAATGGAAATTTTACAGAAATACTTCCCAGAATGAGATTTTAGGTGGCCTTTAAAGGACAGGGTAGATTTTATAAGGCAGGACAATGTCCTCAGGGGAGGACTGAATGACTTCTTCAGATACTTTGCAAGGCATGACTGTATATAAGGCAAGTATTCTGTAAAAAGTCAACTAGTCTAGCAATATTCCTCTAAGCACTACATTAGTCCCTGGAAGCCAGTTCAACGTGAATTAAGTTGCAATGAATATTCTCAAACCAGACAGATTGTCTGCAAGATTGCTGAGGGCCTACAGAGTGCCATAATGACCCAGAACCAGAGGCCCAGAGGTGCTGGTGAGGAGCTTGTGTAGAGATTTTCTCTTGGGAAGATTCAGATGCAGGGTTAAAGGCTTTATGAAGAATTATGATTTCTAGTGATGAATGAAGAAAGCTAGGGCAAAGCCATCCCGCCAAAAATGAAAGAGCATCTTAAGACTTGACAACAGTGGCAATTCTGTCTACCAGTGCTGTAGAATAATTTACGAACCACACAGTGATTCAGAGTGGCTTAACAATTGCTGGATGATGAATGCATCCCTGGAAACCTCCCTATTTCTGCAACAATATAATGATATAAAATTAGCTAATTTTAGTTTATTCCTATATCTGGGAGGCTGAGGAGATGGATCAGTCAAATAATTATGGGCACAACCCTACTTGTTGAATACTCCAGTGCTCTATAAACATTTATTAGTAAGAACCTCCTATACTGAGGAAAATGTAGAAGCTTTGTGGCCAGGGATGGACTGCTTTGGTGTTTATATTTACCTAGCATGTTGGGCAGAATAATGCCTCCCCCAAAGACGTCCCAGGTCTTAATCCCAGGTCTTCTGAATATGTTACTTTCCTTAACGAAAAAGACTTTGCAGATGTGATTAAGTTAAAGACCTGACCATGGGAGATTATCCTGGATTATCAGGGTGTGCCTGATGAAATCACAAGTGTCTTTATAAGTGAAAGGGTGAGGTAAACCAGTCAGACTCAGAGAAGGAAATGTGATAATGACAGAAGCAGAGGTTGAAGTGATGTGAGGAAGAGGCCATGAGCCAAGGAGTGCAGATGGTTTCTAGAAGTTGGAAAAAAAGCAGGGAAATGCATATTCCCCCTGGAGCTTTGAGAAGAAATGCAATCATGCCAACATCGTGATTTTAGCCCATGAGAAAGTCACTTTGGACTTCTGACCTCCATAACCTTAAGAAAATAAATGCATACTGTTTTAAGACACAAAATCTCTGGTAGTTTATTATAGCAGCAATATAAAACGAAGACACCTAAAACCATCCAGTGTTGTTTTCTTCATTGCTTTGTCTCGTAAGTGTAGAGAACGCCAGAGTTAAGTTGAATGCTGAAGGAAAATTCAACAAAGACTACTGAACAAACACGAGAAAGATGTCACATAGATCCAAATGAAGGCAAGAGAAATAAGGATAATACTATAAGCTTGATGCCATATTAGCCTTGAGCCCTCTTTAGTTAACCGGCAATTCAATTTATTTAAACATTTTAGTGTCTCTGGCAGAGTCATGTTAAATTCACCACAGCCCCCTTGCAAGGCTCTCTTCAGAGAAATCTCTTCCACTTATTTCATGGGATCTGAATATTTTAAGTGCAATAAATTTAAATTTTTATTATTTTAAAAACATATTTAGATGTTATGATAGATTCTTTTGGGAATTATCTTCTAATTTCCTTAATAATTCCCACGTCTTTAATAATTGCTACTTGATCCACAGGACCTAAATTGAATCCTTCCTTCTAGCCAGTGTGAATTGGAACAAGGAAGGGCCAAGAGGAACTCCTGACCCAAGCTAGACTAATTATTTCTCTCGGGAATCTAGAATTTGAACTGCAAGATCCAGGGTCTGGGAACTGGAAGCAGAGTTACTTTAATATCAGAAATCTAGAAAGTTCATAAATTCCACAGCTGAATTTTACATCCTCCTAGCCCTAATTGTTGAACTCCGTCTTAGATTCCATAAGATATTTCATGTGGCAGAATCATGTGTGTAGACAGCAGCAATTCTCACCCCTCTCTGTATCTACACTCTTCCCAGTATGATCTGTAGCTCCTCCCATCAAGTGGTGGAATATATTTACCCACCCCTTGAATCTGAGATGGTCTCCTGACTTACATTTAACAGTAAATACGGTGGAAATGACATACAAGCTCTAAGCCTAGGCCTTAGGAAGCCTTCCGCAGCCTTCCATACTTCTTCAATACCTCCCTCCTCACCTCTCTCTCTCTCTCTCTCCCACCCCCAAACTCACCCACACCCCCTCCCACCCCCCTCCCACCCCCATATCCCATATCTAATGATAGTAAGCTCAGGCTCAGGCTGGCTGGTTGGATGATTAGAGATGTAAGTCAATCTTTCAGTCCTAGCCAAGAGCCAATCATGTGAATGAGGCATTGAGGCTTTCCTAGACCTACTAGCCCCAATTTGACCTACCAGTTGATCAAAAATTTGTGAGCAAATCCAGCCAAGACCAGTTAAGCCTGGCCCAGATCAGTAGACCCATCCATCTGACTCATATATGCATAAGCAATCATATATTCATTGCTTTAAGTCAGAGTTTTGGGTGATCTATCATAAAGCCATATCTAACTAATATATCTTAATTTGTTTGCTTCTTCTTTCATTTAATCGCAAAAACTGTTTGTTAAGTTCCTATGCTAAGAATATGGGATTACTGTGAAATTACCATAAAACAAAGCCCCCATTCTCATAAAACTGAAATTCTAGTAAGAGTTGTGGGGGAGGTGGGGAGACAGGCAACAAACAAATAAAAGAGTAAATATATAGTCTAACAGAAGGAAGATAATAAAATAGGGTTTGGAGAATAGGGAGTGTGGTATCAGGGGAGACCTGAGGGTAGTAAGTGAGTGAGCCATGCGAATATCTGAAGATAAAGCATTCCAGATAGAAGGCATAGAAAGTGCAGAGGCCCTGAGTGAGAAGTGAGCTTGGCATGATTGAGAAAAAGGAAGTATTATGTCTGAGGTAGAGAAGTGAGGCAGAGAGCAGCCAGGAAAGAGATCAGAGCAGTGGCCAAGGACCTGCCACAGGAAGCTTGAGAGTAATGATAAGTACTTTGGATTTTACTCTGAGCAAGACAGTGATACAGGAGCTAAAAAGAAATTATTTAGGCAGATAGTGAGGGTAAGAGAGTCCTCGGCAGAACTTCCCTTTTAATAGACAGCAACCCCAAATATCATTTATTTTCTAACAAAGAGCAGCCTGAAAAATCGAGCTGCAGACATAGATAAGCAAGCTGGAAGCTTGCACGGGAGAATGCTGGCAGCTGTGCCAATAGAAAAGGGCTACCTGGAAGCCAGGTATGTTCAACATGGAGGCTCCATCTACCCTTTTCTTTGTCACCACGTGTATAGTAAAAGAAGCAGGCAACATGGCTGGCCAGGTAGAGAACCCATCTGCATAATAAAAGATTAAGGTGGGACCGCAAGCTTCTTCGCACCCTATGCAAATGGCACACCTGGTCCAACCAATCTTTTGTGCCCTATGTAAATCAGACACCTCCTCAAGCTAGCCTATAAAATCCCATGCATTTCACCATGGAACTGGCAACCCATTTTTTCTCCAGGACCCCTTTCTGCACAGAGAGCTCTTCTTTCTTTCACTTATTAAACTTCCACTCTTAACCTCACTCTGGTGTGTCTGCGTCCTAGTTTTCCATGGCCATGAGACGACGAACCTCAGATATTACCCCAGACAATGACGTCGCTTCAACAGGAAGCAACTGAAGAGGTTTGATCAGAGTTCTTATGTGAATGGAATCACATTTTAGGGTGCTCATTGTGACTATCATATGGATCAACTCTAGATGGACAAGGAGGAGACCCACTGGGAGGCTGCTGCAATAGTCAGGTGGAGATGAAGGTGACTTGCTCCTGTGTGGTAACACTGAGCAAACAGATTCTGGATGCATTTCTGCAGTAGAGACCATGGGGTTTGCTAAAAGTGTGAGTATGGGGTGTGAGTAAATGAGAGAGGCATGGATGGCAACAAGGCTTTGGTTTTAGATAACTGAAGAGACAGAGACACGGGGGGAGAGAGGAGGACTTGGGGAAATTAGGACTTTGGTTTTGGAAATGCCAACTTTGAGAGTGTTTTCAGATAGCCAAAAGGATAACATTAAGTAAATAGCTGTCTATCTGAGTGCGGAATTGCGGACAGAGCACTGAACTGAAGACATACATTTGGGAATCATTTGTGTATAGATGGAATTGACATCCTGAGTCCAGGAGAAATACTCCAGGGAGCATAGTGAGAAAAGAGAAGCCAGTGACCAATCCCTGGGGCCTCCCAGTGATTATTAGGGGACAGGAAGAATGAGAAAAGTGTTGAGAAGAGAGACCAGAAAAGTTTAAGGAGAACTGGAAGCAGTTTCTGCTAATAAATTCTTTCCTATTCTGCTTAACTTCACTGCTAGGGACTGTATTGTGTCCACTCCACTCCCCCAAATTCATATGTTAAAAGCACTATCCCCCAATGTGACTGTATTGGAAATAAGGCGTTTAGGAGGTAATTAAGTTAAATAAGGTCAAAGTAGGGGAGGGAACTAATCTGATAGGATTGGTGTCCTTATAAGAAGAGAAAGAGGGATCAAAGCTCTCTCACTCTCTCTGTGGCTCCTTATGCATTCACCAGGGAGAGGTGCCGTCTACAAGCAGGAGGGGAGGCCTCATCAGAAACCAAACTTGCTGGCACCCCGATCTTGGATTTCCAGCCTCCAGAACTGTCAGAAAATAAATTGCTATTGTTTAAGCCGCCCAATCTGTGGTATTTTGTTAAGGTAGCCCAAGCAGACAAATACACTAGTTTAAAAGCTGTCTTCTGTTACTTATGTAATGGAATAATACACGGAGGTTTTAAACAAAAGTCTTTCTTTCTGATTGTTAACCCAGTTACCCTGTAGTTCTCCACCTGGGGATCAAGGGCATACACAGCTTCATGGGGAGGGCACAACCAAAGACTTCCACTGACTTGCTGAATGATTTTTTATTAAGTCATGGCAGGCATAATAACCTAAAACCAAAGCATTTTTGTTTTGTGACAGCTAAAAGCATGAAAGAGAGGTGGCTTTATTTTGATTTCTAAAAGAGCTTAGTGGAAGACTGGGCCAGAGCCCAGGGCAGAACATGGAGTGTACACACAGCCAACATACAGGAAACATGCAGGCCCAGGATTCACGGCAGCTCCTTCCCCACAGAAGGGAGATAGAATGCCTTCCAGGGCAGGGAGGAGGCTGGAGTGTGAGGGGAGATAAATCAGGAACATTTAGTTGCTCCTGTGAAAGTTTTCAGCCCTGTCTGGCTGCTTCCGCGCCCCTCCCAGGGTTGAAAGCCCTGCTGGAGAAGGGCAGATAAAAACCCCCAGTCAGGCTGGAAAGTCCCTCAGCTAAATAGCTTTGCCCCCATTTGCATCTGGAATGCTGAAAGGGACTGACTCACAATGTTTCTCACACCAGGTCGGAAGAGCTACAGTGGAGTGGACGTGGCCACCTTTGTATTTAGGGAGACAGCGCCTGAGACAGCCGCAGGCCCCTCTGGGTTCTGCCAAACCAGCACACAGCACAGATGAGGTGCAGAACTATCCTCATGTCCCAGTAGGGGATGTAGAAAGTGGCTTATGGTTGAGTGCCTACAGGTCTGCCGAGGAGTCACCAAGGCCAGAGGCAAGGGTCCCTAAACCAGATCTTGGAGTGGAGAGCTCCAAAGCCCCAGCCAGGTGGAGGCCTCTGATCAGTTCCCACGGAACAGCAGTGACTATGAGCCTCAGCAGGAGTCCTGCACGCACTGACCATGTGGGAGAATAGCCCTGAGCTGGAGGAAATTCAGTTATATCTGAGCTATGGTGATACATTTAAAAGTGGTTACACTTTCAATAAAAAGATCCGTACTTCATCTAGATGTCATCATTCTAGTTGTGCATTCTGCTTTGCTTATTAAGCAACTAACCAGACTTTTAATTCTATTGAAAATATTTTGGTCACATTTTGTCACTAATAATATAGGCAGTCTCCAATTGGTGGTTTAAAATGTATTCCTCCATATAAATAGTATTCGTAATAGTTGTTAGTTTCTCAGATGAGCTTGCTGAGTCTATGTAATATAGATTACATAGAAATATACATAAATGTTTACATAAATTAAAATATAATTTAATTACATCCACAATTAAGTTATAATTATAATGTCAATAGTATGAGTCCAGTAGGTGCCACAGTAGTACAGTGAAAAAAGAGTGTTCCAAATCCCCAGCACCACCACCTATTAACAGTGAGTCCTAAGTTCTTTACTTAGCTTTTCTGAGCCTCAGTTTCTTTATGTGTAAAATGGGGATAACTATCTTTTCTTGTAGGATTGTTGTAAGGATTAGTAACAATTTTCATAAGGCACCCATTCTTCAGTGCAACTGATCTTGGCTAGGGATTAAAAAAAACTATCTGATGAAACAAATTAAACTGTGAATAATTCATGTTCCCTTAATCCTCATAGAAGGATTTGCACTTTTAAGAGAAAGATTTTTAGGCCAGGCACAGTGGCTCATGTCTATAATCCTAGCAATTTGGGAGAACCAGGAGGGCAGATCACTTGAGCCTAGGAGTTTGAGACTAGTCTGGGAAATATGGAGAAGCCTCATCTCTGCAAAAAACACACACAAAAAAAATTAACTGGGTGCAGTGGTGTGCCCCTGCAGTTTCAGGTGCTTGGGAGGCTGAGGTGGGAGGATCATTCGGGCCCAGGAGGTTGAGGCTGAAGTGAGCTGAGATTGTGCCACTGCACTCCAGCCTGGATGATAGAGGGAGACCCTGTGAAAGAAAGAAAGAAAAAGAAAGAAAGAAAGAAAGAAAGAAAAAAAGAAAGAAAGAAAGAGAGAGAGAGAGAGAGAGAAAGAAAGGAAGGAAGGAAGGAAGGAAGGAAGGAAGGAAGAAAGGAAGGAAGGAAGGGAAAATAATTTACAAAGAAAAAAGAAAAAATTTTAGTCCAATTAAATATGCAAATAAAAGGATTTTTCAGTAATTTCTTTAAACACAAAGTCAACTAAAATTGAAAGTGGCAGGAGGGAAAATACTTTGAAATGGGATAACCACCATTTAAGCAAGGTGGACCCACCTATGCAAGCTAGCTCAGTATCCTGTCTGTTAGAATGTTTGGAGTGCATATACTAGAAAAACCCTAAAAGGCTTAAACAAAGTAGAACTTAATCTTCCCCACACACATAAAAGAAACCTGAAAGTTAGCAATTTAAGACTAGCATGGTTACTTGACAAAATTGTCAAGGTCCATAGCTCCTTGCCATCCTTCAGTGTTTCTTGTTCTCACAGCCCAATGTGGTTGATAGAGCACCAGCCATCACATCACATCCATGTTCTGGGCAGCATGATGGAAGAAGGGTCAAAGAAACTCTCTAAAAACTTCCTGGAAATCCCACATAATAATTTCATTTGCATTTATTGGCCAAAATGTGGTCACATGACCATATCTAGCTGCAAGGAAGGTTGAGAAATATTCTTTGGCTGAGTTTTAGGATTCTATTATTAAGAATGAAGAGAAGAACAGATGTTAATTTAAGCAACCAGCAGCCTTTGCCACAGCATGATGGAACTAGTAAGTTAGCCCTTACCTCTTTCACTTTCTCCCTTTCATACTCCGCTTTGTGATGTTGGAGGTGGGATGCTGCCCACCACATTTCTGCTTTGCTGGGAGTTCTGGAGGGAGACTAGAAGACCTGAGAAGGAAGGATGCTGCCTTATCCACATCACCAAGCTTTGCTTCTTCACCCTGGCAGCAGCACTTCTTTCCAGGAGAGACAGTTGATCTCAGTTTGCAGCTTGTTCAGCACCCACAGACCAGCCTCATCTTTCCTTGATTCAGTTACATCAGCACCAGGCCAGCCAGCACCCCTGCGGTGGACACAATTGTGTTCTCCCAAAATTCATATGCTGAAGCCCTAACCTAATGTGACTATATTTAGAGATAGAGCTTTTAGGAGGTAATTAAGGTTAAATGAAATCATAAGGGTAGTTCCTTAATTCAATAAGATCGGTGGCTTTGTTATCAGAAAAAAAAGGGTCTTGATCTAGACCCCAAGAGAGGGTTCTTGGATCTCATGCAGGAAGGAATTCAAAGTGAGTTGCAGAGTACAGTGAGGAGAGAGAGCTTATTGAGAGCAAAACATACAATTTACTTATATTACAGAGTAGGGCATCCTCAGAAAGCAAGTGGAGAATGCATTGTCTTCAAGTTTTTCTTATGTTGGGGTCTGATCTATGTAAAGACTAAGCTCTGCCTACATGCGGGGGTGCTGACAGCATGACAAAATTTATTATATTATTGCTTTAAAGAAATCTATCCTTGACATTTTAGTGTGTAAGTCATCAAAACACAACTATAATTATCTTGAAAGCATATATTGTTATGGGTAACTGGGACATCTGGACTTTCTGTTGCTGTAGGATTTTGTCCTAGCAGGCCTTATCAAGCTGCTTGCTTAGCTGCAAACATCTTAGGGCCATGAGTTGGAACTGGCAATGAATGTGTCTTGCTAGTTTTAAGATGGAGTTGATTTTAAAATGGTGTCACTCTGGCTCTGCTAGGTCATGCTTCCCTAACAGTATTATAAGAAGAGGAAGAGAGAGGTCACTCTCTGTGCACACGCACCAAGGAAAGGTCACCACGTGAGCACGCAGTGAGAAACTGGCCATGTGCATGACTGGAAGAGGGCTGTTACCGGAAACCAAACTGTCTGGCACTCTGACCTTGGACTTCCAGCATCCAGAACTTTGAGGAAATAAGTTTCTGCTGTTTAAGCCCCCAGTCTGTGATATTTTGTTTCGGCAGCTCAAGCAGACTAAGAATCCCCTCCTGAGAGGTCTGAAATTTTCAGTCCTTCTAGCCTATCTCCTTTTGTTCCCAAAGATGCAGAAGCAGTATCTAGTTTCATCACTTGCCAGCTTTTTGATAAATTATGTTCTATTTTTGCCTTTTTAGTTCTTCAATGTCCAGTTAATTATTTTTTTTTTTCCTGTTAAAATAAGTGTTTGTGGATTTTGACTCCTGCCTGGACCCTGCCTGATACAATACTAATAGCTCTGGAGCTCTCTCAACTACGGCTACAGATACTTTAACAGAAGGGCTAGTAGCAAATTTCCCAACCTTTGTCTCTCCTCAAACACATCTCTACCAAATTCCACCTGCCACTTCACACCTCTACTCATTACTAGTCTCCATTTTTTCAGCCCTACAATGGTGCTGTGTCCAGATTCTTCCTACCTCTTTACCTAGCTATTTTGCTTTCATACTGCAACTGAGTGACATACCTGGGTTTTGGTTCCATTTCCTCCATTAAATACAACTTCTCATATCCTTGCCTTAGAACTGGGCTGCACCACTTCCCTAAGATTGGGCCTAGCATTCCATGTTTTCCTGGGGTGGGGATAATAGACATAATTTAAAATTACACACCCAAACCAACTTCCTTAACTAAACTGCTCTTGTTTTTTCAAACTTTTAGAGCTTTCTGCTCTTGTAGGCTGTAAGATCTCAAAATAGCTCCAATTGGTTCTCCTGATGGCAGCAAAGGGAATTCTATGGTGTAGGTGGGGCACTTATATAAGAAAATTAATTTGTTATTAAGTCAGGCATCTTAAGTTTGGGGCAGCCTGAAATAATCACGTGTTTAGCTGTGCAATCAAAGAATATTTTTCAGGCAACACATCACGTTCATACACTTGCTGGTGACTTTTGCATGCTCAAGATTTGTTTCTGTGCATTTTTTAATGCTATATTTGAATCTTTTGTGTGTTTTTTATGTATTGAAAGCAACGGAACAATAAAAATTTTCTAGAGAGTTTATCTTTCCTTCCACAACAATGCTCCTCTTTCAATTATCTCTGTTCTCTTCTTAGGCTAACTGGTTTACTTTAATAGACTTTCTTTTACCTGTCACCATAAATCCCACAGTCACTAAAAAATGCTCCTGAACAGATGTAGAGTACTCTCTCAAAGTGCCCTGTTATCGACCTATCTTGTATAAGATAATAACATTTTTAGGCCCTGTTCATGTCAAGAATCCTGTTTTCTTGAAGCATACTTCTTGTAAACATGCTTTCATAGCCTTAGGCATAGGTGAGAAGGGAGGCTGGGGAACATTCACTCATTTAAATTTTCCTTACTTTCTCTGTGGCTGAAGAAAATAAAAATTCCCACCTATGTTCTAACATGAAGAGCTAAACTGCAGGAAGCAGACATTTTCAAGATACTCAGAAAGCCTCAGGACTAATAACGATCACATTGATTCAACACAGTGATCACTGTAGCCTGTGACCGTTGGCAAACAATTTTTATTTTCTCATCCTCCATGGGAAATCTACCATTTATGTCCATGGTGGCCCTGCTTTTTAACCCAAAGAACAAAACCTACTCTCAAATTGGTATAAATTTCCTCGTGTATACTTATGAGGTCAATAGGGAAATAATATTTGATAGGACTAACCCAGGAAATTGTCATATAGCTACTGTATCCATACCAGATGGACAAGCACTCCAGGAAAACCAATAGTGACTTTGAGGAAGCTTCATCTCACTTTAAAGGCACAGGGGCCGGCAAACTTCTACCATAAGAGGCTAGAGAATAAATATTTTAGGCTTTGGAGGCCACAAGGTCTCTGTTGCAACTACTCTATTCAGCTATTGTAGTGAAGTGGCATCGTTGTCTGCGGAAATACCCAAGGTTTGTCGTCTGGCACCAAGAAGATTAAGGATATGGACACACGCGTATAGAGTGGGTTTAAGAGGGGAAAAGTTTTAATAGAAAAACGAAAGAAAAGAGAGAGAGCTTCCTCATGCAGAGGAAGCGCTCAAGCGGGTTTCTGGGTTTAGGGTGGGGTGTGGTTGATTTTATAGAGGGGCTTGAGGAGGTGGTGATTGATTTACATAGGGCCCAGGGGATTGGTTTGACCAGGCGTTCCATTTACATAGCCCACGAAGAGACTGGCTGTCTCACCCTAATATTTTATTATGCAAAGGTGGCCTCCACCTGACCGGAGCCATGACACCTGCACAAGTGGCGACAAGCAGAGGGAGGAGGGAATCGCCATGTTCGATATACCTGACTTCCAGGTTCGGCTGCCAGCATTTACCTATGCAAGCTTCCAGCTTGTTTATTTATGTTTGCGGCTTGATTTTTTTAGGCTGCTTTCTGTTAGAAAAGAAACGGTCTGGGGGCTGCTTTTTATGAAAGAAATTCTACCGAGAACTCTTTTACCCCCACTAAATAATTTCTTATTAACTCCTATATCAGTAGCACAAAAGAAGGCACAGACAGTGTGTAAACAGACTAGCCTGATTGTGTTCAGTAACACTTTTTTTTTTTTACAAACCAAGCGGGAGATTGATTTTGGCTAATGGGTCAGAATTTGCCAACCTCCGCTCCAGGATATCCACGAATACTCTTTTACATAAAAACAAACATGCTACAAAAAATCCATATTCTGCTTTCCTGGCATTCCACATAATTACCTACAGGTTTTATACCTGTAAAAACATACAGAAAATATTGTCTCTCTTCTTTCAGCTTTCTGAATTGAGGTAATGAATTTTAAGCCCAGAGAGAAAGATGTTTAGTGCCATTTTGTCATTTCTTATTTGCTAGGGTTGTATATCAAGGCAAGACATTATCACTAACAGGACAAGACCTGGGCTCTAACTTAACCTCTTCCACCAGGGTAAACATAAGAGCATTCCAGGCCATTACAAACCAAATTAACCAGCTAAGACAGGTGAAGGCTAATGCTTCTAATGGTACTCAGGAAAATCAATCAGCCAAGACAAACAGAGATGGCTGTCAATGCTATATTGACAAACTGGTGGGTGGTTTACGGAAAGAAAAGGAAGTCAGTGAGGAAAATATTTGGATGAGCAACAGAGGATGAAATTCTTTTTAGACCCTTGAGGCAAAGGTTCAAGTTCAGGGTTCAAGTTAACGCAGTTCAGCGAGAAGATGCTTCTTCCACCAGTCTGATGAGCCAGTTCTTAAGGTAAGTTGGTTTTTATTTTGGGAGAATTTTTTTCTTTCTTTTTTTTTTTTTTTTTGGTAAATCACCAAGTTTGAAAAACCCAACTTTGAAATAGTTGTGCCTGAAGTTTTTAGAGTTGGGAAAATAATATTAGCAGCTAATATTTGAGTGTTTCCTGAGTTCTAGTTTTACACATTCCCTTATTTAGTATTCTTTATCATTATACCCCAGTTATAGGGGAGGAAGTCAGCTCAAAATGGCGAAGTAATCTACCCAATGACACACAGATATAAGAGGCAGGGCCAGGATTTGTTAGCAGGTCTGTCTGACCTGGAAGTTATACTCTCAATCATTACATTATACTGTTTCTAAGTTGTTTGCTCTCTTTACTTCTTGACAGCTAAATCTCCGGGTCACAAAGGATTTTGAAAGTACTTTTTAAATAGATGGTAAACTAAGTTTTAGCTCTCATTTTCAGAGACACTCAAGATTAAATTCTCTATCCACTGAGTTGCTTGAAGTTGTTACTGAGAGGACTGTGTCCTACTTAAATATGAAAATATTTATCCTGGGTCAGAAAAAGAAAGGAAAAGGAAAAATGGCAAAAGGAAGAGTTTGTTATATTTAATATTTAATTAATTTATTTAAATATTTAATTTAATTAATTTGTTTCAGTGACAGTTTAGGCAAAGTATCTTAGGGCCAGCACATTGATAAAATGAAATCAAAAATGCCAGTTTACATAAGATGTGGGATAGTAGAGAGGAAATCTTAATCACATACAAAGAAAAATCCAATACATATATATATATATAGATATATATGTGTATATATATATAGATATATATGTGTATATATATAGATATATATGTGTATATATATAGATATATATGTGTATATATCTATATATGTGCATATAGAGATATATATCTATATATGTGCGTATAGAGATATATATCTATATATGTGCGTATAGAGATATATATCTATATATGTGCGTATAGAGATATATATCTATATATGTGCGTATAGAGATATATATCTATATATGTGCGTATAGAGATATATATCTATATATGTGCGTATAGAGATATATATCTATATATGTGCGTATAGAGATATATATCTATATATGTGCGTATAGAGATATATATCTATATATGTGCGTATAGAGATATATATCTATATATGTGCGTATAGAGATATATATCTATATATGTGCGTATAGAGATATATATCTATATATGTGCGTATAGAGATATATATCTATATATGTGCGTATAGAGATATATATCTATATATGTGCGTATAGAGATATATATCTATATATGTGCGTATAGAGATATATATCTATATATGTGCGTATAGAGATATATATCTATATATGTGCGTATAGAGATATATATATATGTGCGTATAGAGATATATATCTATATATGTGCGTATAGAGATATATATATGTGCATATAGAGATATATATCTATATATGTGTGTATATATATATCTATATACAGATATATCTATAGATATATCTATATACAGATATTATAGATATATCTATAGACATATCTATATACAGATACATACATCTATATATAGATATATGTATACACAGATATATATCTATATATATCTAGATATATATGTATATACAGATATATATATCTATATATAGATATAGATAGATTTATGATATATCTAGATATATATCTATGTAGATATCTATATATCTATATAGTTATATCTAGATATATAGATATCTACATAGATATCTATATATCTAGATATATCTATATATAGATATATCTATATCTATATATATAGATATATAGATATCTAGATATATCTATATATAGATATCTAGATATATAGATATATCTATATAGATAGATATCTATACATCTATATATCTATATATCCAGCTAGATATAGATATAAGAATATTCCCATTATTGTACTAAGCTAGTCTCTTGAAGGAGCATTCATCCTGTTAACCAGGTATTACGTCTTCCTTTCATCTACTTAATGCATGTCTTCCTAACCTTGCAAATTTAAGAAATTTTGCTGCTAATATGTGGGTTGTATCACCTTGTTCTTTAAGATGGTTGTCAGATGTATGGTGCTTCTCCCTTTTTGTCATGGAATTTGACACATTTATGTAACACTGAGCCTTCACCCAGGGTTTTCCTGCTTTGGTCTCTATAACTGGATCCTGCAGGTTTGGTGAGTGGAGGCCATCCTTCTTTCTCCCCATTGCCGTCCCTCCCTCTCCCTATATGACGCATGTGTACAAAGCTCCAAAGCAGAGAGGGGAGAGCTGCAGGAAGGCAGTTTCTTAAGTTCTAAGGAAAACATGTAGGCTTCTAAATTTATTTATTTATCTTATTTTTTGGCTGAAGGAAGTAAAATAAATGGAGTCCAAGGAAAAACAACTCCCTCTGGGACCTTGGCTTCAGCTACCTCTCCTTGTTTTAATGAGATCATTTTTGATTCTGAGGTTTTGTCTCCAGAAAACCATCCAGAATGGAGCTGCTTTTGAAATATTAGGCATATCCCAGGACCCAAAACCCCGAGGAGTTCAACTGTCTGCAGATCATTTGGACCACCCACCTGTGGTAGCTGCACAGCCTGTCCAAACCCCACAGAAACGCAAATGCCTGCCTCTCACTATCTCTCCAAATGGCGCCCAGGAGGCTTTGCTCCTCCGTGGAATTGCTGAGCTAGACAAGAATATTACTCCTCTGGCCCAGTGTTACTTGCAGATGGAAGGGAAAGGAAAATTAAGACACAAATTCCATGGTTAAAATGAATAAATGTTGAACTCAGGAGACCAGTCTAAAACTGGGAAGGGAATTTTGGGCTTAATATACTAATGCCTCCATTCGAATATTTTTTTGCCCCAATACACTGAGAAAATATTGCAGTAGCATAATGAAATGTGAAATAGGAAAACTTTCATGTTGAAATTACTTTCAGATCTTGCTTATGGGTCATGCAAGGAAAACACTCATATGCCTTTATATTCAAAGCCATTTTTAAAATAAAAAATTGTTCACCCATCTTATTCACTAAACGACTTTTGGTTGTGTCCAAAAGAGGAGATCTACTTTGAAAAATTTGGTGCTACTGGTGGCATTGAAAAGAATGAAGGCTGTGAAAGTGTGGTAGCAGAAGTCTCAGAATGACCCCAAAAGCACTCATCTTGTGTAATCCCCTCCCCTGTGAATATGATGGGACATCACTCCTGTGATTATATCAAGTCACATGGTTTCTTAGTCTGTTCAGGCTGCTGTAACAAAACAGCATAGACAAGGTGGCTTATAAACAACAGAAACTGATTTCTCGCAGCTCTGGAGGTGGACCGTCTAAGATCAAAGTGTTGGCTGATTTGGTGTCTGATGAGGGCCCACTTCCTGGTTCATAGTCAGCTCCCTTCTCACCGTCTCCTCACATGGTGGGAGGGGGCAAGGAAACTCTCTGGAGCCTTTTTGTAAGGCCGCTGATCCCATTTATGAGGGCTCTGCTCATATGACCCAATCACCTCCGTAAGGCCCCACCTCCAAATACCATCCCATTGAGGCTTAGAATTTCAACCTGTAAATTTGGGGGAGGCGGGTGACATAAACATTTAGTCTATAGCACATGGCAAAAGGGACTTTGCATATATAAGTACTAATCATTCCTTTTTACAATAGAGAGAGATCATTTAGGTAAGTCAGGTTTAATTACATGATTCCTTTAAAAGTAGAGAATGGGCCGGGCCTGGTGGCTCACGCCTATAATCCCAGCACTTTGGGAGGCCGAGGCGGGTGGATCATTTGAGGTCAGGAGTTTCAGACCAGCCTGGCCAAAATGGTGAAACCCCATATCTACTAAAAATACAAAAATTAGCCTGGTGTGGTGGTGAGTGCCTGTAATCCCAGCTACTTGGGAGGCTGAGGCAGGAGAATAGCTTGAGCCTGGCAGGTGGAGGTTGTGGTGAGCCGAGATCACACCACTGCGCTCCAGACTGGGTGACAGTGAGACCCTGTCTCAAAAAAAAAAAAAAAAAAAAAAAAAAAAGTAGAGAATATTCTCTAGCTGGGAGAAGAAGTAAGAGAGATTCCAAGCATAAGAATGATGTTCTACCTAGTGGAGTGACTATAGCTGATAACAACATACTGTATATTTCAAGAGAGCTAGAAAAGAGGATCTTGAAAGTTATTACCAAAAAGAAATGATAATGCTAATTACCCTGAGTTTATCATTATTCAGTGTATACATGTATTGAAACATCACAATGTATCCTGCAAACATGTACGATTACTATGTGTCAATTATATACAACAAAAAGAAGAATGCCTTGACACTTATTGCTGGTTTGAAAATGGAGGGGGCCACATGATTAGAAATCTGAGCAGCCCCTAGAATATTGTGGCCCTCAGTTCACAGCCAGTGGACTGAATCTGCCAACCACCTGACTGAGCTTGGGAGCAGATCCTTCCCCCAGGGCCTCCAGATTAGAGCCTAGCACAGCTGACATCTTGATTTGAGCTGAGCAGAGAACCCAGCCAAGCCCACAAGGACTTCTGATCTGCAGAACTATGAGCTAATATTAGGTGTTACTTTTAAGTTAAGTTTGTGGTAATTTGTTATGCACCAATAACAAACTAATATAAGATGGGATGAAGGAACCCTTGAAGGGTATGAAGAGCCCAAAGGCATTCAGAATAATAAGTGCCTCCCTGGAACAAGGAACCTCTTTACAATGGAAGGAGACTCCTGGAGGTGGGAAAATGTTCAGGCAGATGTATAAATCCCAAGGTGAGTCTTAAGATTCTTATTATTTTATAGCCATATTCGATCAGTTGGCTTTGACTCTGCTCCTCAAAATCCACTCCTTCCTTCAAAACCCACCATGGCAGGAGGACTAGGAAGTTAGAGAGCCTCCTTGATCAGGCCAACATTGCCCAGTAGTGGCACACAAGGCCCATTTGTCCCTTTATCTCCCACATCTGCCCCTCTGCCTTTCGGGGCACAAGGGTTATGAGACTGTACTCTCTAGATGTCTGCTCTTGCCACACCATTATTCAGTCCTGACTGCCTCCTCCAACCCCACTAAACATGTTGTCCAACTACCTTGTAGGTAATGGACCCATTTTCTCCCCTGCCCAAGGAGGCTGAAACCAGATGGTCCAAGGAGGTTCTTACCAGACAACTTGGAAAGGGTGTAACTGGTACTCCCAGGGAAGCGGACATCCATGTCCAGGTGTCCAAATAGAAAAAGAGCAGGAGCTATAATCAGAGCCAAAAATCAGGAGCTAGCAAAATGGACACCACCACAGAAGATACTGGTGAGGAGTAAAATCACAGACTGGCTCAACTTCATCTTGGGTAGAATCATAACAGCTTGAGTCATCTTTAAAAATTAGATGTATACCTGTTGGGTCTGGCACTTTTATTCTATTTACCACTTTGAAATTCCATCCATTTGAATTTCCGTCTTTTTTCTATGTCTTATTGTGTTGGGACTTCTTTGCAGCATCGATACTATCACTCTCTCCCTATATCGTAAAACTTCTCTCCTAACTTTCCTGACACCAGCTTCTCCTACTTTTCCAACTGTCCCTGATTTCTTCTTCTGTCTTAGTTCTGGCTGATATGATGAAGTACCGCAGAGTCTATTTTCCATAGTTCTGGAGACTGGAAGTCTGAGATCAGAGTGCCAGCATGGTTGTTTCTCATGAGGGCTCTCTTCTAGGTTGCAGACTATCAATGTCTTGTGTCCTCACGTGACAGAAAGAAAGTGAGATAGCTCTCTGGCCTGTTCTTCTAAGGGCACTAATCCCATCCATGGGGCTCCACCCTCATGACCTAATTACATCCCAAAGGTCCCCGCCCCACATACTATAACACCAGGGATTCAGTTTCAACAAGAATTTTAGGGGAGGTGGGGCACAAGTATTTAGTTCACAACACTTTCTTTTTTTGAGATCCTCTGGCTCCACTCACCCTTAAAATTGGCGTTACCCAATGATTTATCTTTAACCAGCTTCTCAGTTTCTCCATTCATCCTGGTTTTTTCTTTCACTGCTATGGCTTGGATTCATCACTCAAATATGCTGATGATTCCGAAATCTTGATCCCCCATCCATTTTTATTTCTTTAGCTCTACATATGGACATACCACATCTCCTGGACACTGGAATTTGGATGTTCTGTTGGTACTTCAAATTCGACATGTCTGTTCCCCAAATCATATTCTTACTGGGTCAATTCTCTGGTTTAATAACATCATGATGCACCAAATGTTAACCATAAATCTACCTATTGTGGATGTTGGATTCTCATGCTCACACCCTGAGACCCAAGTTACTTAGGCTAATAACAGTTAACATCTAACAAGGCGCAATTAACTAGTTATTCCTTGGCTTTACAGTAAAGAAAGACAGCAAGAAAAAAAAAAAAGACTAATGTGAGAATATCATTAGCTGATAGGGATGTGAGTGAACACTGTCACCTTGATCAAATCTATATGCCAAAGGAACAGAGCTCTCACTGGAAACCGTGTTAGGCAAAGCATAATCTGATATCGACAAGATAATCCTCTTCCAAAAATTCTCTCAATCTAATCATAGGAGCTCATGCTTCTCCATCAACTGGAAGAGCGTCATCCCCTGAGGAGTCAAAGCCAAGATCGTGGTTGTTTTCTTACCTGAACAGCCAAGTCCCCAGCAGTTTCAGCTTCCCAGTGAGTTGTCAGAATTTCCTGGAACAAATCGCCCAATAGCCTCCACTGCTCCTGGCCTATTTCTGCTGGTTTCTATCCTTCATGCAAGCCAGGAATATAATTTACACACACCTCTTGTTACTATTCCATTTAATTATAATATAATCCCACACATGCAAACAAGAAAACAGCAATCATGTTTTATTCCAACTCCTAATTGCATGTAGCAATCATGTGCTTTCACTAAATTATTTCCATCAAGCAGAAATAGTGCCATTATTTCAGGAATGCCAAAAGGCCCACCTGCAGTCCCCACCCCCATCAGCAAAGCCAATTCGAGTCTCATACACTTGCCCTGCAATTTCATATAGTGGCCCTCCCCCATAAACACACACGCGCGCACATAGACACCACACAAGCATACAGACACACCAGACACCACACATACACACACACCAGACACCACACACACACCACACACCACACACACCCCACACACACCACACCACACACACACACACACACACACACACACACACTTTCACACTCTGAATCTCTGTATGTTCAGCTCCCCTGTTCTTTCCCTTCCCACCAGCATCTTAGGCCCTGAGATGTCAAGTGATTACTCAACACTCTCCTTTTATCTATTGTGGCTTAGAACATTCTCAGCTGGGCTTCCTAACTAACCATTTCCTGTTCCTCTAATTCTAAAATACATCCATCTCTGTTTCTCACAGGGAGAGCCCTTATTAATCTCTTTTCTTAATAACACCTTAAACCTAGTCTTCATAAGACTCTCTTAATGAGTCTCTCTCCTCTGGAGCTGGAACATCCTCCTTTTCCTGCCCTTAGGTGTCAGAATTCCAGGTTCTCAGGCCTTTGGACTTAGACCAATCCATGCTACCATCTTCCCTTGTTCTCCAGCTTATGAACAGCCTATTGTGGGACTTCTCAGCCTCCATAATTGAGTAGCTAATTCCACTAATAAATCCCTTTTCATACATCTCTCTCTCTTTATATATTCTATTATTTCTGTCTCTCTGGAGAACCCCTGACTAAAACATTGCACCAACCAATCATCAACTTTTCTTATTTTTGAATAACAACAACAAAAACAGAATAAAAGAAAGAAAGAGAAAAGAAGAATGTCCTTTTCTCTGTGTTCATTCTGAAACTCATTTACACTAGGAATTGTGTGTTCCTTGCCTGATTCTCTCCCAACTTGTTTTCTGCATTGTATCATTGGAAATAAGCCTAGGAATTACTTAAGTCATGCATATAAAAATGAAAACTAGAGAAAGAAAACATGAGGTAGTAAGGTGGTAAATTACTAAGCACTGGGGTCGGCAAATGTTTGAATTTTTGCTTCTGCTTTTCAAGGTTTTGTGCTGTTGGGTGCATTCCAAACTAGGCTTCAAGCCTAGTCATCTCAGTAGGTATTTTTTTCCTTTTCCTTTTTTTTCAGACTGTGTTATCAATCATGCTTTCCTAAAGGTTCACAGACTATTTGCAAAGCAAAGGGGAGCCTCAGTGTCCCAAGGCAGGATTACCATTTGCAGCAGGAATTAGGAATGAAACCAGGAAGGATTCAGTCTTGCATTGCTCTCTGTGTTTGAAAGGGAAAAAAAAAAAAAGGCTGAGAGTGCTCTGAGGACTTAAAAACAACCAGCATGACTTGACCATTTGAAAAAGAAATCCTGGAGCAGCATTCCAGAAACACGAAGACAAGCTCAGCACTGTGCAACCGAAGGAGGTCACTCCTCTGGGAGTATTTCATGGAATTAAGAGAAATGACTTTTAAGAAGTAGCTGTCTGAATGAGAACAATTGCAGACTTTCTTTTTTTCTAGGACTGAGCTCCATGCTCACTAGTCTTAAAACGCAAAAGTTAAACATAAAATGAAACAGGAAAAACTAAATATATTTTCCAACTGTCTCCTTGTGGCCAGCTGCCAATCAGCCTAGACTGGGTGGTGATTCTTGCCTTAAAGTTAGCAGAGAGATAGGCTGGATTGTTTTTCTGGCTTTTTTTTTTAAAAAATAAGTATTGTATTTTAGTCATTTTAGTTGTGAAAGGCTTTGAAGTTTAACATGAAAGAAGAACAAAGAGTGGTCAGAGTTTAGGTTTATAAATTCACTTCTACTATTCAACAGATGCAAAAAGCACATGGTTTCTTGTAGCTTCAGTTTTCTGATCCATAAAATGAAAATGCTGCAAGGCTGGCTTTTTCCTGTTATTCAGATCCTGCTTTAAGTGTCTCCTCTCATAGAAGTATCCTATCCAAAGGGTCTCCTTTCAACACCTAGCTGCCTCTGTCACATCACCGAGTTCTAATTTCTTCCCTAAACTCTGCTTTTTTGTTTGTTGCCTGTCTCCCCCAGTTAGGGTATAAAAATTATGAGGGTAAGAAATTTTATTTCTTTATGAATTCATTTAACAAATATTGTTTAGTGACTTCTCGGTACTAGATATTGTCCCATGCCCTGGGGATATGTCAGTAAGTAAAGTAAGGAGATGCAGTCCTTGTTTTTAGATAGAGAAGTCAGGCCTGGAAATAAGCAAATATGCCTTGAAATAAGCAAATAAGCAAATCACTTTGTAACATGTCCAGTGGCAATAGGTGTTTTGAAGAAATAGATATGGGAATTAAATGGGATCATACAGGGTAGGTGGTGAAATTTATACAGGATGGCCAGGGAAGGCCACTGAGTATGCAACATTTTAACGGGACTTGAAGAAAGTGAAGAAGCAAGACCTGGAGCTGGGGTATCCCAGAAAGTGGGAGCCCCCAAGGGAAAAGGCCCAGTTTGGTTGTTCCAAGGGCAGTGTGGCTGGTGCACAGGTGGAGGAAATGAAGAGGACAGAATGAATAGTTCATAGTATAGACTTTTGGTTTTATTCTGACTGAGATGAAAAGGCTGGCTGGTTCTACTGTGGCTGCTATGAGCTGACAAGATTGAAGATGAGCTTTGCTGGAAGCAGTGTGAGGTTAGAGCAGTGATCCAGCCAAGAAATGAAGGTGATTTGGGTGGTGTGATAACAGTGGCAGCGTGTACACAAACTTTGATTCCAAGATCTCCTGACAGATTGAATGTGGAGTGGGGAGGAGAGAGAATTAGCAACGTCTCCCAGGCTGTAGCCTGAACAAATGAACAGATGGAAAGATTAGGAGAGAATAAGGGTGAAGGCAAGGATGAAGAGTTTGGTTTTAGACCTATAAACTAATTTTGAAATACATATTAGAAATCCAACAGTAAATGGTGAATATGTTCAGAACTCAGAAGTTCAAGAGAAGATATACAGGCTAGAGATACACATTTAGCAAACATCATCAAATAAATAAAATTTAAAATCATCTTTTTCACCATTGTATTTTCAGTGCCCAGTAGAATATTGACACTCAATAAATATTTTTCTAATGAATGGATGAATGTTATGAGGTCCAATAAGATAATGGGCAAGAAAGTGGTTTTTCTTTCAAACTATAAACTCCTTCAAATAAAAGGCTAGACACAATATTCTAATATTATGTTTATTTAACAAACAGAAAACCTTTGAATGAACAATAGAGTTAGCAAGAGTACAACCAAGTGCAATTAGAAATCTTGCCTCCAACAGAAACAAACTCCAGATGGGTGTTTTCCCCCTTCCCCTTTTGATACTTAAAGTTGATACAGTTTAATGTGCAATTAAAGGCAGTAAAGCTTCAGAGAAAAATGAATGCTAGTGAAGTATAACAATTTTCTTAAAATAATGATCCTTCAAACTGTCAAAAAGGTTTTTATACAAAATTTCAAACTGTCTCAGAGGAAATGCTTTTCCAAAAGGTAATTATAAAACTATATGGATTTCATATGGACTTTCCCTCTCCAGATCACTCCATAAGTCTAAATTCATTTGGCATTATTTTGCATTGAATAAAAATAGTCTTGACTTCCATCTTTTTGCCTTTTAGGCTATAGTATGACATTTTAATATTTTTAAAGTTTCTCGATAAAAGGAAACTATTGTTTAGGGGCTTAAGCAACCACCCAGTAAAATTATCTGGCTGTTTTTTTAAACACACGATAGATGTTAGAAGTCACATGATCTATTCCCTCTACCGCTTATGGAAATATCAGGGTTAAGGGTTTTCTGTCTTTAAAAGCTGAGCATTCTGATGTGAAGATTTCAACTTTTTCTAGACCAAGAGGGAAGATAGGCAGGTGGGTGAATGGATGGGTGAGTGGTGAATAGATGAATGAATAGATAAATGGATGGATGGTTGGAGGGACAGATGAATGGAGAGAAGTGAGGGCTAAGGAGAAAAAGAGAAAGGTAGGCAGGCATGAGAGTGAATGGGAAAATGAGATACTCTGACTTGACAAATTGTCAAAATAACTCAACAATGTAAAGATAACCTTTATAACAATTGACTGGCACAACTAACATCTCTATGGGAAAAATAAACCTTGATGCTTACTTCAGATTATACACAAAAATTAACTTGAAATGAATCATAGATGTAAGTGTAGAAACTAATCTATAAAATCTCTTGAAGAAAACATAGGAGCAAAACTTTTTGACCTAGTGTGTTAAGCAAAGAGTTCTTAGATAAGCTACAAAAGCATGAATCTTATAAAAGAAAAAATTGATATATTAAACTTCACCAAATTTTAAATATTTTGCCCTTTGACAATCACTGCTAAAAAAGTGAAAAGTCATACCAAAGACTGGGAGAAAAAACTTGCAAGACAAACGCCTGATAAAAGCCTGCTAGTCAGAATATATAAAGAAATTTTACAATTTCAGAATTTTAAAACTGAGTGAAAGCTTTGAAGACATACTTTATCAAAAGAGATATAATAATGACACATGAGCATATAAGAAGATGCTCAACATAATTAGTTTTCAGAGAAATGCATATTACAACCACAATAAAATACTAATACACACCTAATAGAATGGCTCAAATTTAAAAGAAAGAAAGAAAACTGATAATGACATTTACTCTCCAGTCATGAGGAAATAATGGGGACCAGATTTACCTTCCTGCCAGGAACTATTAGAAAACTGAGCAAAATATATGAAATAATAATTTTCAGAAATTAAACAACGGATATCACAGGGATACAATCCCAGAAAAGAGCAAATCAAGATGAGCCCTTCAATTGCATCAGCTTATAACCTGGAAGCAGTTTCCAGGATGCAGTGCAGGGAGAGAGAACCCAGATAGAGCCTAAAATTTCACCAAGTTTAGGAGGCAGAAATTGCAGTTTCAGGAGACCAACATGGCTAGAATTTGTGGGTTGGAATATTAGAGAGGAGTAATCTACATAGAGAAAAAAAATTCAGAAATCTGCAGAAAGATCCACTTAAGACTTTTGATGAGTACTGATAGGAAACTATCTGAGGTTAGGAAACAAACCACTGCATAGAAGTGGGCAGAACAATTTCCAGAGCTCATACAAGGCTGGAAATTGTTGCTGTTTCCACAAACCAGAGTGGAAAGACTTCCTGATGGATGGATATCAGACAAAACTTTCAGAAGCCTCAATAGTGGGGCTAACATCCGCTAAATTAAGGTACTCTAAACCTATGCTAAAAATTTCAAAAGCACGGCTTGAAAGCATCCAGCTGATTTCATGTAATTTAAATATACAGCAGAAGAAAATCCAACACTATTTAAAGAAAAGTAACAAAATTTAGCAACCAAAAATCTAAAACTCACAAGGCACAGGATCCAATCCAAAACTGTCAGGCATGTAAACAAGTTGGAAAAGATGACGCATGACCAAAAGAAAAATCAGCCAATAAAACCAGCTCCAGAAATGACATACATGATGGAACCATTAAATAAGGACATTCAAACAGTTATTTTAAATATGTTCCATATGTTCAAGTAGATGATAGAGAAAAACCTGTTGGGATTAAGAACAGATTAATTACAAAGGAAAAGATCAGTGAACCTGAAGGCATAGCAATAGAAAGCATCCAAAATGAAGCACAGAGAGGGAAAATGACTGAAAAAAACAAAGCCTCTGTGACCTGTAGGACAATATTACATGATATAACTGCTTGTAACTGTATTCCCAGAAGGAGAAGAGGGGTCAGAAAAGAAAAATGTTCGAACAAAGTATTGCCAAAATGTTTTATATTTGATAAGAACTGTAAATCCATAGTTCCAAGAAGATCAACAGGACCCAAGTGAAATAAATGTAAAGGGTACTATTTCAAGTGACATTATAATAAAATCTCTGAAAATCAGTTATAAAACTAAAATCTTTAAAAAACCCAGAGAAAAAAAGGCATATATTCCAAGGAACAGAGACAAGAATGACAGCTGACTTCTCTTCAGAAACATTGCAAGCCAGAATAGAATAGAGACAGGTCTTTAAAGTAATGGCATTTAGGAAGGGGAGGAGGGAAAAGAAAGAGAGCTGCCAAATTAGAATTATTTATTCAGTAAAAATACCTTCGAGCTGAAAGGTGAAATAAAGACTTTTTCAGACAAACAATAGCTGAAAGAATTATCACCAACAGATTCATGCTATAAAAAATATTAAAGATAGTTCTTCAAAGAGAAGAAAAATTATAGGAGATGGAAATCAGGATTTACACAAAAGATTGAAAACCACTATAATTGCTAAAAATGTGAGTGGGCAAATTTAAAAGCCATTTTCTTCATTTTTAACCTCCTTAAAACATAATTGACTGTTTAAAGCAAAAATAGTAACAATATATTGTGGAATTTGTAACAGAAGTAACAAGTATGACAATAATGAAGCAAAGAATGGGAAGGGGGAAAGCATCATGTTTTATAGATTTTACATGTGAAGTTGTATATTACTTTAAAGTAGACAGTGATAAGTTAATGATGCATATTGTAAGCATAAAAGCAATTACTTAAAAACTGAAACAAACATACAAAAGCAATAAAGCCAATACCAATAGTGGAAATAGAAAGACTGACAACATCAAATGTGTATGAAGATGTAGAGCGACTAGAACTTACACTGGAAATATAAAAGTATAAGAACTTTGGAAAACAATTTGTGGTTTTCTATACAATTTAAACAAACTTGCCATAAAACCTAACAATCTCACTCCTAGGTATTTATCCCCCCAAATTAAAACATATATTCCACATTAAGACTTGTACATGATTGTTCACAATAGCTTTATTCCTAATAGCCTCAAACTGGAACCAAATATCCATCAACTGGTGAATGGATAAATTGAGCTATGTTTATACACATGTATGTGTATATGCACACACATATACCAGCATATTACTCAGCAATATAATAAAACTAACTACTGACACATGCCAGAATATAGATGCATCTCAGAGGCATAATGCTAAGCAAATGAAAGAAGCCAAACAGAAAAGACTCTTTTCTGTTCAATTCCATGTATAGTTGTCCCTCAGTATCCATAGAGGATTGTTTCCAGGACCCCCCAAAATACCAAAATCAATAGATGCTTGACTCCCTTATATAAAATGGCCTAGTATTTTCATATAACCTATGGACATCCTCCCATATACTTTAAATCATCTCTAGATTACTTATAATACCTAATAGAATGTAAGTGCTATGTAAATAGCTATTATACTGTATTATTTTCATTTATATTATTTTTATTGTCAATTTTATTGTTTTTTCTCTAATATTTTCAATGGACAGTTGGTCAACTCTGCAGATGAAGAATCTGTGGATATGAATGGCCTACTCTATATGATATTATTAAATAGGCAAAGACTGTAGTGACAGAAACAGGCCAGTACTTACCACGACCTGGGAGTGGCAGGAGGGAATTGACTGCAAATGTGCAAGAGAGAACATTTCAGGGTAATAGAAATGTTCTATGTCCTCATTGTGATGATGGCTATGTAACTGTGTACATTATCTTCCAAGCATTCACCTAAAAGTTGCAAGCCTTCCACAGAATGCAGAGTTTCTAAATAGATACAGATTCTAATGCAACTGTGTAGATGAGGATTCCTAGTGATTCCTATTCCACCATCTTCCAAGAATCATCTACTAACTAGTAGTTTATTAAGCTAATATAAGACAGGAAAGAAGGACAAAAGAAAGAACAAAGGGAACAAACAGCAAATAAGTGGACTTATGCCCAATCGTATCAATAATTACATTAAATGTAAATAGAGCGAACACTCCAATTAAAGACAAAGCTTTTCTTACTGGATGAAAAAACATAAAAGCCCAATACATGTTGTTTACAAATTATTCCCTTTAAATATAAGATAGAAACTCCCAGTTAGAAAGAAAGAGAAAACACAAATTGCCAATATCACACTTGATAAGGCATGTGTACAGCTGCTGATATTTAAAGTATCATATCTATTACGTTCATATCGAAGGTGTACAACCTAACATGATATTACAACTGGCTAAATGTTGATTCAGGATAATAACAACCATAACCCATGAATTGTGCTAACCAGTTCATCTACATCTTTTTTATTTAGTCTTCCCAAAACCCTGTTGTGTAGATGCTGTTTTTGTTCGTAGTTTATAGATGAGGAAATTGAGGTTTATAGAGAATAACTCACTTGCCCAAAGTCACACAGCTTGTTAATAGTAAAACCGCTTACTTATTGGACTCCTATCCTGGGAATATTCCTAGAATCATAACTGTCTCATCAGAATGAATCTAAATGCATATGTTATTTTTTAAAGGAAGAGTAGCTTTTCTTTTTCTGAAACAATTCTACAGGCTGAAAGTCTTGAAGGGAGAATGGAAAAGCTACTCACTGAATTGCTGCCACTGTTGCCGTGGAAACCTGAAAAGAGATTACATACACATCAGTTTTACAACTCCATCTTTTAATAGGTGCAGAACGTAACCACAGGCTGCCAACTCCTCATGGAAAATTCCCAGAAAAATCCATCTAATCAAAAATCTCTTCCCCTTTTTTAATACAAAAATCCCAATTCACAGAGTAAGCTGAGCTCTGTCAGAGAGGGTGGATAATGATTCCCTTTTCCTGAACTGTTGCTCATCCACTGACTGTTGAGGAGGGAACCAAGACAATGAAATTAAAATAATGCTGAAAAGCAAGAACAAGAAACTACAAGGCATTGGATGCATATGTCTTAAGAGCCAGGTCAAGCGGCACTGGAGGGGGCGCTGTGGGTACTGACTTGAACAAATGGTAAATATCACTGAGATAAATATGCAAATGTAAAGTGGTCCCACCCATGGTAACAAAGGCAGCATCCTCCACTGGGAGCAAAATGAAACACTGTTTGGTAGCACAGACCTAACTCTGTTGAGCATTTCGGTGATGCTGAGGTACAGACACTGTCAATGGAAAGTGAGTTGTCACAGTAAGATGGAATTCTGAAACTGAATACAGTATAAGTCTGTTTACAAAGTAAAAGTAATGTCCTTGCTTATCTAAAAAGGCCCGTTCATAAGTCTCCCTAAAAGCTGATTTGAAAAGTTACAAAGAAAACTAAAGCAAGAATAGTAAGTAGAGAAAAAGACATGATGTGCCCATTTTCATGACTTTGGACTTTGGGTTAGCCAATAAAAATGATTTAGTAGATATATTAATTAGGATTGGATTTAGTTGCAGATGACAGGAATCTCAAAGTAACCATAGCTTAAACAACATAGAATTTTACTTCTCTCTCACTTAAAAGTCTGCATAGGTCATCTATA
Organism: Homo sapiens; assembly: GCF_000001405.40. Taxonomy (NCBI): domain Eukaryota; kingdom Metazoa; phylum Chordata; class Mammalia; order Primates; family Hominidae; genus Homo; species Homo sapiens. The sequence goes on along the minus strand of NC_000014.9, from coordinate 58,947,428 downwards.
GCTGATATGGCAGCTTCACGATCATCAGAGATCTAAGCTCCCCGAGCTTGTTGTTTGACCACTCTCAGCATGCAGTTTCTGACTCATGCTCCAAAATGGCTATTCGAGCTGCATCCCACATATCCACAGCAAAGCCAGCAGAAAGGAGAAAAGAATGGAGAAGGCCACTAGCTTTCCCTTTAAGGACACTGCCCTGAAGTTTCCTACACTTCTATTTACATCCTATTGGCCATGTACCACGTGGGCTTGATCTACCTGTGTGCCCCAGACAAGCAGGACTTCACATGTTGAATAGAAATAACCAGAGAAAGAGGGAGACAGTTGTTCTCTGTATAGTTTAGGGAACCATAGGACTCAGGTTTGATTCATTTGTTCATATATTCATTCAAGACACAATTATTAGTCATATAGTATGTGTCAGGCTCTGTGTTCGATTCTGGAAATAAAAAAGACAATAGCAACACATCAATAAGCAAATCATTTCAACACAATGTGAAATAAATTTCATATAGGTTAAAAAAAAGTAGCTAACTTTGTTGTGTTGCAAGAAAGAGCTTTTAAGAAAATTTCACAGAGGAAATGCCATGTAAACTAAGTCTTTAAAAAATAGGACTTAGCCAATGAAGAAGAGCTAGGGGGAGAGGGTGGAGGAGAGGCAAGAGTTGCTGGAGAGTATTAGAAAATGGAGAAGCCATTCCAGACAGCAGGATGAACAGATGCAAATGTGACAAAATATGAGAAAGTATAGCTTGCTAGGAAATGCTCAGGAGTTCCACAGGACTTGGAATGGGGATGAGAGATGCAGGAAGAGAGCCAGTGGGGAGGAGTGGTAGAAGATGAGGCTGAAACACAGGCAGAGGCCCCATGGTGAAGGGTTTTGTGGACAGATTGGAGAGCTTACACATCATTCTGCACTCAGAAGGAAGCCACTAGAGAGATCTAGGAATGAGAGGATCACAGCGAGATTGAATTTTGAAAGATTAATCTGGAAGATGTGGAAATGTGGAAGAAGCCAGGAGACAGGCATGATTGAAAACAGAAAAATACTGTTTATTTATTGAGCACTGACTGAACATCAACTCTTTGCCAGGCACTCTACTAAGTGCTACAGACACCAAATGAAGTGCAACAGACACAGAAAACACCAAGGACATGCAGAAGAGGGAGAGACATAAACCAGTGTTAACATTGTTCTGCAACATGTGTGAAAATAGGAAGGGGGAAAATGATCTGGGATGACAGTAAAGAAAGTGCCCTACTCTGCTGGGATGAAACCAGAAAACTTCAAAGAAAAACAAACTTTGGTTTGTGAAAGCTGATTAGAAGTTTGACAGGTGGTCAAAGGCTGCAAAAGGCATTCCTGGCAGATCATATGGTACCTACAAATATAAAGAGTCATGAAGACAAACTGCAGGTAGTTCAATGAGTGCAAGTGTCAGGGGTGGAAATTAGTCCCAGATGAAGACAGAGGCAGTTGGGGAGTCACATGATCAGACCCGGCAAGAGGTGCTGGCCAATGTAGGAAAAGATGAGAGCCTGATTTAGAGTGGATGAAAAGGGGGGTCACCACACCACAGATCTCCACTTCATCCTTCTGATCCACCCCATACCCTTCACCACTCTGCTTTATTGACCAGGAGGCTGAGTTGCATGGATTGCATCAATAGGTTCTCTTGTCTTCTAGCTTCCAGTTGGGTTCAACCAGTGAGGAACAATAGAAGATTAATTGGGGAGGAGGATGTGAAGAAGTGAGGTCAGGGGAGGTATTTATCCCCTCAGTTCCTGGCCTGTGGAGTTACATGGACTGGCTTCATGCTCCTGTTGGGAGGTCCTGTCCCCACAGAGCTCTTGTGCTTTTTCTCTCTCTTCTGTGCTCTTGCTTTCTTGTGTTCTGGTTCCCAGAACCCTCCCCATTCAAGCATAGAAGTGGTAACAGAAACCCATGAGCTACAGGGTATTACACTATCCCTTGTGGTTTCCCTACACTAGGCTCTTTGAAAATAACCTCTTTATTACATTCTAAAATTATGCGATCAGCATGCCAACTGTTTTCTGCCAGGATTCTAACTAATATAACACTAAATACCACTCTCACTTAAACCTCATTTCTTCACAACTCTTACAACTTTTATGTATAAACTGGAGCCACCAGTTTTCCAGAAGGAATGATTAAACCCCCAAGATGGTTCACAGCTCTCACAATTCTTGTTTGAAAGGTCAAAGATAACAATCTGGCAGGTTCAGATGGATAAAACTAAATTCTTGCTACTGACAAGTTCAAAAGTTAGTGCAGGCTATAAACTTGTGCACACACAACAGTAAAACTCACCAGACTAATCTTTGGCATACTTCCTGGGTATAGTATAGTTTAAGCAAATCGTCTAGGCTGAAAAAAATCCATCATTTCCAATTTCGAATTCTAGGGAGAGAGAATCTGATGGTCTATCTTGAATCTGGGTTCAGTTCTAATCTAGTCCGGGTGGCTCTAACATGGCTGTTTGAGATTCATTATTATGTGGGGAGAGAAAGTTTCCAGATAAAAGGTATGGGTATAGGATGCACAGACATTCCTAAAAGCATCTATCACAGTCGATACATAGGCACCAGTCAGTCTTTCTTTAACTGAATAATTTCATAAGGCAGAGTGTGATGTGCCAAGAAAGGCTAATTTAAAGTCTCTCTTGCCATAAGTTACTCTAGTGCTGTGCTGTTTTTTTTTAAGAGAAGGGATAACAGCATATTTACAACTCAATTGTATTTCTATTATTCTAGTTCTAGTCAAATTAGACATTCCTTAGTCCCACAGTGATTTTTGTGGGGGAGGGGTATTGCTACACCTGCCACACAGCTGGGTCCAAGGACTGCCTGCATGCTCCCAGCATGCTCTGGGGCTAGTTTCCATGCCAACCAATCTAGGAGTGTTTCCACCCTCTCTACCCGCTCCGGGACAGAGCTAATAGAATAGGCATGTATAAGGAAGAGTAGGAGACAGGTTGGATAAGTATACGCAATTATTTTTACGGCACTGTGGTCTCAAATTATTCCTTATGCTAGTCCCCTTTATAACCCATTATAATAGGCAACAGATTACAATGTCTTTCCTGCTAAGTGCTCGGAGCTCTTTCAAATACGCTGTCACATTATCCTCACAGCAACCCTAAGAAATAAGAAAGGTTTTATTTTGCAATTTGGGAAACTAAGGCACAGAATGGTGAAATGGCCATCTTCCACACGCAGGATGAGGCAATGCTGGCATTAGGGTGGGATTCAGGAATCATGTCTCTAAAATCTGTGTTTTCAACATATTTCTCTGCTTTCCTGTCTCTCTGTGCCTGAAGCTCCAGAGAAAATCAACTCAATACAGTTTTGATTAAATATCATCCTCATTTTATCTGTGTTAATTGTAAAATGGCACAAATGGTGGGAAATGCTACTGAGGAAGAAAATTAGGCAAACTTAAAGAAAAAGGCAGGTGAATACAAAGACTGGGAAATAGGAAAGCAAGTAGATATGTTTAACTAAAGTTAAAATATTTCATACAAATTTTCCTTCAAGGAAAAGAAACAACCACTCAGCTTTGGAATAACAGATGTTTAGTCTACTGTCATGAAGCATATGTGTGACTTGGGGAAATAAAAATATAATAATAAATGTGGCAAAGATTAATAAGAGACACCTCAAATAGTGAAAGGAAAACTCAGGAAGATGTGCACAGAAGAAAATGAGCAAAAATGTCAGCCCACTTTTCACCTCTCCTGGAGATTCTACCTTTGGCTTCAACTGTCTCAGGGAGAGAAAACCATGACCACATCCCGGGCATGGACAAAAGCATACCTTTGTGAAATGGAGGTTGAAGACACATTAAACCTTGTCAAAGTGCTGATGCCATTGTCTTAAAGATCATGAGATTAATTTTACCTCATTACCCCATATGAAAAGCTACAACCAAAAAAGATCACTTTAGCCAGTGAATGTAGAAATGCCAGAATGTAATTTTATGTCCTTGCTGTTTGTCCAAAGAAATAACCAATCATTTCAAAGGGACTCCAAAATTCAAAAGCCAATGACATGTTAGTGTCAGGTGCTTTCTGAATCCCAAACTTTGGGTACCCAAAATACTTATTCTGGACTTGGCATATTACGGAATGTTGATCTCTGCTCTGAATTCTCAGATCCAGGAGTGGCAACACCCACTCACATCACTATATCCTACCTCAGGATCTTTGCAGCATAGAATATTGGCCTAGGACTGAGGAAACCTCTTTACTTCTCTCCTGAGTACAACACCTGTGATTTTCATTGCCTGTTTGCCACAGGGCAACATGCCCCATTGGATTCCCCACCCGATTCCATCCCAGAGAGCAGGGTTTTGGAGTCAAAGTAAAGAGCTTCAGATTCTGGCTCGTGGTAAACATTACGCTGACCAATGACACTTCCAAAGAGTGACCTTAGGCAAGGTCACTTCTCCTCTCTGATCTTCAGTGTTCTTATCTAATAAACTATATTAACAACACCAACCTCATAGGTATTATGAGAATTAAATGAGATAATGCACGTAAATTTTAGTCCAGTGCCTGGAATATAGTCAGCACTCAATAATTGCTAGCTATTTAAAAACAACATCCTAGAAATCTGTCTCAACGGGCCTCTGCCCAACAGACAGGCCTCTTGTGTCACACTCATAGGGGCCTCTTGTGTCATACTTACAGAGTGCAAACACAGAGCAGGGCAGGGAAAAGCTAAACTGGAAAGGGGAGGCTGTGAAAGTAGTGAGTCAGTAGGAGCCAATTAACTAGTTGCCAGAAGAATGTATTAAGAGTTTCTCTGGACAGAATGGATGATAGTGGGTACAGAACAGTTAAATGAGCAGAGTTTAAGCTTGTTAGAGCAAATCTAAGAAGGGACACAGATATATTAAGTACATTCATAAAAATAGACAGACTTGGGAAAATATACTTAAATTAAATGAAAGGTTTGTATTGAAAACTAGTCTTCTCCCAAGCTCATTAGAGTGGCAAGTCAATTATCCCTTAACAAACTTAGAGAGTTGCTTTTACATGATGAGGTGAATTAGGAGACTAAACAATTCAAAACACTAGCAGTAAATCTAAGCCACATCCAGAACTTGAGCAGAGCTAACACATTTTTAGATGATGAAAAAGTAGATGCTGTATAGAGGAATTCAAAAGACACAAGTAACATGCTTAAAGTATTCCAAATGTATTTACAAAGAAAGATTTATTCTTTGCTGCTTTCAGTATGTTGCTTCAAGCAAGAATGATCTCTTTATTACATCCCTGGTTCACACTCCTTTCCTTTTTAATACGCTACCCTTCATTTGCCACACAAAGATATTTCAGATCTGCCATAAACACATATATGCCCCATGCAGTATAATGATAAACTAGCTGTTACAAAGAGCTTAGAAACCAGACAGACTGTTTCTACATATCTAACCCAAGTTATTTACTGTGGCTTAGCATATTTTCAATAGCAGTTCAACCACATGCTTAACTCTAACACAGAATTCTTTTCACCAGCTATGGAAAAAAAATAATCAAAGAGACTATTGCTTCTGTGGAAGTTCTTGTACATGACTCCAGGGGAATTATCCTTTCCCTCATTCCAACATGCTTTATGAGGTTGCCCCAACCTGGCTGCACTAAACCCTTAAAATACACGATTCTGTGTGCACTACAGTCGTCAAGATTGGAAGAGTCCCAAGAGTCTCTGAAAGACAAGAAAGAATGCTTTAAAGCACTGAGACCATTAATTATCCTGGCAGAACCCTAACAAGTGAAGCATTTCCCTTCACAATCTGCATTATCCCAGTCCCCTTCAAAGCACCATTTTCAAAAACTGACAGCCTCCACCTAGCAGACTCTGTACATTGTCTGCCCTTCCACCCGGATCATCAAGCTTCTGACCAAGGAGACAGGATGGCAAAATGTCAGCAGTGCCTCCACGTGGGAGATGGCATGCACTCACTTCTGGTTTAGCCTACTGCTGCCTCACTATGTGATTAAGAGTTTGAGCTGAAGGTAGAATGAACTGGCTCCACCACTCACCACCTTTAAGACCTTATGAAAGTTATTTAGCTTTCCTTAGCCTCAGTTCCCCATCTATCAACTGAGGATAATGACACACCTACCTCTTTGCATTTGGGAAAAATTAAATAAGACAATTTTTATAAATAACTCAATAAGCGCTGTAAACAGTCAACAAATATTAGCTATTGTCATAGACAATAAACTTTGGAGATGCAGCCCGACCTTTTTCTTCCTGAGCATTCCTTCATTCATTAAATGATTACTGATCCATCTCAGGCATTAGGAAACCATCCGCAAAGCTCCATCAGCTACCTGTGTGAGAGCCCTAAGGTGCAAAAAAACTCTATGCAGCTACTCAAATTTGAGTAAACTATATGCAAATACCCAAATCTGAGGAAACTAGTGCAGTTAAAGAAACCTATCCCCTTCTAGTTTTAGATTATTTCTTTTTTTTTTTTTTTCTGTCAACCAGGCTGGATAGAGTGCAGTGGCGCGATCTCGGCTCACCACAATCTCCGCCTCCCAGGTTGAAGCGATTCTCCTGCCTCAGCCTCCCAAGTAGCTGGGATTACAAGTGTGAGCCACTGTGCCCGGCAAATTTTTGTATTTTTTTTTTAGTAGAGACGGAGTTTCACCATGTTGACCAGGCTGGTCTTGAACTCCTGACCTCAGGTGATCTGCCTTCCTTGGCCTCTCAAAGAGATTATTTCTTTTCCTAAGAATTATTCCACCATACTGCTGGGCTCAATCACATAAAAATCCAAGAGCAATACTAGCAAGTAACTCAATCAGTGATTTATATATGAAAATATACTTATTGCCAATAAATACACTAACAAGTTTAATCTTATTAGTGACTTATATGAATTAAAATGAACCCAATAAGCATTGTATCTATCCAAAAAGTAAACATCTTTAAATGATAATATTCAATGTTATCAAAAGAAGCAGGAAATATATGCTAATGAGAATGTAAATTTCTAGAGAGTATTTTATTAATATTCATATTAATTTTTATTCATATTCATCAAGAAGTCCTTCTCTAAGAAGTGACATCAGCAAGATGGCCAACTAGAAGCTCCTAGCACTCTTCACCAACAAAAAACCCAAAACAATAAATAAACAACCACATTTCAACCAAAATAACTAAAGGAAAGCACCGGAGAACATCAAAAAAAGCAGCAGAAATCCTGTTGAGCAAAGAAACACAAGATTGCCGCATAGAGATGGTAAGAAAACACCTTGCCTTCACCACCCCATCCCCTAACTCGAGATTAGCTCAAAACCGGAAGGGACTGGTTTCCCCTCTGGGGAAAAGGTAAACAAGACAACCCCAGCAGCTCCTATCACCACTGTGGACACATACGATCTTCCCTACTGGAAATGACTGCAGTCCACAGGCTCAGAGCCCAGCTGAGGAAGCTTCCCAGAGTCCACACACTGAGCTACCCCCAGAGAAGAAGCCAACACTGAGCTCAGTATCCCCCACCCCCAACATGGCCCATGCTGTTACTGCTCTGTGCTCTCTTGGAACCACAGCCCCTGCTAGAGCGTGTCCTGCTCCAGAGATGAGTAGCCATTGCATCCCTCTGTCCCTGAGGCTTAGCTGCCACTAAATCATGCTCACCTTATAGCACACCATCCACCAACAGAGATGCTGCTATGTCCTACCCTCTAAACAAGCTACCACAGAGCCACTCCATCCCTCCCATCTCAGTCACTACTGCACCCTCCCCATAGAGCTAAGCAGAAATGGTCCCCCAACCCCCAGAGACCCGGAGCCTTGAACTACCAGAGTAGACACACCCCCATGCCACACTGAGGTGGCACAATGCTCCTTGGGGACTCTAAGCTCAAGTACATCAGAGCAGTTGCACCTCCTTGCACCACAGCTGACATGGCATCCTAACTTAAGGGATCCAGAGGCTCCACTGACACATGTAGCACCACATTCTGGGGCTGAGCAGATGTTTCACTTTGGGTCCTATGGAATCCAGAACCTTGACTCAACTGTGCCACCCCACACTCCAAGCCAAGCAGCCACAAGGTCCTGTCTACCTGAAACTGGACTAGCCGCCACCAACCCAAGCTGCTGAGGCACTCTGACTTTGTGGGAGTGTAGTCATTGATGTAATTTTCCCTGTTCCCCGAGGCCTAAACCACAGTGGTATCTTGGCATCTCTAGGTCCTTGCTGTGCTGTACCTAGCCTCATAGAGCCTGGGCTACTGCTGTGTCTCACAGGCCGGAGTTATCATTGTGTGGTACCTCATGCCTTGTTGGTTCCAGGTCCCAAATTGCAGCTGTGCCCTGCTCCACAGGAGCAGGATGGGCTTTGAGAGCACTCCTTCATTCTTAGAGCCCAACCAGATCTGTGCCTTGCCCCGACCCCCAGAGTCAGAACAACAGCTACATTCCAGCCCCTGAGGCCTGAGCTATACACCCCAGCTTAGTCGGGTAACTGCATTCACTTGTGCCTTGGAGTGTAAACCTGTACCTCAAGTCCCAGGTGGTGGAGTAGTTTCATAAGACCCAGGGCCCAGGAACCCAACTCCACAACTGCTCCAATCACCAGCACCCTGAATTCCATTGCCACTGTGGCTTCCTGTGAGCAAGGTCATACCCAAAACCAAGAGCAATCCCAAGTCTCCCCTCTGTGAGAAAGATGAGAATAGGAGGATTCATAAAGCCCTTGTCCTAATAATATACATAGCCACTGTCACTGCCACAGACTCAGCCTATAATACTGAAGCAACTGCAGTCATCACTGATGTAGATTATAAACTGAAGAAGCTGTATAGAGACAATACCACATGGAACCAGAGCCACCATGTCCTGCTCAATCAGCACCCTCAGGCCCATCTGCAAGTGAAAGTCATCCCCTATGAAAGCCACTCTGTAAAGTTTGGGAGAGGAGACTGTGCCACAAGATGTATAGACAACAATACAAGGACATAAGGAACATGAAAAATGAAGGAAACATGACACCACCAAAGGAACACAGTAATTCTCCAGTAACTAACCCCAAACCCAGTGGAAATTAATGAATTGCCTAAAAAGGAATTCAAAATAGTAATCTTAACAAAACTCAGTGAGATATAAGAAATACAAATAGACAATTCAAGGAAATCAGGAACACAATTTATAATCTGAATAAGAAACTCAACAAAAAGAGAGATATTAAAAAATATGTAACTCTTGAGTTTAAGGAATTCAATCAATGAAATAAAAATATGTAATTGAGAACTTCAACAGCAGACTAGAACGGAAAGAAGAAATAATCTGAACCTGAAGACTGTTCTATTGAAATGACTCAATCAGAAGGAAAAAGAGAATGAAAAAGAGGGCTGGGCAGAGTGGCTCATGCCTGTAATCCTGGCACTTTGGGAGGCCAAGGTGGGCAAGTTGCTTAAGCCCAGAAGTTCAAGACCAGCCTGGGCAACATGCAAGACCCCATCTCTACAAATAAATACAAAAGTTAGCAGGGCATGGTGGCACATGCCTGTAGTCTCAGCTGCTCAGGAAGCTGAGGTGGGACGATCACATGAGCCTGGGGAGGTCAAGGCTGCAGTGAGCCATGATCATGCCACTGCACTCTAGCCTGAACAACAGAGCAAGACCCTGCCTCAAAAAAAATTTTTTTTAAAGAATGAAAGACAGAAAGAATGACAATATAAAGACAGTTTACAGAACTTATGGGATACCATTAGCGAACAAATTCTGTACTATGGAGTTTTTAGAGGGAGAAGAGACAAAGGGTAGAAAATGTATTTAATAAAATAATTGCTGAAAACTTCCCAGGTCTTGGGAGAAATATGAACATCCAACTCTATGAAGCTGAAAAATTCCCAAATAGATTAAACCCAAAAAGATCCTTTCTGAAGCACATTATAGTCAAAATGTCAACAAAGACAAAAATAATTTTTCAAGAGCAAGAAAAAAGCATCAAGTCATATATAAGGAAATCCCCATTAGACTATCATTGGACTTCTCAGTAGAAATTTTGTAGGCCAGGAGAGAATGGGATGATGATATGGTTTGGCTGTGACCCCACCCAAATCTCATCTTGAATTATAGCTCCTATAATTCCCACATGTTGTGGGAGTGAGCTGGGGGGAGGTAATTGAATCATGGGGCTCGGTCTTTCCCATGATGTTCTCATGATAGTGAATAAGTCTCATGAGATCTGATGGTTTTATAAATGGGAGTTTCCCTGCACAAGCTCTCTCTTGCCTGTCACCATGTAAGATGTGACTTTGCTCCTCATTCACCTTCTGCCATGATTGTGAGGCCTCTTCAGCCATGTGGAACTGTGAGTCAATTAAACCTCTTTCCTTTATAATTACCCAGTCTTGGGTATGTCTTTATTAGCAACATGAGAACAGACTAATACAGTAAATTGGTACCAAGTAGTGAGGCGCAACTGTAAAGATACTTGAAAATGTGGAAGCAACTTTGGAAATAGATAACAGCAGATATTGGAACAGTTTGGAGGGCTCAGAAGAAGACAGGAAGATGTGGGAAAATTTGGAACTTCCTAGAGACTTGTTGAATGGCTTTGACCAAAATGCTGATAGTCATATGGATGATAAAGTTCACAATGAGATGGTGTCAGATGGAGATGAGAAACTTGTTGGGAACTGGAGCAAAGGTGACTCTTTCTTTGTTTAGCAAAGATATTGGTGGCATTTTGCTTCTGTCCTAGAGATCTGTGGAAGTTTGAACTTGAGAAAGTTGATCTAGGGCATCTGGTGGAAGAAATTTCTAAGCAACAAAGAATTCAAGAAGTGACTTGGGTCACCACAACCGTTAAAAGCATTCAGCTTTATGAATTCACAAAGATATTGTTTGGAATTGGAATTTATGTTTAAAAGGGAAGTAGAGCATAAAAGTTTGGAAAATTTGCAGCGGGATAATGCAATAGAAAAGAAAAACCCATTTTCTGAGGAGAAATTCAAGCCAGCTGCAGAAATTTGCATAGGTAACAAGAAGCTAAATGTTAATCACCAAGACAATGGGGAAAATGTCTCCAGGGCATGTCAGAGGTCTCCACAGCAGCCCCTCACATCACAGGCCTGGAGGCCCAGGAAGAAAAAATGGTTTTGTATGCTGGGCCCAGGGCCTTGCTGCCCTGTGAAGTCTCAGGACTTGATGCTGTGTCCCAGCCACAGCTAAAAGGGGCCAAGGTAGAGCTCAGATCATTGCTTCAGAGGGTGCAAGCCCTAAGCCTTAGCAGCTTACAAGAGGTGTTGGGTCTGCAGGTACACAGAAGTCAAGAAGTGAGGTTTGGGAACCTCTGCTTAGATTTCAGAGGATGTATGGAAATGCCTGGATGTCCAGGCAGTGGTGTGCTGCAGGGACACAGCCCTTATGGAGAACCTCTGCTAGGGCAGTGCAGAAGGGAACTGTGGGGTACAAGCGCCCAAACAGAGTCCCCTCTGGGGCACTAACTAGTGGAGCTGTGAGAAGAGGGCCACCATCCTTCAAATTCCAGAATGGTGGATCCACCGACAGCTTGCACCTGGAAAAGCCACAGACACTCAATGGCAGCCTGTGAAGACAGCCAGGAGGGAGGCTGTATCCTGCAAAGTCAAAGGGACAGCACTACCCACAACCATGGGACGCCACCTCTTGCATCAGTGTGACCTGAATGTGAGACATGGAGTCAAAGGAGATCATTTTGGAGATTTAAGATTTGACTACCCTGCTGGATTTGGGACTTGCATAGGGCCTGTAGCTCCTTTGTTTTGGTCAATTTCTCCCATTTGGAATGGGTGTATTTTCCCAATGTCTGTGGCCCCATTGTATCTAGGAAGTTATTACCTTGCTTTTGATTTTACAGGCTCCTAGGCAGAAGGGACTTGCCTTGTCTTAGATGAGATGTGGGACTATGGACTTTTGAGTTAATGCTGAAATGAGTTAAGATTTGAGGGACTGTTGAGAAGGCAAGATTGGTTTTGAAATGTGAGGACATGAGACTGTTGAGAAGGCAAGATTGGTTTTGAAATGTGAGGACATGAGATTCGGAAGGGGCCAGGGGTGGAATGATATCATTTGTCTATGACCTCCCCCAAATCCATCTTGAATTGTAGCTCCTGTAAGTCCTATGTGTTTTGGGAGGGACCTGGTGGGACATAGTTGAATCATGGGGGTGGGTCTTTCCCATGATGTTCTCATGGTAGTGAATAAGTCTCACAAGATCTGATGGTTTTATAAATGGTAGTTTCCCTGCACAAGCTCTCTCTTGCCTATTGCCATGTAAGACATGACTTTGCTCCTCATTCACCTCTGCCATGATTGTGAGGCCTCTCCAGCCATGTGGAACTGTGAGTCAATTAAACCTCTTTCCTTTATAAATTACCCAGTCTTGGCTATGTCTTTATTAGCAGCATGAGAACACACTAATATGGATGATATATTTAACTGGTGAAAAAAAACAAAACCAAAAACAAACCAAAAAAAAAAAAAAAACCTGTCAGCTCATGGAAGCAATCTAAATGCCCATCAGTGACAGACTGGATAAAGAAAATGTGGTATATATATACCATGGAATACTACGCAGCCATAAAAAAGAATAAGGTCATGCCTTTTGCAGGAACATGGGGGTTGGAGCTGGAGGGCATTATCCTTAGCAAACTAACACAGGAACAGAAAATGAAATACCACATGTTCTTACTTATAAATGGGGGGTAAATGAGAACTCATGAACACAAAGAAGGAAATAACTGACATGAATCTACTTGAGGATGGAGGGTGGGTGGAGGGAGAGGAGCAGAAAATATATTAATAACTGTTGGGTATCAGGTGATGAAATAATCTGCACACCAAACCTCTGTGACACAAGTTCACCTATGTAACAAATCTTGACCTGTACTCCTGAACCTAAAATAAAAGTTTTTTTTAAATGTCAGCCAAGAATACTATGCTCACCAAATTTGTCCTTCGCAAATGGAGAAATAGTCTTACCCGAACAGGCAAAAGCTAAGAGAATTCATTACCACTAGGCCTGGTTTATTAAAAAGAAATGCTTATGGGAGTTCTTCAAGCATAAACAAAAGGGTGATAATTACTATAATGAATACATATGAAAATATAAAACTCACTGGTTGAGGTAAATACATAGGCAAATCCAGAATGCTCCAATACTGTAATCATACATATTTCTTGTATGAAGGCTAAAAGTTAAAATGGTAAAAAATAACTAAAGCTACAATAAGTTGTTAAGAAATACACAGTGTAAAAAGATGTAAAATATGACATCAAAGATATAAATTGTGGGATGGTAGGGTAAAAGTCTAAAGTTTTTGTATTCAACAGAATTATTAGCTTAAAACAGTAGATGATAGCTATAATGCAAGATGTTTTATGTAAGCATCATGGTAAACACAAAACAAAACACTGCAGCATATATACAAACAATTAAAAAAAGAATCAAAGTTTAGCACTACAGAAAACTACTGAAACCCAAAGGCAGTTAAAAAGAGAGGAAGAAAGGAACAAAAGAGCTATAAAACAACCAGAAAACAAATAACAATATAGCAGTAATAAGTTCTTACCTATCAATAGGCACTTTGAATGTACATGGATTAAATTCTCTAAACCTGGGCAACATAGCAAAACCCTGTCTCTACTAAAAATTAAGAAATTAGCTGGATGTTCTTGTAGTCCCAGATGCTCAGGAAGCTGAGGCAGACAGTTCGCTTGAGCCAAGGAGTTTGAGGTTACAGTGAGTTATGATCAAACTACTGCACCCCAGCCTGGGTAACAGGGTGAGACAATGTCTCTGTATTTTTAAAAAATTCTCTAATCAAAAAACAAAAAGTGTCTGAATGGATTAAAAAAAAAACGAGTTCTAACTATTTGCTAAGAGACCCAAGTAAGCATTAAGGATACACAAAGGCTGAAAGTAATGGATGAAATAAGATATTCCATAGAAATGGTAACCCCAAGAGAATAGGGGTGGCTATATTTCTATCTGATAAAATAAGACTTCAAGTCAAAAACTGTCATAAGAAACAAAAAGTGCCATTATTTAATATTACAGGAGCCAATTCATGCAGAGGACATAATAGTTGTAAATATATATGCACCCAACATTGGAGCACCTAAATATATAAAGCAAATAATAATGGAAATAAAAGGAGAAATAGACAACAATACAGTAATGGTAGGAGACTTCAATAGCCCACTTCAAACAATGGATAGATTGCACTTTTGACCAAATGTCTCCAACAGATTTATATGGAACTTTCTGTCCAACAACAGGAGAACACACATTTTCTCCAGTATACATGGAGCATTATTCAGGATAGACCATATGTTAAGCCACAAAACTAGTATGAACAAGTTTAAGAAGATTAAAATGTTATCTAGTATCTATTTCAGACCACAATGGTATGGAAGTAGAAAGCAGTAACAGGAGAAATTTTGGAAAATTCACAAATGTGTGGAAATTAAGTAACACGCTCCTAGCAACCAATGGCTCAAAGAAGTCAAAAGGAAAAATTTAAAATGTTTTGAGACAAATGACATTGAAAACACAACATACCCAAACCTAGGTGATGTAGCAGAAGCAGGTCTAAGAGAAAAATTTATAGCAATAAATGTATATAATAAAAGAAAATACCAAATAAATAGTCCAACATTATACCTCAAGATACTAGTAAAAGAACAAACTAAACCCAAAATTAGCAGGTAGAAGGAAATAATTAAAATCAGAACAGAAATAAATCAAATAGAGAACAGAAAAACCATAGTTCAATAAAACTAAGAGTTTTTTTTAAAACAAAGATGATAAAATCTTAGCTAAACTAAGAAAAAAAGGAAGAATCAAGTAAATACAATTTGAAAAATGAAAATGAAGAAACTACAACAGATACTTCAGAAATAAAAAGGATCATAAAAGATTGCCATGAACAATTATATGCCAACAAATTGGATATTCTAAAGAAAATTGACACCTCTTTAGGAAAGTACAAATACAACCTACCAAAATTGAGTCAGGAAGAAATAGAAAGCCTTAACAAACTAATAACAACATCAAAAAAAGAGATTGAAGAAATAATCAAATATCTCCCAACAACAGCAACAAAAAAGCCCAGGACCAGATGGCATCATAGCTAAATTCTACCAAACATTCAAAGTAGTTAATACCAATACTTCTTAAAGTCTTCCATAAAAAATAGAGCTAGAGGAAATACTTTCAAATCTATTTTATAAGGCCAGTATCACCTTAATACATAGGATAAAGACATCACAAGAAAAGAAAACTACAGGCCAATTTATCTGATAAATATTGATGCAAAAATTTTCAATAAAATATTAGCAAGCCAAATCCAACAACACACAGAAATATTATACATTATAACAAGTGTGATTTATCCCTGCCATGCAAAGCTAGTCTAACATATGTAAATTAATTAATATGATGCATCACATCAACAGAATGAAAGATAAAAACCACACAGTCATCTCAATTGATGTGGAAAAATCATTCCACAAAGCCCAACATCCTTTCTTTATAAAAACTCTGAAGAGTTTAGGTATAGAAGGATTGATCTTTAATATAATAAAGGCCATTTATGGAAAACTCACAGCTAACATAATCAATGGGGGAAAACTGAAAGCTTTTCCACTGTGATCTGGTACAAGGCAGGCATGTGTACTCTTGTTATTTTTATTCAACATAGTACTGAAAATACTAGCAGAAACAGTCAGACAAGAAAAATAAATAAAAGGCATCCAAATCAGAAAGGAAGACATAAAGTGATCTTCATCTGTAGATGACATGATCCTATATGTGAAAAACACCTAAGATTCCACAAAAAAACTGTTAGAACTAAATGAATTCAGCAAAGTTGCAGGATACAGAATCATCATATCCAAATTAGTAGTACTTTTATACACAAATGATGACTAACTTAAAAAGAAACCAAGAAAAGAAGCCCTTGGCAGATATAAGAATTACTTGTGTAGTCAGCCTCTCATTCTTCCTCACTGATATGGTTTGGCTGTGTGTCCCCACCCAAATCATATCTTGAATTGTACTTCCATAATTCCTGTGTGATGTGCGAGGGACCCTGTAAGAGATAATTTGAATCACGGGGGTGGTTTCCCCCATACTGTTCTTATGATAGTGAATAAGTCTCATGAGATCTGATGGTTTTATCAGGGGTTTCCACTTTTGCATCTTCCTCATCTTCTCTTGCTGCCCCCATGTAAGAAGTGCCTTTCCCCTCCCACCATAGGTGGCCTCCCCAGCCATGCGGAACTGTAAATCTAATTAAACCTCTTTTCTTCCTGGTCTTTGGTATGTTTTTATCAGCAGTGTGAAAACAAACTAATACAGAAAATTGGTACCAGTAGAGTGGGGGCATTGCTGAAAAGATACCCAAAAATATGGAAGTGACTTTTGAACTGGGTAACAAGCAGAGGTTGGAAATGTTTGGAGGGCTCAGAAGAAGACAGAAGAATGTGAGACAGTTTGGAACTCCCTAGAGACTTGTTGAATGGCTTTGACCAAAAGCCTGATAACAATATGGACAATAAGGTCCAGGCTGAGGCGGCCTCAGATGGAGATGAGGAACTTGTTGGGAACTGGAGCAAAGGTAACACTTGCTATGTTTTAGCAAAGAGACTGGTGGCATTTTGCCCCACCCTAGAGATTTGTGGAACTTTGATCTTGAGATGATTTAGGGTATCTAATGAAAGAAATTTCTAAGCAACAAAGCATTCAAGAGGTAACTTGGGTGCTGCTAAAGGCATTCAGTTCTATAAGGGAAGCAGAGCATAAAAGTTTGGAAAATTTGCAGCCTGACAACGTGATAGAAAAGAAAAACTCATTTTCTCAGGAGAAATTCAAGTCGGCTGCCGAAATTTGTATAAGTAACAAGGAGCTGAATGTTAATCCCCAAGACAATGGGGAAAATGTCTTCGGGGCATGTCAGAGGTCTTCACGGCAGCCCTTCCCATCACAGGCCCTGAGGTCTAGGAGAAAATGGTCTCATGGGCTGGGCCCAGGGTCCCGTCCCCATACTGCATGCAGCCTAGGGACTCAGTGCCCTGCATCCCAGCTGCTCCAGCCATGGCTGAAAGGAGCCAATGTAGAGTTCGGGGCAGGACTTCAAAGGGTGTAAGCCCCAAGCCCTGGCAATTTCCACGGGGTGTTGAGCCTGTGAGTGCACAGAAGTCAAGAATCAAGGTTTGGGAACCTCTGCCTAGATTTCAGAAGATGTATGGAAATGCCTGGATACCCAGGGAGAAGTTTGCTGCAGGGGCAGGGTGCTCATGGAGAACCTCTGCTAGGGCAGTGCAGAAGGGAAATGTGAAGTCAGAACCCCCACACAGAGTCCCTACTGGGCCATGGCCTAGTGGAACTATAAGAAAAGGGCCACTGTCCTCCAGACTCCAGAATGCTAGAGCCTCCAACAGCTTGCACCGTTCACCATTCACCTGGAAAAGCTGCAGACACTCAATCCCAGCCCATGAAAGCAGCTTGGAGGGAAGCTGTATCCTGCAAAGCCACAGGGGCAGAGCTGCCCAAGACCATGGGATGCCACCTCTTGCATCAGTGTGACCTGGATGTGACACCTGGAGTCAAAGGAGATCATTTTGGAGCTTTAAATTTTGACTGCCCTGCTGGTTTTCGGACTTGCATGGGCCCTGTAACCACTTTGTTTTGACCAATTTCTCCCATTTGGAATGACTGTATTTACCAAATACCTGTACCCCCATGGTATCTAGGAAATCAGTAGCTTGCTTTTGATTTTACAGGCTCATAGGTGGAAGGGACTTGCCTTCTCTCAGATGAGACTTTGGGCTGTGGGCTTTTGGGCTAATGCTGAAGTGAGTTATGCTTTCCCAACAGTTCCTCCCAAAGTGCTGGGATTACAGGTGTGAGCCACTGTGCCCAACCTCTTGACTTTTTAATAATCACCCTTCTGACTGGCATGAAGTGGTATTTCATTGTGGTTTTGATTTCCATTTCTCTAATGATCAGTGATGTTAAGCTTTTTTCATACATTATTTGGCTGCATAAATGTCTTCTTTTTTTTTTTTCAGATGGAGTCTCACTCTGTCACCCAGGCTGGAGTGCAGTGGTGTGATCTCCGCTCACAGCAAGCTCTGCCTCCCGGGTTCACGCCATTCTCCTGCCTCAGCGTCCCGAATAGCTGGGACTACAGGCGCCCACCACCACGCCCAGCTAATTTTTTTGTGCTTTTAGTAGAGACGGGGTTTCACCATGTTAGCCAGGATGGTCTCAATCTCCTGACCTCATGATCCGCCCGCCTCGGCCTCCCACAGTGTTGGGATTAGTGTTGGCATGAGCCACCGTGCCCAGCCAAATGTCTTCTTTTGAGAAGTGTTTGTTCATGTCCTTTGTCCACTTTTTAATGGGGTTGTTTTTTTCTTGTAAATTTAAGTTCCTTGTAGATTCTTGATATTAGACCTTTGTCAGATGGATAGATTGCAAGAATTTTCTCCCATTCTGTAGGTTATCTATTCACACTGAAGATAGTTTCTTTTGCTGTGCAGCTCTTTAGTTTAATTAGATCTCATTTGTCAATTTTTGCTTTTTGTTGCAATTGCTTTTGACATTTTCATCATGAAATCTTTGCCCATGCCTATGTCCTGAATGGTATTGCCTAGATTTTATTCTAGGGGTTTTATAGTTTTGGGTTTTACATTTAAGGCTTTAATCCATCTTGAGTTAATTTTTGTATAAGCTATAAGGAAGGGGTCCAGTTTCAATTTTCTGCTTATAGCCAGCCAATTTTCCCAGCACCATTTATTAATAGGGAATCCATTCTCCATTGCTTGTTTTTGTCAGGTTTGTCGAAGATCAGATGGTTGTATGTGTGCAGTCTTATTTCTGAGTTCTCTATGCTGTTCCATTGTTCTATCTGTCTGTTTTTGTACAAGTACCATGCTGTTTTGGTTAGAGTAGCCTTGTAGTACAGTTTGAAGTTGGGTAACGTGATGCCTCCAACTTTCTTCTCTTTGCTTAGGATTGTCTTGTCTATATGAGCTATTTTTTGGTTCCATATGAATTTTAAACTAGTTTTTCGAATTCTGTGAAGAACATCAATGGTAGTTTGATGGGAATAGCATTAAATCTATAAATTACTTTGGGCAGTATGGCCATTTTCATGATATTGATTCTTCCTATCCATGAGCACGGAATGTTTTCCCATTTGTGTCCTCTCTGGTTTCCTTGAGCAGTGATTTGTAGCTCTCCTTGAAGAGGTCCTTCACTTCCCTTGTTAACTGCATTCCTAGTTATTTTATTCTCTTTGTAGCAATTGTGAATGAGAGTTCATTCACGATTTGGCTCTCTGCTTGTCTATTGTTAGTGTATAGGAATGCTTGTGATTTTCGCACATTGATTTTGTATCCTGATACTTTGCTGTTACTTATCAGCTTAAGAAGCTCTTGGGCTGAGACAATGTGGTTTTCTAGAAATAGGATCACGTCATCTGCAGAGACAATTTGATTTCCTCTCTTCCTATTTGAATACACTTTATTTCTTTCTCTTGCCTGATTGCCCTGGCCAGAACTTCCAATACTATGTTGAATAGGAGTACTCAGAGACGGCATGCTTGTCTTGTGCCAGTTTTCAAGGGGAATGCTTCCAGCTTTTGCCCATTCAGTATGATAGTGACTGTGGGTTTGCATAAATGGCTCTTATTATTTTGAGGCATGTTCCTTCAGTACCTAGTTTATTGAGAGCTTTTAACATGAAAGGATGTTGAATTTATCAAGACTTTTTCTGTGCCTGTTGAGATAATCACATGGTTTTTGTCTTTAGTTCTGTTTATGTGACGAATTACATTTATTGATTTGCGTATGTTGAACCAGCCTTGCATCCCAGGAATGAAGCCAACTTGATCGTGGTGGATAAGCTTTTTGATGTGCTGCTGGATTTGGTTTGCCAGTATTTTATTGAGGATTTTTGTATCGATGTTCATCAGGGATATTGACCTGAAGTTTTCTTTTTTTGTTGTATGTCTGTCAGGTTTTGGTATCAGGATGACGCTGGCCTCATAAAATGAGTTAGGGGGGAGTCCCTCCTTTTCAATTGTTTGGAATAGTTTCAGAAGGAATGGCATCAGCTCCTCTTTGTACCTCTAGAAGAATTCAGCTGTAAATCTATTTGGGCCTGGTCTTTTTTCAGAACTTGTCTTTGGTCTATTTCAGGTATTCCATTTTCTTTTGGTTCAGTCTTGAGAGGGTGTATGTGTCCAGGAATTTATCCATTTCTTCTACTAGATTTTCTAGTTTATTTGCATAGAGGTTTTTATAGTATTCTCTGATGATTGTTTGTATTTCTGTGGGGTCAGTGGTGATATCCCCTTAATCATTTTTTTTGTTGTGTCTATGTGATTCTTCTCTCTTCTTTATTAATCTAGTTAGCAGGCTATTTTATTAATATTTTCAAAAAAGCAGCTCCTGGTTTCATTGATTTTTTGAAGGGTTTTTCATGTCTCTATCTCCTTCAATTCTGCTCTGAGCTTGGTTATTTCTTGTCTTCTGCTAGCTTTGAGGTTTGTGTGTTCTTGATTCTCTAGTTCTTTTAGTTGTGATGTTGGGATGTCAATTTGAGATCTTTCTAGCTTTTTGATGTGGGCATTTAGCGCTTATAAGTTTCCTTCTTAACACTGCTTTTGCTGCATCCCAGATATTCTGGTATGTTATCTCTTTGTTCTCATTAGTTTCAAAGAACTTGTTGATTTCTGCCTTAATTTCATTATTTACCCAGGAGTCATTCAGGAACAGGTTGTTCAATTTCCATGTAGTTGTGGTTTTGAGTGAATTTCTTAGTCTTGAATTCTGATTTAATTGCGCTGTGGTCTGAGAGACTGTTTGCTATGGTTTCAGTTCTTTTGCACTTGCTGAGGAGTGTTTTACTTCTGGTTATGAGATCAATTTTAGAGTAAGTGCCATGTGGCACCAAGAAGAATGTATATTCTGTTGTTTTTGGGTGGAGAGTTCTATAGATACCTATCTAGTCCACTTGATCAGAGCTGAGTTCATGTCCTGAATTTCTTTGTTACTTTTCTCTCTCAATGATCTGCCTAATATTGACACTGAAGTGTTAAAGTCTCTCACTATTATTGTGTGGGAATCTAAGTCTGTTTGTAGGTCTCTAGGAACTTGTTTTATGAATCTGGGTGCTCCTGTATTGGGTGCACGTATATTTAGACTACTTAGCTCTTCTTGTTGAATTGAACCCTTTACCACCATGTAATGTCCTTCCTTGTCTTTTTTGACCTTTGTTGGTTTAAAGTCCATTTTATCAGAAACTAGGATTGCAACGCCTGCTTTTTTCTGCTTTCCATTTGCTTGGTAATTTTCCTCCATTTCTTTATTTTGAGCCTATGTTTGTCTTTCCATGTGAGATGGGTCTCCTGAACATAGCACACCGATGAGTCTTGACTTTTTATCCAGCTTGCCATCCTATTCTTTTAATTGGGGCATTTAGCCCACTTACATTTAAGGTTATGTGTGAATTTGATCCTGTCATCGTGATGCTGGTTGGTTATTTTGCAGACTTGTTAATGTAGTTGCTTCAGAGTGTCATTGGTCTGTGTATGTCAGTGTGTTTTTGTAGTGGCTGGTAATGGTTTTTCCTTTCCATTTTCAGTGCTTTCTTTAGGAGCTCTGTCAAGGCAGGGCTGTTGGTGACAAATTTCCTTAGCATTTGCTTGTCTGAAAAGGAGTTTATTTCTCCTTCACTTACGAAGCTTAGTTTGGCAGATATAAAATTCTGGGTTGAAAATTATTTTAAGAATGTTGAATATTGGCCTCCAATCTCTTCTGGCTGGTAGGGTTTCTGCTGAGATGTCCACTGTTAGTCTGATGGGCTTCCCTTTGTAGGTGACCTGGCCTTTCTCTCTAGGTGCCTTTAACATTTTTTCCTTCATTTCAACCTTGGAGAATCTCATGATAATGTGTTTTCAGGTTGGTCTTCTCATGGAGTATCTTATTGGGGTTCTCTGGATTTCCTGAATTTGAATGTTGGCCTGTCTTGGTAGGTTGAAGAAATTCTCCTGGATGATATCCTGAAGTATGTGTTCCAACTTGGTTCTATTTTCCGTTTCTTTCAGGTACCCCAATCAGTCATAGGTTTGGTCTTTTTACATAATCTCAGAGTTCTTGGAAGTTTTGTTTGTTCCTTTTCATTCTTTTTTCTCCAATCTTGTCTGCCTGTCTTTTTTCAGCAAGATAGTCTCAGATTCTCTTCTCTGCTTGGTCTATTCAGCTATTGACACCTGTGATTGCATTGTGATGTTCTTGTGTTGGGTTTTCAGCTCCATCAGGTTGTTTATGTTCCTCTCTAAACTGGTTATTCTGGTTAATGGTTCCTGTAATGTTTTCATGATTCTTAGCTTCTTTGCATTGGGTTAGAACATTCTCCTTTAGCTCAGTGAAGTTTGTTATTACCCACCTTCTGAAGCCTACTTCTGCCAATTCATCTGTCTCAGTCTCAGCCTAGTTCTGTTTCCTTGCTGGACAGGTGCTGCAATCATCTGGAGGAGAAGAGGCACTCTGGCTTTTGGAATTTTCAGCGTTTTCATGTTGATTTTTTTCTTTTTTGTGGGTTTACATACCTTCAATGTTTGAGCCTGCTTACTTTTGTATGGGGTTTTTGTGGGGTCTCTTTTGTTGATGTTGTTGCTTTCTGTTTTTCTTTTAACAGTCCAGCCCCTCTTCCACAGGAATGCTGCAGTTTGCTGGGGGTCCACTCCAGACCCTATTCACCTGGGTCCCTCCCACACCTAGAGGTATCACCAGTGGAGCCTGCAGAACAGCAAAGATAGCTGCCCACTCCTTCCTCTGGGAGCTCCATCCCAGAGGGGTACCAATCTGATGTTGGCCAGAACCCTCCTGTATTAGGTGTCTGGTGGCTCCTGTTGGGCGGTCTCACCCAGTCAGGAGGCATAGGGCCAGGGACCCACTTGAAGAAGCAGTCTGGTTATCCTTTGGCAAAGTGGGTGCGCTGCGCTGGGAGGACTCCCACTCATCCAGACTCATGGCCTCCTCAGAGCCAGTAGGGGTAAAGATTAAGTCTGTTGAACCAGAGACCATGGCCACCCCTAACCCCAGGGGCTCCATCCCAGGGAGATTAGAGTTCTGTCAGTAAACCCCTAGCTGGAATTCCTGAAATTCCCACAGGGAGGCCCTGCCCAATGAGGGGGGAGGGATCTAGGTCCCACCTAAAGAAGCAGCCTGACCACAATCTGCCACAGCCGCTGTGCTGCGCTGTGGGGGATTCCTCCTGGTCCAAACCACCAAGTCTCCCCAGCACCAGCATGGGAAAACAGCCGAATGGAGCTGCAGTGATTCTGGCTGCCCTTCTCCCTGGAAATTCAGTCATCTTAGGCAGTCTGCAGCTCAGCCTGCTGCCACTGGCCACAACCTAAGCAGCCACCAAGCATCTGCACAGCCCTGTGCTTGGGACCCAAGGCCCTGGTGGCATGGGCTCACAAGGGGATCTCCTGATCTGTGGGTTGCACAGATCTGTGGCAAAAGCATGGTTTCTCTGGCAAGGTAGCACGATCACTCACTGCCTCCCTTGGCTGGGGGGGTGAGAGTTTCCCATACCCCATGCATCTGTCAGGCGGATTGTTGCTCCACCCTGCTTTTGTTTGCTCTCCATGGGTCACAATGAAAGAACCTGGATACCTCAGCTGAAGTTGCAGGACTCACCTGCTGATTTCATTCTTCTTGGTGGGAGCTGCAGATTGGAGCTGCTTCTAATCAGCCATCTTGGCCCCTCCCTCAAAGTAATATATTTTAATCAACTTTATTGAGTTATAATATAATAAAATGCATAGAAGTGTACAGTTTATTTTTATGGCAAAATATCAAACAAATGTATTATTTTATTATTGTCAATTACATGATAATCTATTTATTTATATAATTTCAACTTTAATTTTAGATTCAGGGAATACATGTGCAGGTTTGTCACATGGATATACTGTGTGATGCTGAGGTTTGGGATACAAACGATCCTGTCACCTAGCTGGTGAACACAGTATCCAATAATTAATTTTTCAACCGTTTCCCTTCTCTCTTCCTCCCCTCTTGTAGTTCCCAGGGTCCATTGTTGCCATCCTTATGTCCATGAGTACCCAATGTTTAGCTTCCACTTAAGTGAGAATATGTGGTATTTTGTTTTCTGTTCCTGCATTAATTTGCTTAAGATAATGGCCTCTAGCTGCATCCACATTGCTGCAAACAACATGATTTTGTTCTTTTATTATGGCTGTGTAGTATTCCATGGTTTATGTGTACCACATTTTCTTTATTCAGTCCACCATTGATGGGCACCTAGGTTGATTCCACATCTTTGCTATTGTAAATAGTGCTGCAATGAACATATGAATGCATGCATCTTTTTGGTAGAATGATTTATTTTCTTTTGAATATATACCCAGTAATGGGATTACCAGGTTGAATGGTAGTTCTGTTTTAAGTTCGTTGAGAAATCTCCAAACTGCTTTCTACAGTGGCTGAACTACTTTACATTCCCATCAACAGCAATAAGCATTCCTTTTTCTCTGTAGCCTTGCCAGCATCTGTTGTTTTTTGACTTTTTAATAATAGCCATTCTGAGTGGTGTGAGATGGTATCTCATTGTGGTTTTGATTTGCATGTCTCTGATGATTCGTGATGAGGAAAATTTTTTCACATGTTTATTGGCTGCTTGTATGTCTTCTTTTGAGAAGTCTCTGTTCATGTTTTTTTCCCCACTTTTTAATGGGATTATTTGTTTTTTGCTTGTTCAATTATTTAAGCTTCTTATAGTTTTTGGATACTAGACCTTTGTTGAATCCATAGTTTGCAAATATTTTCTCCTATTCTGTAGGTTGTCTGTTTACTCTGTTGATAGTTTCTTTTGCTTTTGTTTTTGTTGCAATTGCTTTTGAGAACTTAGTCATAAATTCTTTCCCAAGACTAATGTCCAGAATGGTGTTTCCTAAGTTTCCTTCTAGAATTCCTATGGTTTGAGGTCTTACATTTAAGTCTTTAATTCATCTTGAGTTTTAATGTTTGTATATGGTGAGAGATAGAGATTCAGTTTCATTCTTCTGCATACGGATAGACAGCTACCCCAGCACCATTTATTGATGGTCCTTTCCCCATTGCTTATTTTTGTTGACTTTGTTGAAGATCATATGGCTGTAGGTGTGTGGCTTTATTTTCTGGGTCTCTGTTCTGTTCCATTCGTCTGTGTTCGTGCCAGTACCATGCTATTTTAGTAGGCTTATAGAATATCTTGAAGTCAGGTAATGTGATGCCTCTGGCTTTGTTATGTTTTTTTGGCTTAGGATTGCTTTGGCCATTCAGGTTCTTTTTTGGTTCCATATTCATTTTAGAATGGTGTTTTCTAATTCTGTGAAAAATGATGTTGGTAGTTTGATAGGAATAGTGTTGAATCTGTAGATTGCTTTTGGGCATTTTAATGATATTGATTCTTCCAATCCATAAGCATGGGATGTTTTTCCATTTGTTTGTATCGTCTGTGATTTCTTTCAACAGTGTTTTGTAGTTCTCCGTGTAGAGATATTTTCACCCCCTTGGTTAGATGTATTCCTAGGAGGTGTGTGTGTGTGTGTGTGTGTGTGTGTGTGTGTGTGTGTGTGGCAGGGGAGGGCGGCAGGGAGGCTATTGTAAATGGTTTTGCATTCTTGATTTTGCTCTCAGCTTAAATGCTATTGGAGTTTGTTTGCTATTGATTTCTGTATATTGAATTTTGTATCCTGAAACTTTACTGAAGTTCTTTATCAGTTCCAGGAGCCTTTTGGTGGAGTCGTTAGGGTTTTCTAGGTGTAGAATCATGTTGTCAGTGAAGAGAGGTAGCTTGACTTCTTTGTTTCCTATTTGGATGCCTTTTATTTCTTTCTCTTGCCTGATTGCTCTGTCTAGGACTTCCAGAATTGTATAGTCTAATATATTTTTAAAAGTGTATAAGTAGCACCTCTGTAATCACCACAATATTCAAGATATAGATCATTTCCATAACCCCAGAAAATTTCTTCTTGCTCCCTTGAAGCCAGTCCTCACCCACTCCACACAGCCACGGATTGGATTTCTACCAACAGAATCAACATAACGTTTTGAAAGATTTATTAATGTCCTTCCACGTAGTAATAGCTGATTCCTTTTTATTGATGTACAGTTTTCTAAAGTATTCAATGGTATGCCTATACCACAGTTTGTTTATCCATTCTGAGTTAATGGGTTGTTTCTGGTTTGAATTATGAATAAAGCTGCTACAAACATTCTTGCACAAGCATTTTTTGGACATATGTAATTTTCCTTGGATAAAAAAACTAGGAGTGAAACTGATATGTCATAAAGTAGGTGTAAATTTAACTTTGTAAGGAAAGACCAGTTTTACAAAATGGTTTATCAGTTTACATTTCTGCCAGCAATGTATGACAGTGCCAGTTCCTTTGCACTCTTGAATATATGGTATTTCAGTCTTTTTCATTTTACCCATTAGAGTAGGTAAAATGGTATCTTATTGTGGTTTTAATTTTTTCATATCTTTATATACACTAACAGTGATGCTAAGCACCTTTTTCTGTGCTTATTGTCTAACATATATCTTCTTTTGTTAAGTGTCTAAGTCTTTTGACATTGGGCTGGGGTTGTTTGTCTTTTTATTATTGAGCTGTAGGAGTTTCCTACATATCCTAGATAGAAGTCCTTTGTCAAATACATATATTATGAACATTTTCTCCCAATCTGTGGCTTATCTTTTCATTTTATTAATGATTTCTTTTGAAATTCAGAACCTTTACTTTTTGATTAAGTTGTTTTATCATTTTTTTTTCTTTTATGGTTGGTGCTTTTTGTCCTGTCAAAATCTTTGCCTTTGAAGGGCCATAAAAATATTGTCCTATGTTTCATGTAGAAGGTTTATGGTTCTAGAAAGTGGTTTGTTTGTTTGTTTTTCCAGTGATTTCTTCTTATCTCGGTGGCAGTAGAGTCTTTCACGTTCTTCTACATCCTATCCAGCAGCGGGATGATATATCCAAGAAAATCTGTTTAAAGTACAACCTTCCAAAATAACTGTCTGACTTAAAATTTTTTTTTAATTTAAATCAACTTTTGATCCTTTGTTTATAGTCTCACCGGCCATAAGATAGTGGATCTGTCATGCTGAATCATGAGAATTTTTTGTACATTTAATTGGATTTCCAACAGGAAATTGTAACTTTATTTTAATAGTGAAAGCCATTTGAAAAACTAGAAAAGCAATGAAATAAAGCAGTTAAGACTCAGGTGCTGAAGTTGTGTTGTCTTCTGTGCAAATCCTAGTTCTGCTCCTCACTAGCTATTTAAACAAACTGAGCTTTACCACATCACTTTCCTCATCTCTAAAATAGTACATAAATGATAGCAACTTCTGAGCTTTGTTGAATGAGAATCAGGAAAGTGCTTAGCAAAGTTTGATTACCATCAATAATAAAGCTTTTCTGTTTCTGCGTCATACCCACAGGGGGAAAAAGATCTTGAGGAAGTTATTTACCAATTCTATTCATACTTTCCCTTCTTTTTGTTTAAAGAAGTCCTTTTTGATTTTTATAGAAGGCAGATGTTTCTTAAGAGATGCTTTATTTTTTTTTTTAATTTTTAAAGGTTGTAAACAGCAAGGGAAAGTAGTGAATAGATGTTTTACTTAACTTTTCAAATTAACTTCAAGAATCTGTCTGTAAACATGGTAAGACATTTTAAGGCTTGACTGTTGTGGAATTTAAAGGTTGTTCCCCCACCTTTCCCCTAGTCTGTGACCCACCCCCAGCAGTGAGCAAATACGTGACCTGAACTGAGGTAGTAGTTTTCATGTGTACAGCTAATGTCAAGGTCCCAGGAGAGGTTAGGTGGCTGGAGTGTAATCAGAGACATCTGTTTGTTGCTAACTGCAATGACTCTCTGCTTAAGTCTTGAGCAAGGTCATTATTCTCAGTCTGTGATGCGCGAGTGCACAGCAGGCCCAGCAGACTGCTCATTAGTATTCTGCACGTTCTATCAGCTAAATTTGCCATTACATTTAGAATGCTTCCGATTGCATATTTTTTTATATTCCTGGCCTCCACAGAGAAATGGATGCCACTGTTGGTGCTCTGACAAGCAGCCGAGCACACAATGATGTATTTGCCATCAAACTAAGGGGGAAAGTTATCAAAACACTTGGCTGTCAACCGTGAATTCAGTTCAAATCATTTAAGTTATGAAAGTAGTTTTAAATGAAAGAAGCAAAAATAATACATAAATCAAGGAAGATTTATGTAGAGAAAAAATCATTTTAATAAGTAAGAATTTACTAAAAAGACTTTGTCCTTCCTCTATAATTTTAAAAGTAAATGAATGCAGATATTTTAAAGCTATAAAATCCTTCATTTGGCCATTGAAATTGATTCCTACTTCAGGCACATTCAACATCACATACTTTGCAAACTTAAGAAATTACATGTTTTAAAGTATATGGCTTTAAAAAGGTAATTAATATTTATATTTAATTATGCTTTTCTCAATATTTCTTAGATGGACCAGATGACATCTGCATTGCTACCTCACAAGAGAAAAAAATGAGAAACATTGTTTCATGGGCCATGAAAGGGATGTATGATTTGTACTCCTACCAGCAGAGCTACTAAAAAATGGAAATTTATGATTTTTGCCCCCCAGAAAAAACCTCATTAAGCTCCTTGAAGAAATAGAAATCTCATGAGCAGTAATCAAAGCATATGAAGCCTCCTGAGTAGTTAACAGAGCCCACTTCATCAGACAATTCCATTGAGAATAGAGTTGCCCAAGGACATGTTTCTTACTGAATGTATTACCGACTGAAATTCAGCTGCAGAAAGCGACTGAGCTAGAAAGCCTCAACAGTAGAATATAGCAGTGAGAATCTTTCCTGAGACTATATTGGCCTTTTGTCATTGTCAAATCCCCAGATACCATAAGCAAACAAGAGGCAGACTGATGTGTGCCATTCGGGGCAAATCCATGAATAGAACAGTCCCGACAGATAGGTAGTGTAAACCCCCACTACCACAGGCCTGAATGGCTGCACTTCCAAGTTTGACATGAGTCAGTCATAGTCTGTGCATGTGTCAGCTCATCATAAGCATACCTTTCCTGTTTCCACTACAAGAAACGCTCACACATGAGTCTAGATGTTATTAGCTGGAGGAAGCAACTTCCAATAGAGAACATACTAAAAGCACTTTGATTTTCAGGCCGTCCTGTGGGACCTGTTCTTAATTTCCTAGGGCTGCTGTGACAAAGTACCACAAACTAGGTGGCTTAATAAAACAAAAATTTATTATCTCGTAGTTCTGGAGGCTAGAAGTCTGAAATCGAGCAGTTGTCAGGGCCATGTTCTCTCTAAAATCTGTAGAGGAGAATCCTTCCTTGCCTCTTCCTCTTCTAGCTTCTGGTATTTGCCATCAATCCTTAGCGTTCCTGGATTTGAAGATGCATCACTCCAACTTCTCTCTCCGTTGTCACATGGCTATCTTGTCTCTGTGTGAATCTTTACATGGTGCTTTCCTTTTCTTGTAAGACCACCGGTCAGATTAGGATCCACCCTAATAACCTCATCTTAATTCGATTACATCTACTAAGACCCAATTCCCATGTGAGATCACATCACAGCTACCAGGGCTGAGGACTTCAACATTCCTCTTGGAGGACACTGTTCAATACAGGACAGACTATGTCGGCGTAAGGAGCCTGAAGGAATGCCAGCAGATGAACAGGATGCAAACAGAGAGAACTGGTTGCAGAAGACAAAGGAAGAGATTTGTAGCATAAGCGTGGGGCCAATATTTGTGAATTGATCAAACTACTACATTAAGTAAAAGAAAGACTAAGTACACTTCAGATTTAACAACAGGAAGGTTATTGGTTAGGTTAACAAAAACAGTGTCTGTAGGACTAAGACCATATCGCACTGGGTAACAAAGTGGGCAGCAACCATGGAAATGAAGGCCATGAGTTGTAGGCAAGTTTCTCAAGACATTCAGCTGTGCAGAGATAAGAGATAAAAAAGTTAGCTATTGAAGAGAACACTGTGATTTTAAGAAGCACCTCTGATGTCAAGAATTTGGAAGCACTTAACATTTAATGATCTTTTTCCATATTGTATGGCCACTGGTTCATGTCTGTCATGGATTAGAACACTAGACACTAGCATCTTCAAACTGATAACAAAGATTGTATTTGAGAGCATGTTGCTTCCATTTTTAACATATTGCTCGCTGTTTATAATGGGATGGACAAAATGTGCAAAGAGATGGTTTGAATTGGAAGGGGCTTGTTAAACATGCTGCAGTGAGGAGGGTACTTTCCTGTAAAAATTCTCATCAAAATTTACTCCTGGCTGCTGGGTTTAGCTAAGTCCATGTCCATGGTAGCTGCTTGCATCAAGGGCCCAATAAGCTCTTCTGGGATTTGCAAGTCACCTGCCTTTATCTTTCTTTTACCATATGTATCAGTCAGGGTTCTCCAGAGAAATACAACCAATAGGACACACACACAGACACACACACACACACACACACAGATATACTTAAAACGTGTGTGTTTTATTTTAAATATATAGATATATAAATGTTTTATTTTAAATATATATGTGTGTATATATACACACACACACACACACACACACATTTTTTTTTTTAAAGAATTGGCTCACATGATTGTGGGAGCTGACAAGTCCAAATTTGTAGGGCAGGCCGAAAACTCAGGCAGGACTTGAAGTTACAGTCTTGAGGCAGAATTTCTTCTCTGGGAAACCAGTTTTTGCTCTTAAAGCTTTCAACTGACTGGATGCGGCCCCACCGCTATTATTGAGGGTAATCTTCTTTACTTAAAGTCAACTGAGTTTAGATGTTAACCACATTTACAAATTCACAGCAGCACCTAGATTAGTGTTTGACTAAATAACTGGAGACTACAACCTGCCAAGTTTATACATGAAACTGACCATCACACTGTCCTCCTCCCAAGGACCTCTAAGAGGCTGCAGCTTTTGAGAAGGTGTGCCAGTTCTGGTCCCAGCAATCAGGTAGATGTCTATAGGCTTGAATTTAGGCTTTCATAGAATACTATTTTTACAGTGAAATCTATATGGCAAATGGAGCTAATAGCTACAAATTAACCACTTAATACAGTTGGCTCACAGAATTACAGATGCCTGCATTCCTTCTGAAAGCAAAATTTGAACCATGATGTGCTTTACTCATTCATGGTAAAAAGATAAAATGCTATTTTATATTCATGGTATAAAGATACCAGGCCCAGCCTGTGGCAATTTGCTCATTATCTTATAGTAATACTACCTATTACTATCTGGAGGTGTCATTAACCTCCTTTCTCCTTAGAGGAGAATTTAATACAAGGCAGATCCGTCTCTCTCACCATTCAGTAGAGCATTTAATTATCAAAGGATCAAAAGCATCTTGTTATAATGTGGTCAAGCAGCACAGACTCCAAGGGAATTATGAAAGATGGCTTAAGTGTAATTTCCTGAAAGAAAATGCAGTCAACAAAAACTTAGACCACAAAAGATGACAGCTTTTGAATCATAACATGTCTATTTCCATATTCCTATCACAGAAAACTCTATTAAGACAACTTACAACGGAAAAAATCATGCAAATAAAGCAAGAGTGTTTTTCATACAGATATACTGAGCATTTGAAGGTGTCACCAAAGGTGCTCACTCGGGAATGCCAAATACTGTTAGCAGCCCCCTTTAGTCCAGGTCATGATGGGAGACTGCAAAACACACACACACGAAGTGAGGGTCTCCAAACTCTCGAAATTAAATGGTTTAAAACCCTGCATTCTCTAATCACATTCCTTTTATTCAGTGTTGATTTTATTACAGCTTCTCTAGAGGAGATTTTTTTTAATTGAAATGAAATAATATGCCAGCAGAAAGATAGGAAACTCACAATTGCATATACAATACTATCATTTATAACTCATCCTTCCAAGATAAAACCAGCTTACCTTCATAGAAAACCTTGATGGCTTTGTTTGGTGGCTAAAACAATACAGAGAGCCATTTAACATGAGTGATAAAAAAGAAATCATGGAGCTGACTTTCCTGTTTATATTTCCCATTTATATTTCCCATTTCCACCCTGCATATATGATTAGAAGATGTCACTCAATTACATTTCAATTTTCTGCCCACTGCATTCATTTAAAAATTTCAGAAATGTTCTGGAAAAGACAATTTATTGAATATATGCTGAATTTGTCATTAGAAATTGAGAAGTATCCAGCTGCACATTTTGCCCTCTCTATCATTTACTTCAGGATATTGTGCTTTTGATAAGTGGACTATGTTTGGATCTTTACATGTATCATATAGAGTATAGTAATCCCTTACAGGGATTTAAATGCTTTCATTACTAGGTGCTATCAAGAGAAAAGATGTGGGTTATATTAGTGAAGGGGATTATTTTTTATTACATAAATATTTTATGATATATATTTTACATTTCTTGCCCTGACACTTTATTACCACCGACTCTTATTAATTCCATGCTTGATATAAATTAAATGCGAGATTTTGATGTGTGTGGTTGCCAGGGCCTTGAGGGCACAGAATCTCTTCTCTAAGATCACAATTGCTTAACTTCTCCTAGGATTAATTTGCCTAACCACAGTCCCTGAGCTATCTAAGAAAAGGATGATTTGGAAACAGAGCGGCAGGCTTCCGATGCAACAACTCAGAACCTCCTGTTTGTGCAGTTTATGGGAACTCAAAGACAGAGTTCACCCAAAGACATTTTATAAGGGGCTTGTTAATTTAATACGGTCAAACTCTTCATTGTTCAGAAGCTGGTGCACTTGTCTGGGGACTTCATTACTTGCTGGCAGCTCTGTGTGAGGCCAGTTCGGGCTAGGGAAGGTGGAGAAACTCACACACTCCATGGTTACCACTTGTTAGCAACCCTCATTCGTGCAGACGGCAGCGGAAACCAGCTCTGCCATCCTCTGGAACTTAAGCAGGCTCGCCTCACCTTAGTTATCATCACAAAATTCATCAGACTATTTTTATTTTCCCAAGTTCCTCTGATAAGAAAAAGAATGAACAAAGGTAGAAATGCTTCCATGAACAGAATACAATTAAGATCAGGGAGAATGATAGAAAAATAGGGTAAAGAAGATGACATTGGAGAGATAGGCTACAGCAGATCTCAAAAACACGTATGAAGCTAAACAATATAGATGTTTTCTGTAGGCCAGTGTTTCTTAAGTGATTTACAAAGCCCCTGCTAAAGGAAAACAACTATCCCTGACCCCTAGTGTTAAATCATGAAATATAGGTACCTATAGATACATACAAATGTATACAGGGACATATGTGCACATATACGCACACACATATGTACATATATACACCTATGGTACATTTACATATACCCACATATTTTACATTTGCATATTTAGGCATTTCCCAGTCATATTACGTACCCTTCATCGTTGGCTGAGGCTCTTGGCTCTTTGATTCTACCTAATCTTCATTCTGGGATCTAGGCTGATGGAGAAATCCCTTTCTGGGATATTACCAGGCTTATGACAGGAAGGAAAAAGGGAGAGGGCAGAACACTCATTGGCTATGAAAGCTTCCACTTGAAAATAACACATATCACTCCCACTCACTTTTATTTGGCAAATCAAGCGGCACAGCCAAAAAGCTAAAGTCAGCAGGGTGGGAAGTATAATTTTTCCACAAAAGAAAGACCCAGTAAGGAGGGACAATAAACTTTTGAAAAATAGGAGAACTTACATGCGAAATTCAAAACGAGGCTAAACTCTTCTGGCTTATAGATTTTGTGTGGATCTAAACAATGTTATATGAGTCTAAGAATTTTATAAGAAATGTATAAAACCAATAAAGTTCAAATTAATATTTGTTTATTGTGTTAAATGTTTTGGTGAAATGAAAACACCACTCACCAAGAGAAAAATAAAGCCATGCATCACTTTACGACAGGGATATGCTCTCAGAACTGTTTTGTTAGGCTATTTAGTCATTGTGCAAACATCATAGAGAGTACTTACACAAACCTAGATGGTGTAGCTTCCTACACACCTAGGCTCTACAGGATAGCCTGTTGCTCCTAAGCTACAAACCTGTACAACATGTTACTGTACTGAATACTACAGGCAATTATAACACAGTGGTAAGTCTTTTTGTGTCTAAACATATCTAAACATAGAAAAAGGTACTGTAAAAATACAGTATAAAAGATAAACAATGGTACACCTGTATAGGGCACTCACCGCAAATGGAGCTTGCAGGACTGAAAGTTGCTCTGGGTGAGTCAGTGAATGGTGAGTGAATGTGAAGTCCTAGGATGTTATTGTACTACTGTAGTCTTTATAAACACTGTACACTTAGGCTACACTAAATTTATTTAAAGACTTTTTTCCTTCTTCAATAAGGAACTTTTTATTTTTTTAACTTTTCAACTTGTAATAACACAGCTTAAAACACAAATACGCTGTACAGCTGTATGAAAAGATTTTCTTTCTATAGATCATTACTCTATAAGCATTGTTGTTTTTTAATTTGTTATTTTTACTATTTAATTTTTTTGTGAAAAACTAAGACATAAGCACACACATTAGCCTAGGTCTACATAGGGTCTGGATCATCAATATCACTGTCTCCTACCTGCACATCTTGTCCCATGGAAGGTATACGACGTCACTAAGTGACAGGAATTTTTCAACTCCATTATAATTTTATGAAGCCACTGTCATATGTGCAGTCCATTGTTGACTGAAACATCATTATGCAGCACCTGACTGTATTACAAAATGCAAAGGCTCTGGTTTTGTGGTTGTTGCTCGTGTTTGTAATTTAATTAGGCATGCCCGGGCTGTGATGTGACATGTAGTAACTAAATTCTCCTCAGACTTGTCTCTATTAGGCTACTAATAGGTAGTTTGAAAACCGTTCTTTAAAAAGTTTGCTGTCACAGCATTTGACCTTCACGTGGGTCAAACTCATCATTACAAATTATGTCCACTTGTGTACATTTTTCATTAACTTATGACATTTAAAGATGTATAATTTGGCACCAACAGGATCATAAAGATCTATAACACAGTGAAATTGAATGATAGTGATAAGACAGTCAATTAAATGATCCAGAATACACATATTATTTTTGTAGATTTTTAAAAATTGATATTTGAAACACAAAATTCAAGGAAACACCTAGACAACTTGAGCATCACCTCATTATTCTCATAAGAATGTTACTTCAGGGGCCTGGAGATACTGCTCTAGGTGAAAGAGAGCCATCGAAGAATTTAAAGTCAGGGACTTTTATAATTGAAGTTACTTTGGGGAAAAATCATGCTTAAGGCACTATTGGGCACCAGTTTGGATGCATGATGATAGGCCTGGTAAGAGAAAGTGAAGGCCTAAACACAAAGTGGAAAGAAGGAAAAAAATGATGGAAACTAATAAGCATACCAACTTGATATCTGGAAAAAGAAATTTGAAGAAGCAGGGAGAGTTGAAGGGAGAAAAAAAAGTGCATCTGATTTCTGGTCCCTAAGACTTCCATACCAGCCTCCCCGAACAAGGGAAGCTTATGACTAATAAATATCTAGGTTATAATTACTCAAAAATTGGAAAGAACACTGGACAGAGTTAAAAGGTATGAGTTCCAACTCCAGCTTTGCCATTTTCTAACTATGCAACGTTGGGGAAACAACCACCTGAGCTTGTACAGAGAAGATTCATAAGCTCTCCTGCCTATGTCACAAGTTTTTTCAGAGTGCAATATGCAGTGAAACACATGAAAGCAATTTCAGATCTATTGTATTTAGGGTGGAACTTAGTAATTTGTAAAGTGCTGTACAAAATAAGTTATCGTTATGAGGTTAGGCCAGACGTGGTGGCTCATGCCTCTAATCCCAGCACTTTGGGAGGCTGAGGTGGGCAGATCACTTGAGCTCAGGAGTTCAAGACCAGCCCGGGCAACATGGTGAAACCCATCTCTACCAAAAATACAAAAAATTAACCGAGTGTGGTGGTGCAAACCTGAGGAGGCAAGATCACTTGAGCCCAGGAGGTAGAGGTTGCAATGAACCAAGATTGCACCACTGCACTTCAGCCTCTGGAGTAATCTCCCTCTCCAGAGTGAGATCCCATCTCAACAAAATAAATAAAAAATATTGTTATGGGGGTTAATTAAAGTTTTCTCGCCTCTCCTTCTTTTCCTAAATACTGGGCAACCCAATCATAAAGTAATTGAATGGGAAGTTTTGTTATGAATCTCGAGTCTGAGCAGAGCCAGACCCTCTTTTGGCATAATAAGGTAAGAATATAAGCTAAAAAAGAACTATCCTTTATTTGCAAGCAATCTGTTTTTCCCTGAAAGAGTCTACTCTTTCCTGTTCCATCACAACCTTAGTCCTTGAGCTTTCTTTTAGCATTGTCATGCCTCAGGAGAGAATGACCACCCCTGCCAGAAGCTCCACAGATGAGGATCAAGAAAATTCAGAAGAAGAGAATTGACCACAAGGCCAAGGGCCTAAGCTGAGGAGGCAAACAAGAAATGTGGGAAAGGATAAAGGGGGATGCTGACTGATGCCAAGTGGAGCACCTGAGACATCTAGAGAGTCTGTGAGCAAAGTCTCATAGACAAAACCTGTGGACAACACATACAGGGAAGTCAGCAAGAGAGGGTCTATCTGTACTGGTTGGATTATGTCACTAGAACCTCAGGCAAAAAACTGAGGGAACATTCTTTGGGGGCCTGTGTATGCATTTACTTGGCCGAAGGAAGACTTAACCCATTTGCTTGCCCACCTCCTCATCACAGTCACCAGCAGCTGCCTGGATTCTGACAGTAGGAAAGACCAGGAAGCAAATAAGCCAGGTGGGACCAATCACCGGCTGACTAGGAAGACATTCTCTTGACCCTCCCGCCCTTCTCACCAAGGTAAGGAGCACAGCGTCAAACTTACGTTATTTTTTCAAATCCACCCTTCTGCTGGAGTATGGCCGATGATCCTCCAGGAAAGTTCAGAAAGAAATAAACGTCGACCTAGGTAAAGAACAAAGAGCCTTTTGTTGGAAGTAGGTCTTAGAATAGCATTATGATTTGTTGCTGTTTGATGGGTTTTATCTTCTATATTTTGATTCCTGACTTTTCCAAAGTTTTCTGAGACCTTTAAACTAAAAGTAAAATGTAGGTTCTTGGCTACAAGGCCTTGTTAAGGGAAGTAATAAAATATTAAAAGGAACTGTTGTTAAGCTACTGGTCTTCCATCTCACAGAGGGCAATTCAGCTACACACAAGGACATATTGTAGACTTATAGTAAATCAGATTCAGCCACTTTTTAAAGGTGCATTTGAATTCTGCAATGGAAGGGAACTAAAACATTGGAGAATATTGAGGCAGACTCAGAAATCATAATATTTATCAAAAACCAAATGTCACCTTACCCTTTCAGTCCAAAAGGTCATATAATATTATCCTGGAGCAAGAAGTACTGTTGCTCAATATCACAAATGAAACACCAATATGGTTATGCTACTTTACAGGAGCTTTTAAAAGATTATTATGACATGTTCTTTGACAATGTTATGACCATTCCTCCATTTCTTAGGCATCTTAAAGACTGTCTTCTGTGTCAACACCTCCAAAGGCCATGAAACTCTTCCCCCAAATTGTCTGGGTCTCAGTTTCTCACTCCAAAAACCTAAAGAACAAAGCTGCTGATTACTAGCTGTAATGGCCCATGAGAACTTGTGATCTCACAGGTGCTTGACACCCCTGTGAGGCAAGTAACTGGCAAATAGTTATTACTCCTTCTTTAAAAGAAAAAATTTGAATTCAGAAAAGCTGAGTGTGTTGTCAAAAATAACTGAGCAGTTATTGAATAAGATGAGCAAATCTAGTTGTTAAGGTTGGCAAACTGGATTTATCTGGGCTAAATTGCATCCTCCAGCATGGAACTACATTTAGAAGATCAGATGCTACTGCAGTTGAATAGAGGGATTTCTAAGAGTTATCAATCTCAAAGCTGGAAGATTTTAAACAAACCAAAACTATTTTGGGTCCTGAAAAAGCACGAAAAAAATCTAAGTGAATTCAATAAATTTAACTAGTGTAGGCTTGTCAACAAAATAATATGGCTGTTACTGAAATATGCATGTATATTTCACTTCATACTAATGTGTCTCCTGAAGAATTTTATGGTTATACTTATTTAAATTCTATAAATCAAGTTATTATTTTTATTATTTTGAGGCAGGGTCTGACTCTGTCACCCAGGCTGCAGTGCAATGGAGCAATCTCGGCTCACTGCAACCTCTGCCTCGCAGGCTCAAGTCATTATCCCACCTCAGCCTCCTGAATAGCTGGGATTACAGGTGCAGGCCACTACGCTAGGCTAATTTTTGTATTTTTTGTAGAGATGGGGTCTCACTTTGTTGCCCAGGCTGGTCTTGAATTCCTGGGCTCAAGCGATCTGCCCACCTCTGCCTCCCAAAGTGCTGGGATTACAGGTGTGAGCCAGCCTATTTTTTTGTTTGTATAAATTTCTGAAATACAAGTGCAATTTTGTTACATTGACTAGTAGTCAAATCAGGGCTTTAAGGTATCCATCACCCTAGTAAAGTACATGATACCCGTTAGGTAATTTCTCATCATCCACCCTCCTCCATCCCCTCACCCTTCCAAGTCTCCAGTATCTATCATTCCACTCTCTACATCCATTCACATACATTTTTAAGTGCCCGTTTATGAGTAAGATCATGCAATATTTGACTGTCTGTGTCTGGCTTGTTTCACTTAAGATAATGACCTTCAGTTCCATCCATGTTGCTGCAAAAGACATAATTTCATTCTTTTTTGTGTCTGAATAGTTATTCCATTGTGAAAATATATCATATTTTCTGTATCCATTCAACCATTGATGGCACTTAGGTTGAGTCTGTATCTTTGCTAGTGCTGCAATAAACATTCAAGTACAGGTATCTTTTTGATAAATTGATTTTTCCTTTGGCTGTAGATACTCAGTAGTGGAACTGCTCGGTTTAATGGTAGCTCTATTTTTAGTTCTTTGAGAAATCTCCATACTGTTTTCCACAGAGGTTTTACTTATTTACATTCCAGCAACAGTGTATAAGCATTCCCTATTCTCCTCATTCACACCAATGCCTGTTATTTTCTGTCTTTTTAATAATAGCTATTCTGTCTCAGGTAAGATGATATCCCTTGTGGTTTCAATTTGCATTTCTCTGATGATTAGTGATGTTGAGAATTTTTTTCATATACCTCTTGGCCATTTGTATGTCTTCTGTTGAGAAATGTCTATTCATTCCTTTGCCCACTTTTTAATGAGATTATTGAGGTTTTTTTGTTGAGTGGTTTGAATTCCTTGTCTATTCTGGATATTAGTCCCCTGTGAGATGAATAGTTTGCAAATATTTTCTCCCATTCTGCAGGTCGTCTGTTCATTCTCTTGATTATTTCTTTTGCTGGCAGAAGCTTTTTAATTAAGTCCTGTTTGTCTATTTTTGTTTCTGTTGCCTTTGCTTTTGAGGTCTTAGTCATAAATACATTGTTTAGACCAGTGTTTAGAAGATTATTCCTTAGGTATTCTTCTAGTATTTTTACAGTTTGCAGTCTTATTTTTAAGTCTTTAATTCATCTTATTTTTTGTATACGGTGAGATATAGGGGTCCAGTTTCATTCTTCTGCATATGGCAATCCAATTTTCCCAGCACCATTTAGTGAAGAGGGTGTCCTTTCCCCATTGTATGTTCTTGTCAGCTTCCAGTTGGTTGTAAATATGTGGCTTTATTTCTGGATTCCTTATTCTGTTCCATTGATCTATGTGTCTATTTTTTTTTACCAGTACCACACTATTTTGGTTACTATACCCTTGTAATATAATTTGAAGTCAGATAATGTGATGCCAGCATTGTTCTTTTGGCTTAGGATTGCTTTGGCTATTTGGGCTCTTTTCTGGTTTTATATGAATTTGAGGATATTTTTTCTAATTCTGTGAAAAATGACATTGATATTTTGATAAGCAATGCACTGAATATATAGATGCTTTTTGCAATGTGGTTATTTTAACAATATTAATTCTTCTGATCTATGAGTATAGAATGTCTTTCTATTTGTTTGTGTCATCTACAATTTCTTTCATCAGTGATTTGTAGTTTTTCTTGTACAGATATTTCTCCTCCGTGGTTATATTTATTCCTAGCCATTTTTGTAGCTATTATAAATAGGATTGCCTTCTTTATTTCATGCTCAGCTAGATTTTTATTGGTACATAGGAATGTTACTGATTTTTGTATGATGATTTTTTGGTGGAGTCTCTAGGTTTTTTTTTCCAGATATAGGATTATGTCATCGGCAAACAGGGATAATTTGATTTCTTCTCCAATTTGAATGCCTTTTATTTCTTTCTCTTGCCTGACTGCTCTGGCTAGGACTTCCAATATTATATTGAATAGAAGTGGTGAAAGTAGGCATTCTTGTCTTGTTCCAGTTAAAGGAAATGCTTCCAACTTTTCCTCATTAGTATGATGTTGGCTGTGGGTTTGTTGTATATGGCCTTTATTAATTTGAGGTATGCTCCTTCTATGCCTCATTTGTTGAGTTTTTATCATGAAGGGGTGCTGAATTATACCACATGCTTTTTCTGTGTCTACTGAGATGATTATATGGTTTTATCCTTAATTCTGTTGATGTGATGTATCATGTTTATTGATTTGTATATGTTGAACCATCCTTGCAATCCCTGGTAAAAACCCACTTGATCAAGGTGTATTATCTTTTTGATGTACTCTTGGGTTTGGTTTGGTAGTATTTTATTGAGTCTATTTGGCCCATATTCTTCAGGGATATTGGTCTGTGGTTTTCTTTTTTTGTGCATCTTTGTCTGGCTTGGTATCAGGGTGATACAGTCCTCATAGAATGAGTTTGGGAGAATTTTCTCTCTTCAATGTTTTGGGACAGTTTCAGGAGAATTAGTGTTACTATTTCCTTATATGCTTAGTAGAATTCAGCTGTGAATCCATCTGGTCCTAGGCTTTCCTTTGTTGGAAAATTTTTAATTACTGATTCAATCTTGTTACTCATTATTGGTCTGTTCAAGTTTTCTATTTCTTCCTGGTTCAATTTGGGAGGTTGTATATTTACAGGAATTTATCCATTTCCTCTAGGTTTTCTAGTTTGTGGGTGTATAGTTGTTTTAATGGTCTCTGATGATATTTTGTATTTCTGTAATATCAGTTGTAATATCTCCTTTTTCATTTCTAATTTTGTTAATTTGGCTTATCTCTCTTCTTGCTTAGTCTAGTTAGCAGTTTATCCATTTTATTTTATCTTTTCAAAAAACCAACTTTTTGTTTTGTTGATTCCTTGTTTTTGTTTTGGGTTTTTTTTCTCTCTGTTTCACTTAGGTCTGCTCTGATCTTTGTCATTTTTTTCTTCGTCTAGTTTGAGGTTTGCTATGTTCTTGCTTTTCTAGTTCCTTGAATTATATCATTGGAATTTAATTTGTCATCTTTCTACTTTTTTGATGTAGGCACTTAATGCTATAAATTTCCCTCTTAGCACTGGTGTTGCTATATCAAACAGGTTGTAGTATGCTGTGTTTCCTTTTTTGTTTGTTTGTTTCCAAAATTTTAAATTTTCTGTCTTAATTTCTTCATTGACCCAGTGGTTTTTCAGGAGCATATTGTTTAATTTCCATGTATTTGTACAGTTTTCAAAGTTCTTCTTGGTGTTAAGTTATAGCTTTATTCCATTGTTGGTCTGAGAAGATAGTTGACATAATTTCAATTTTTAAACATTTGTTGAGATTCAAGTTGTATTTTAAATATCCAGCAAGAACTCACTATTTAAGGAAAACTATCTTTGTGTGTCTTTTGTAAAAGCATATCCTTTTGGTAATGTGAATAATCACTCCTTTATTTGGGGGCTTTATATTCTCAGAATTGAGAAATTTGTGTTTCCTTATAGCAGGATATGCCCAAAATTTGAATTCATGAGAAAATATTATGTTGCAGCAATTGAATTTTGACAGGTATATAAAGAGTTAAATATATTTATTAAAAGATTCTATGTGTACTGTAGGCAATGGGATGGGAGTTGCAACAGATACCAAGGCAACATTTTTTTTTCTCCTAAACAAAATCTCACAAGTATATTTTTAGACCATGCCAATCTGCTCCTATGGCCTTACATTGTTAAGTATGTCTTTTGTGCATGAGTTGGCCCTAAGAGAGTTATCGTTTTCACAGATATCTGCCTAATTGGTAGCAGCTGCTAATCAAGCACATTGTCACAAATTCTGCAGTACAGCATTCATCCTAAAGGTTTGTGGCTTTTTACATTTTGAAGACAAGCCATATGCCTTAGGCAGCATGGAATGGAGTAGATTTCTAGTAATTACATTGAGTCATGTAATTTGGCCTGAAATATCTGATTTGAATGTTTATTTTGATAAAACTCCCTGAGAAACTGTCAGGTTTTTTTCAACACTTTGTGCTGTTTACACATCACCTAAGAGGAAATGTCCCTTTAGCTCTCTGGTTATAGGTCCCAGGAACAAAGAATTGAAAGGTAGCATGCTATCAGTGGAAGTTTTGGCTTTAGCAAACTGGGGCTTGAATAGATGTGTTGTCATTAATTCTTTAAATTATTCAACTATTTTTAAGTGACTGGATACACTTAACACTCTAGATGCTAGATAAAAAAGTAAGTAATGCATGGTCCTCGCCTCAAAAGCTTCCCTCCACTGGGGGAGGCTTCACTCACCAGAGCACAGAAAGACCAGACTGATGTTCCAAGACACCTAGTCTTGCAGGCTCCTTTATTCTCCAAGCCATGTGCCCTTAAACCTCTGAGGCCAGGTTGAAGTTACCCTGAGTTCACGGAGCCAGGATACCTACTCTTTGGGTTCAGTGCCCACCTTCCAACAGGAGACTATCAGGACTAGATGCAGACATACCTTTCATCCCTGTTCTCAAATCCCAAAGTGTCCACCTCCTGCTCCTTTAATCTATTCTGTAAGCATTACTGTCACCCTAATACTCTTTTCTTCCTTGTACCAGCTCAATAACTTAACCTTTTCCTCCCTGTATTAGTCTGTTTTCACACTCCTATAAAGATATACCTGAGACTAGGTAATTTATAAAGAGAAGAGGTTTGACTCACAGTTCCACATGGCTGGGGGGCCTCAGGAATCTTATAATCATGGTGGAAAAGGAAGCAGGCATGTCTTACATGGCAGCAGGTGAGAGAGAGAGAATGTGTGTGAAGAAGGAACTGTCAGACACTTATAAAACCATAAAGATCTCATGAGAACTCACTCACTATCATGAGAACAGCATGAGGGACACCGCCGTTATGATCCAATCACCTTCCACCAGGTCTCTCCCTTGACGCATGGGGATTACAGGGATTACAATTCAAGATGAGATTTGGGTGGGGACAGAGCCAAACCATATCATTCCACCAATGACCCCTCCCAAATCTCATGTCTTCTCACATTTCAAAACCAATCATGCCTTCCTAACAGTCCCCCAAAGTCTTAATTCATTTCAGCATTAGCTCAGAAATCCATAGTCTAAAGTGTCATCTGAGACAAGGCAAGTCTCTTCCGCCTATGAGCCTGTAAAATAAAAAACGAGTTAGTTCTTTCCAAGATACAATGGGGGTATAGGCATTGGGTAAATACACCTATTCCAAATGGGAGAAATTGGCAAAAACAAAGGGTCTACAGGCCCCATGCAAGTCCAAAATCCAGCAGGGCAGTCATTAAACCTCTAAAATGATCTCCTTTGACTCCATGTCTCACATCCAGGGCACACTGATGCAAGGGATGGGTTCCTATGGCCTTAAGCAGCTCCTTCACAGGCTGGGTGCCTGTGGCTATTCTAGGTGTACAGTGCAAGCTATCAGTGGATCTACCATTCTGGGGTCTGGAGGACAGTGACCCTCTTCTCACAGTTCCACTAGGCAGTACCCCAGTGGGAACTCTGTGTGGGGGCTCCAACCCCAC
Source organism: Homo sapiens (assembly GCF_000001405.40). Classification (NCBI taxonomy): domain Eukaryota; kingdom Metazoa; phylum Chordata; class Mammalia; order Primates; family Hominidae; genus Homo; species Homo sapiens. The sequence continues at coordinate 58,903,273 of NC_000014.9, read as the reverse complement.
ATTTCCTTTTCACACTGCCTTAGCAGAGGTTCTCTATGAGGACTCCACCCCTGCAGCAGACTTCTACCTGGACATTCAGGCCTTTCCATACCTCCTCTGAAATCTAGGTGGAGGTTCCCAAACCACAATTCTTGACTTCTGTGCACCCACAGGCCCAACATCATGTAGAAGCTGCCAAGGCTTGGGGCTTGCACTCTCTAAAGTAGTGGTCTGAGCTGTACCCTCTGAAGTGGTGGTCTGAGCTGTAGCTTGGCCTCTATTAGCCATGGCTGGAGCTGGAACGGCTGGGACATAGGGCACCAAGTCCTGAGGCTGCACACAGCAGCTGGGCCCTGGGCCCAGGGCCCAGGGCTCAGCCCAGGAAACGATTTTTTTCTGCCTAGGCCTTAGGGTCTGTGATGGGAGGGGCTGCTACCAAGATCTCTGACATGACCTGGAGAAATTTTCCCCATTGTCTTGGTAATTAACATTTGGCTCCTCGTTACTTGTGCAAATTTCTGCAGCCAGCTTGAATATCTTTCCAGAAAATGGTTTTTTTTCTATCTCATCGTCAGGCTGCGAATTTTCTAAACATTTACGCTCTGCTTCCATTTTTGTTTTTTCTTTCTTTCTTTTTTTTTTTTTTTTTTTGAGACAGAGTCTCACTCTGTATCCAGGCTGGAGTGCAGTGGTGTGATCTCTGCTCACTGCAACATCTGCCTCCCAGGTTCAAGCGATTCCCCTGCCTCAACCTCCCAAGTAGCTGGGACTACAGCCACATACCACCATGCCCGGCTACTTTTTTTTTTGTATTTTAGTAGAGACAGGGTTTCACCATGTTGGTCAGGATGGTCTCGATCTCCTGACTTCGTGATCTGCCTGCCTTGGCCTCCCAAAGTGCTGGGATTACAGGTATGAGCCACCGTGCCCAGCCTCTGCTTCCCTTTTAAACATAAGTTCCAATTTCAGATCATCTCTCTCAATTTCAAAGTTCCACATATCTCTAGGACAGGTGCCAAATGCTGCCAGTCTCTTTGCTAAAGCATAGTAAGAGGGACCTTTGCTCTAATTTTCAAGAAGTTCCTCATCTCCATCTGAGACCCCCTCAGCCTGGGCTTCATTGTCCACATCATTATAAGCATTTTGGTTAAAGCCATTCAACAAGTCTCTAGGAAGTTGCAAACTTTCCCACATCTTCCTGTCTTCTTATGAGCCTTCCAAACTGTTCCAACCTCTGCCTGTTAACCAGTTGCAAAATCACTTCCACATTTTTGTGTATCTTTATAGCAGTGCCCAACTCCTGGCACCAATTTACTGTGTTAGTTTGTTCACACACTGCTATAAAGACATACCCAAGACTGGGTAATTTATAAAGCAAAGAGGTTTAATCAACTCACAGTTCCTCATGGCTGGGGAGGCCTCAGGAAACTTATAATCAAGGCAGAAGGGGAAGCAGGCACATCTTATGTGGTGGCAGGTGATAGAGAAAGTGTGTGAAAAAGGAACTGTCAGATACTTATAAAACCATAAGATCTTGTGAGAACTCACTCACTATCATGAGAACAGCATGGGGGACACCACCCGTATGATCCAATCACCTCCTACCAGGTCTCTCCCTCAACACATGGGGATTATTGGGACTATAATTCAAGATGAGATTTAGGTGGGGACACAGAGCCAAACCATATCACTCACTTAAGCTCTCAAGTCACCACTCTACTATCAGATTGCTCCCTTCAACCTCAACTTCCCCTTGCATTAAAGGGTTTCCTCCATTTCCCTGCATTAACTAAAAGCTGGCTCTTCCTGAGGATACCTACTCCCACCTAATTATCTCAAATGGAGGTGCTTTATTCTCTCATACACCAATCACCTAGGGTTGGTGTGCTTTTTGTTCCCCAACACCATGTGGCAGAATGTGTTTTCCAAAGGCAGCAATATCCCCCACTTACCTACTCTCCTACCTTGCCTCATAGGCAGGATCTCCCTCCTTCTCAGCAAATATACCTGCATCTGCATAATCGTCCTTCCTTCTGATGAAGGAGGTGGCCCTTCTGCCTAAGGATCACACGCTTTAGCCTCCTTTCATAGCCATGTTTGTCAATAGTTGTTTACCCTTACTGTTTCCTTTTCCTCACTTCCTTCCCACTCCTCAGCCTGCCCTTCATGGCTCTGTCCCACCACTGCACCAATAGAGAAGTAGCTGAGGTCAACAAAGACCTCTAGAGTGCTCATTTTAGTGAATATTTTTCAGTCTTTATTTTAATTGGTGTCAGAGCTAAAGATATAGTTTAAGAGTGAAAAATGGGAATGAAGATTATTCAGGAAGACTTCTGAATATCAAATCAAAAAGAGAAAAATGAAGAAAGAGGAAGGGAGAGAACACTGAGAAAAGAACCTCAGAGACTGTTAATACTTAAAGAATGATGAGAGACAGGAGACTTAGAGGCCATGGTTATCACATAAGAGAACCAGCATAGAACAATATTATGGAAGCCAAAGGGAAGGCAAGAATTCTGAGGGACAGCAAATCCATGTGGTACATAGAGTTCACATAAGATTGAGACTTAAAGTGTCCCTTGGATTTAGGAATTGGGAGGCCAATGGTGACCTAAGCACCACAGAATCGTGGGGCAAAACCTGATTAAAGAGGGTTGGGAATGGAGACACAATTTTAAGAAACTTGCCTCTGAAAGAAAAGGAGAGATCTCAGACAGCAACTAGAAAGAGCTGTTCTTTCAAAATGCAGAGGATTCAGGTGTAGTAAGAATTCAGGCTTAGGGTCAAACAAACTTCAATTTGAACCTCAGTTCTACCACTTAAAAAGCCATGTGAACTTGGGAAAGGTAGCTATTCCTTCTGTGTCTGTTTCCAATTCAGTTAAATAGAGATAGTAATACTTGCCTTGCTGGGTTGTTGTGAGGGTGAAATTAGATGAGAGCTAGGTATGTGGCATGGAGCAATGTTCTATAAATGATAGCCATTATTACTAAAGGATGAACACGAGAAATTATGTTTCTAGGCTAGCAGGAAGAAGCTAATGGGGAGGATTGAAAATAATGGATATATTAGAAAAAAAAGATAATGAAAAGTCCTGTGACCAGAATAAATGAGATTAATTAGCTAGGTGGAGAGGTTCACCTTGACCAGGAAGGGAGAAAGAGGGAGTGAAAAGTGGTGATATAAATGATTGCCTCTGGAGGGAGAGGAGTTGTGAAATTAATGGAGTCCATGACTGATAACCTCTTTTTACCAGAGAAGTATAAGCAAAGATTATCTGCTATTATTAAACATGATGGGACAAGATAATGGCATGAGTAGTAAAGAGTATTTGCTGAAAGGAACAGGAGAAAATGCAGATCAAAGACAATATAAATAGATGAGTATCGCTGAGGGCCTCAGTGAAACTGGAAACCCTAGATAAGCAGTGGCCCCCACCTGTATGTCTATGTGTTCTGCTCCAGCATCTGTCATTGACCTGGGTTGATTGTCCATCTCCCATCACCAAAATGTAAGCTGAGAGTAGAAATTTTGTCCATCTTTTCACCACTACATCTGATGATTGGTGCAGAGTAGATAATAAATAGCTGTTAAAGGAACAAAATTCATGGGTATACAAATGCAAAAAGAAAATCATAAAGATTGCATAAGTTGTGGATGCATAGAATGGAACAATAATTTGGGTGGAAAAGAACTACGGGAGCATATGAGAAAATTATGAGAATGACACAAGTGAATCAGACTGCAATGGGAATGAAGAGAAGCCACAGGAAAATTGCTCAACTGAGATAGAGTTGTGATATGTCACAGCTGTGATACCTCACAAGGCCAGAGGATTTCATGAGTCGAAAGGGGGGGAAAAGATTCAGTGGAAGAGTTTCAATTGACTCTTAAAATTTCAAAGGTGAAACTATTACTGAAGATAGAATATGTCCAATGGATCGAAAAATTAGAAACAAACAGAGACAAAAGTCAATGAAGCTGAAGGTCCAGGAACTGTGAAAGTAGAGTAAAGCTTTAATTATTTTTTGTAGTAGTTTTAGGACCATAAAACAGACTGAAAAGAAACCAAACTGGATCTCTCTCTTTCCAGAGTTATCTGTGTACGTTCCATCTCCCTGCCGAGTAGGGATTGTGCTATACTCACACATGGGACATTGTTAAAGTTAATAAAAGATAAGGTAGAATTTCTTAGTTCCTTCCACTTATACCCACCATTAAGCCAGTGCTGTCAATCAAAAGCAGCACTGTGAAAATCTGTCCAATTCGTGCTCCCAGTGAGGAAGCCAAATGTTAAAGCCAGTGGAAGGTTAGCAATTAATTTAGCAGTAGGGATGATGTCAATGACAGACTGCCTCAAATATCAGTTAAATAATTCTTCCTCTAAATGACTGTTAAGAAATACAAAGATTTCAAAATTTAAAGTTTTACTAAAATCTGATAAAATGCATGTGGGGTGAATTTCCTGAATCATCCAAATACCCAGCCGATTGGTCAGCATTACTCATCCTTTCTGTGGCTCAGTTATCTCACATGCAAAGTAGAGGTAATAAGAGTACTGTATTAGTCTGTTCTCATGCTGCCAATAAAGACATACCCAAGACTGGGCAATTTATAAAGGAAAGAGGTTTAACTGGCTCACAGTTCCACATGGCTGGGGTGGCCTCACAATTATGGTGGAAGGCTAATGAGGAGCAAGGTCACGTCTTACATGGTGGCAGGCAAAAGAGCTTGTGCAGGGTAACTTCCATATATAAAACCATCGGATCTCATGAGACTTATTTACTACCATGAGAACAGAATGGGGGAAATGGCCCCAATGATTCAATTATCTCCACCTGGTCGTGCCCTTGACACATGGGGATTATTACGATTCAAGGTGAGATTTGGGTGGGGGCACAGCCAAACCACATCAAGTACCCTCCCTCTATGGTGTTTGGATGATTAAATGAGGTGATATTTGTAAAGACTTTAGCACAGCACAGGGCCTGGCACATAGGAAAGATTCAAGAAATGAGACCCACGGTTGTGTTTTTCCATGAGAATGAAACAAAGCCCAGGCCTTCTAATCTACCTTCCTATACTCAGTCATTCACAGGAATTGCTATGCACTGCATATTGGTGCTCCCTAAAATTCATGTGTTGAAACCTAATTTCCAATGTGATGGTATTTGGAGGTGGGGCCTGTGGGAAGTGATTAGGTCAGGAGGGCAGAGCCCTCATGAATGGAATTAGTACCCTCATGAAAAAGACTCCAGAGAGCTCTCTTGCCCTTCTGCCATGTGAGAAGACAGTGAAAATATAGCCATCTGTGAACTGGGAAGCAGGCCTTCACCAGGAACTGACACCAAATTTACTGGTGCCTTGATTTTGGACTTGCTAGCCTCAAGAACTGTGAGAAATTTCTGTTGTTTATAAGCCACCCAGGCTATGGTATTCTGTTATAGCAGCCTGAATGGACTAAGACAGAGATAGTAACTCAAAAGTTACTCTGGGCTTCCAGTTCAAGATCAAAGACAGAACATGTGTACTAACTTCCTCTCCCAAAATCACACTGAATTATTGTAAAGTATAAGAAATTCATATATAAAAAGTCCCAAGTATGGCAAGCATGTTAGTTTGCTATGACGAAGTACTATACCACAGGCTGGGTGGCTTAAATAACAGAAATTTATTTGCTTATAATTCTAAAGCCTAGAAGTTCAAGATCAAGGTATCAGTAGGGTTGTTTCCTTCTGAGGCCTCTCTCCTTGGTTTATAGATAACTATCTTCTCCCCTGTGTCTTTGCTTTAAACAGTCTTTGCTTTAAACACGTCTATGTCCTAATCTCACCCTCTTATAGGACACTGGTTATATGAGCTTAGGGTACACCCTAATGACCTCATTTAGCCTTAATTACCTCTTTAAAGATCTTCTCTTTAAACACAGCCACATTCTGAGGTACTGGGGGCTAGGGCTTCAACATATGAATTTAAGGGGACACAATTCAGCCCATAAAAGGAAGTATGGGCATGAAGTAAGAAAAGATCTAGATAAATTTTTGGAAAACAAAAGACAATTGGAAACCAAATGATGGATAATCCAGAGATAGGCACAAATCAGCAAGGGTGAAGAAAAGGCTGAAGTGGATGTGAGTGCCATCTTCAGAGAGGATTTCTGAAGGGCTCCCAGTTCTAAGTCAGCTATGAAGAGTACCTAGGGAAGGAGACCCAAGACAGGGGTAATTGTCTAAAGACCTGAGTAAATAAGGGATAACTGGTGTTGGCTAAGCCCCAGCCCTGCTCATGCAGAGTTGTTGCCATTTGAAGTCAGAATACAGAGCTCTAAGTAAATTGGGCTGTCAACATGGATGGAGCTCAGGCATCTATTATGGGGATGGTATTCCAGAGTAGGACCCTGCTCACCTGGGCCCTGGGAGCCCCAACCTGCCTGATCTTCCTTAATCGTGCAGTCTAACGTGAAGGCTGTCATTGAATACGTATTGCATCCAAAACACAAAGCTTATAATTGGTCTTCACATTCAGGAGGCGATCTATTAGTGAAAAAGATCTATATGAAGATGAAAGACATGCACATCAGCTCCCTATACTAACCAACCTAATCCTTCACTTAAAAATATGACTAAACAAGAAAGGATTATCAGAAATGTGAGGAAAATTAAGAGTACAAGAGAAAAATAAAAGAGGAGCCAACAGAAAAATTAACTCTAAGGGATTCAGAAATAATTCAGGGGAATGGGGAAGGAACAAAGTTGAAATGAAAGAACGATGGAAATCAAGAAAAAGAATTTTAAAGGAAGAAAGAAGGAAACCCATCAGGGCAGTCAACTGTGTTCTAATAGGAGTTCCTGAAGAGAAGGACAATAAAAATGGAGGGGGGAATTATCTGAGAAACAATAAAAGAAAGATTTTCCAAAAGACCAGTCTTCAGGCTAAAAGGTTATATAGTACTGAACAGAATGAAAGAAAAAGGACATAAAAAACTTTAAAACATGAAGATTGAAGAGAAGATCTCCCAAATTTTGACAAATAAAACCCAACTTACTTACAAAAAAGAGAGAATCAGGTTGACATGCTATTTCTTATCAGCAACCACGGATTTTAGAAAAAGAAGAACGAAGGCTTCCAAAGTTCAGGAGAATTATTTTGAATCTAGAGTTCTGTATGCAGAAAAATTCTAATTGACTATAAAAGTAAAATACAGACTTTCAGACATAATATTCAAGATTCCTTCCCATTGATCTTTCTTTAAAAAGCAGATAATCTTTAAAAGGTGAGAATGTACTTGTGCAAAACAAAATAAAAAAATGGAAAAAGTAGGTAGAGACTGTTTGAGGGCAGACAACACTATAAGAACACTAATTTTCTCATGTAATCTCCTTTAAAGTGTTGGCTACATATAATAAATCAAGATATGTATGTTTAACTATATCATCTGAAATTATTAAAGTTACCAATAGAATATCTGAAAATAAAAAGACAAGTAAAAACAAAATTGAGGGTGGGGTAGGATTTCTCTTAGTGAACTAAATTCCTCAATCCAAAATAGGCAGATAATAAAGGTAAATGTCTGCTTGTGACATTGGTCAGCTAGCTGCCAAAAGATAAAGACACACAAACAAAAGAAGTTCTCCTTGAACTTGGAAGGGTCAATGGGGAGTAGGTAGTGGGCAGCAGGAAGGCTTTTTATACCTTCAGCCTTATATGAATTTTTATTGCTATGGAAGTGTATTATTTTTATAATGATTAAAAACTCTTTCTAAAGATTTCTAAGTCATGCTCTCAAACCACAGTTAAGTTCATCTTCCATTGGGTTTGGGGGTGATTCTTGATTCTTTAGCTAGCTACTTGCTCTCCACCTGGAAGAGATGTCATCAACAGCAAAAGCCTGGACACTTGTGTTTTCAGCAGTTTATATAATATAATCTTTTTCCAGCTAAAGGACATTTCATAGAATATTTTGTGGCTCCACTGTCCACTCTATCTCCACTCCTTTTTTATTCACACTTTTCTTTCCTCTTTTCTGGTCCCAATGCCATGAATTCACAGTTTCTATGCAATCCAATTATGAAATTTTTTTTCGTGAAAAAAAATCACTAGCACCATTAGCCTGCAAAATACATCAAATTTATATCTTTCTAATAATAAAGTTAACAACTGTGCTAGTATTACTTTTAAAAATGCTTTATTTCACATGTATATATACATAAACCTATGATATAACACAGCTATAGTTCCCATCGTAAGGACATGTGAGAATCGAAAAGCAAACTGGAATAACACTTCTATTCAGGACTTTAAATTAAATCTCTACTTCACCACTGTCAAGTCATTTTCCCTTGGTAAAAGTTCAGGACAAAGATTGAGCTTTCCCAGGTCTCTTTGTTCATGTTTGTACCAGTTCCTCTTGGTTATCTTGTCCCAGGATCCTACCAATAAGGGTTGTTTTTCTGCTTTCCTCTTGTAACAGTCAGTAAACTTCAGATCTGGGTCTCTCCTTTTCTAACATCCTTAACAATGAACAACTGGGCTTTAGATGTTACTGTTAACACTGCTTGCTTAAGCCTCATCTCATTGAGAAATATAAGCATACTCTAAGGTGTTAGCAGTTTTTACTTATTGTGTTAGTTTTCTATTGCTGGTACAATAAATTACTACAAACCTCATAGCTTAGCAAGGCACATTTATTATCTTACAGTTTTGTAGGTCAGAAATTGGACACAGGTCTCACTAGACTAAAACCAGTGTCATCAGGGTTGCATTCCTTTCTGTCAGATCTAGAGAAGAATCCATTTCCTTGTCTTTTCCAACTTCTAGAAGCTGCCTTCATTCCTTGGCTTATGACTCCATTCCTCTGTCTTCAAAGTCAGTGACAGTAGAGTCCACACTGCCACCTCTCTGATTCTCTGTAGCTGAGAAATATTCATTGCTTTTAAGGACTTACGTCATTAGATTGCGCCTACCTGTATAATCCAGGATAATCTTCCCTTCTCAAAGTTCTTAACCTTAATCACATCAGCAAAGTCCCTTTTGTCATGTTAGGTAACATATGCAAAGGTTCTGAAGATTCTGGTGTCAACATCTTTGAGGGCCATTATTCTGCCTGAAACACTTATCCATCAACATCCTTTGATTGCCTGCATAGGCGATGCCTGCGAATGAAGATGAAAGTGTGATATTGATTTAGAAACTAACCGTTTAAGTACTTCAAAATTTCTTATCAGGATTACATACTGATAACCAGGGTTCTCAATGAAGCATTCTACAATTCTAAATGGCATAAAAGGGAGTCACATTCCAATCTTTTTAACTTAATAGAATTTGTACGTAACTTTGAATACACATTTTCCCATTAAAGCAGAGAAGAAACAAGCAAGGCACATGGCAGGGACTCCAATACATTAGTGGGGTTGCAAGGGGTAGGGAGGATGGAAAGAGCTAGATTTATATTATTTCTTTTATTTTTAAAACAATTTTTTTACTCATTTTAACATGAATATGTGCTCATTACAGAAAATTTGGGAAATATAGGAAAGTATACTTTTTCTAAAAACGAAAGCTATATACAGTCTCACCTTCTCCTACATTCTCATTTAGATTCAGATTTAATAGATAAAATACAGTTGATAGCCACTGTCATTGACATATCACCACCCAGACATCAATAACATATTTGAGTATCATATTGATACTCAAAGTTATCTTCGGTTGATTTTCTCTCCCTAGATCTTTCCCAAAATGTGGACTGTTTGAAGATCTAGTTTGCATAATACCTTAACACACCAGAATAGATTTGTCTAGAAAACAAGCAGTTAGTAGGAATCCTGAAATGTGAACATAACATATGGAGGCCTTTACAACAACAACCATAATAAACACTATTATTTCTATTGTGTCAGGTGCTGTTCTACATATATTACCTCATTAAATCTTCCCAGTGCCCCATGAAGTGTCAGGGCTCAGAATATTACACCCTAAATGTATGGAGCCTTGGCATGCTGAGTACTTGGAACTGAAAGACATTGGAGGGGCCTCAGAAGCAAGGTCTCTCTGACCTTCTCCCATCTTCCTGTCTCCTGCCCCTTTTTCTGTCCCCAAAGCAATTCATAGAAACCAAAATTTCTCTCCCCCAAGGTAGATCTTAGACACTAGAATTCCTCTTCCCAAAGCAAGCCAGTAAAACCTAGAGAGGTCACTCTGTGATCTTCTCCCTTCTGCCTTGAAGACTCTCATGTGACAGGTGTCCTGACCCACACCCAGAGGAAAGGAATGCCGCAGAGAGAGGCCGGAAAGGCTCTAAACAGACAGGCCTTGCTGGATTTCCCTCTCAGTCTATTATCAATAGATCATATTCTTTTTTCCTATCACATTTCTACACAGCTGTCCATACTTTACTGAACCTAAGCATAGGAATGGACAATTTTCCCTGGGTCTTTGGGTTTTCATTTCTGAAGCTCCATATCACACAAAACTTTGATTAAATCAATTTGTTATGGGTTTTCTCTTGTTAACCTACCTTTCGTTATAGGTGTATTGGCCATGACCCTTATGATGGCTGAGGAAAGGTAACCCAATTTTTCAGCCCTATAGGGGTCAAGGCTATCATCCCCATTTTACAAATGAGGACTCTGAGACCCTGGGAGATTAAATGCCTTGCCTGGGTCACTCAGTGAGCAGCCATGCTGGAGCTTCAGACTCCCTGCACTCAACCTCTACTTATTTCTCTAGCATCCCTGGAGACCCAGGACACCTTGCTCTTTACCTCTTCTCAATACAACAGGGGCCAGAGAAGATGTTTATCAGGACATCAGCATTTATAAAAAGGTCATTCATGATACTGAAATACTAAGCGCAGCTAACATTTTATGAGTCCTTATTGTAGACCAGATAGTGTGCTAGACAATTTATCTAATTTAATCCACACAACCACTTCATGAGGGCAGAACTAGTGCCAGCATTTTAAAGATGAGGAAATGGGAACTTTGAGAGGTTAACCCAAATCTGCCAAACTCCTGAGACTGCTCTCTTAGCCAATACTTCTTACTGAATTCTGTGCTTAACTCAGTCTTGTTCAGCAATTGTATGGGAATGAATAAAGATATAAAAGGCACACTGACCAATTGCTTCCAGATGAAAAATAAAAACCAAAATTAAATCTGACAGCCTAGACTGATGCACAAAAAGAGGAGAGTGGCAGAGACATCAAGTCATACACCTGGGTCCTCAGAGGAGCTCAGCATGAGTTTTTAGGAAGAAAAGTTGCAACCTAAGAGGGCTACTGAAATATAAAGTCAACCTGAGACATAGATCAGGCATGGCTGCAGGCGGACAGTGTGAGGAGGTGCATAGTCCTATGCTGGGGAGCAAAGCCAGAGATTTGATAGCCTGCTAAGATAGTAAATCACCCCCCAAAAATCTGGGCATAAAGAGCTCGAGTACATATCATATGAGAAAAGTCCAGGGAACTGGAGTGTTCAGCCCGTGGGGAATGAAGCAAGTAAGTAAACAAAAACTAGAGGGGCTACAAGAGTTGATTTTCAATATTTGGAAACCAGTTATTGTGTATAAATAGAAGGAGCTCCAGGGAGGTAACTAAGGATCAACAAATTTTAAAGGGATTTTAAGTGCATAGAGGGTGGGGTACAAATTTAGTTAAGCAGAAGTAAGATCCTGCAAACAAAGTCATTCAAACTGGGAATGGTAATTTGAACACGGATGCTTGCCTCTTACCTGGAGCTTCATGTCCACCTGCCAGGAATGACATAGAGGGGACAGGGAAGAGTGTGGATTGGGTAGGGAATCAAAAGAGAATCATTTGCTCTAAGTTTATTTTTAACTTACACCTGTACAATTCCACGATATGATCTGGGCACCAGCAACTAAAGCTGGGGGGTGAGGGGAGGAGGCAGGCTGCCCTGGAGAAACAGGAGGGAGAGAAGAAAAATAAAGATGGGAACCTCCATTTTTATCAATCCTAGGCTCTTGCCCACTGGTAGATTTGCTCAGTTTTGTGTTGTGGTGTTTGCTTGAGAAAAGGAAGAATCAGTGTTGCTTTCTCTTTCTCAGGAATTGGGTTTCCACCTAACAAGTTATCAACCCAATTATTAGGTTGTCAATAAGTTTCTACTTGTGAAGTAAAGGTGCGTTTTGAAGGATATCAGTAATGAATAAAATATATTGGCCCCAAAGCAATTCCAAGCTGTTAGGAGGAATAGAATCTTAGAAAAGGTGGGTGGCCACTGGAGATTTGGAAAAAAATAAAACATCTTTAGAATCCCTGGATGGTTGTCAAAACTATACCTTTGAAATGCAAAGATTTTATCGGAAGTTTAGTTTTTGTTCTTTTTCTTTCTTTCTTTTTTTTTTTTTTTTTTTTGAGACAGAGTCTCGTTCTGTCACCCAGGCTGGAGTGCAGTGGCACAATCTTGGCTCACTGCAAGCTCTGCCTCCCGGGTTCACGCCATTCTCCTGCCTCAGCCTCCCAAGTAGCTGGGACTACAGGTGCCCACCACCATACCCGGCTAAATTTTTGTATTTTTAGTAGAGATGGGGTTTTACTGTGTTAGCCAGGATGGTCTCGATCTCCTGACCTCGTGATCCACCCACCTCAGCCTCCCAAAGTGCTGGGATTACAAGCATGAGCCACCGTGCCCAGCCGTTTTTGTTCACTTTTAATGTCTACAACAAAAATTAAGACAATGCATTCCTGTATTGAAGGGTTATAATTTGCACATTATCATCTCCCATTTTTGATACATTGACAGTGAAACTAACCTCATGTAGAAATGTGGATGCATACACTTCCGGAATGCCTTCCACATTGGGAACACATGTAGTTGTGTTCTGCCTGTAAGTGGCTACATATTTCTAGGGTTTGTCTGGTTGGCAGCTCCATTTTAACACTTTGTTGGGTATATATTTCCTTTGTTCAAAATGTGCCACATATTTCTGATTATAGCATGGAACTCAGGCTGCAAAACAAAACAAAACAAATCCTGCAAATGTTCATACCATATGACCTAAGGCCTTGCTGAAGCAAATTTTTATTAGAATGTCTTTTGCCTTCTTCTTTTGTGGTTTTGGAATTACAGCTTGCCACTAAGTAATTAGCTTAGCAGTCCTATTGTAATCAGTCCTCCTTTTTTGTCTGGTCAGAGGAAATGAATTTTACAAAGTATGGTTCTAATTCTAACCAACTCGTATGTCAGAGAGCTATTGCCATGATCGTGCTTCATGATAAATGGCAAATAAGAGTTGGCCAGCAAAAGTGGTGCTCAAATTTGGTGGCAACATCGGTGACCATACTAAGTTTATTGTCTATGAAATAAATGAGTGCATAAAGCTGTAGCTAAATTAAATATAATGTATATAAAGTACTTTCGTGCTTGGCACATAATAAACACTCAATAAAAGGGTTTATTGTTAAAACCAACAATTGGGCTGGCTGTCCCTGTTTCATGTATTCACGAACCTTATATCTATCACAGTCTTCAGAACACTAATGTGATTTATTCTGTTTACTTATCTGTCTACCTCTGCAACTAGGATTAGTGTAATAAATGTAATAAATCAATGTAATTTGTTGAATTACAAAGTGTCAACACTTGACTCTGGACTTTTTTAATTATTATTTTTTATTATTATACTTTAAGTTCTAGGGTACATGTGCCCAACGTGCAGGTTTGTTACATAGGTATAGATGTGCCATGTTGGTTTGCTCCATCCATTAACTCATCAATTACATTAGGTATATCTCCTAATGCTATCCCTCCCCCAGACCCCCCAGACCCTGATAGGCCCTGGTGTGTGATGTTCCCTGCCCTGTGTCCAAGTGTTCTCATTGTTCAGTTTCCACCTGTGAGTGAGAACATGTGGTGTTTGGTTTTCTATCCTTGTGATAGTTTGCTGAGAACGATGGTTTCCAGGTTCATCCACGTCCCTGCAAAGGACATGAACGCATCCTTTTTTTATGGCTGCATAGTATTCCATGGCATATATGTGCCACATTTTCTTAATTCAGTCTATCATTGATGGACATTTTGGGTTGATTCCAAGTCTTTGCTACTGTGAATAGTGCCGTAATAAACATATGTGTGTGCATGTGTCTTTATAGGAGGATGATTTATCCTCAAGGATCTAGAACTGGACTTTTAATAAATAGTTCTGCTGCCACTGAACTCCATTGACTTCCAAAAGATTAGCACATTTTCTTGATCATATTTTCTAGCCTTTTGTCTATTGGTGTAATCTAAACAAAAATCAAAGTTTTAAAAATGTGTCTGGATATAATTGTACTCTTAGAATGTTCACATATATGGGACAACAGAAGACCCTGGTTCAAAGATTCAAAGATTGATTATTCTGGAACTCACAGTACAGCTCTGAAATGGATGAAGTATATCCTGTGGCTGACCATGTACGATGAGACAACCATTACATCAAACCTCTGAACCAGAGAATGAAGAGTTTGAAAGGGAGTCTTCTCTTGTGGTCAATTCTAGGAGACAAAATTCAGAAAATCCACAGAGGCTGGAAAATAATTTGTAGGGAAATGAAAAGCAAAGCCAAAGACTCCTTGAACTTCATCTAGTATTGTAAATAACCTAGTGGCAAAACATTAGATGTTTCTGCTAAAATATCATTCTTAGAATATTAGCATGCTTAAATATGTCTGGAAAATCCTTAATGACTCTACATTTTGCTAAGTCCACAACTCTTTCATCTCCTTCCAAAAGCAGTGTGATAAACAGGTATCATTCAGGGAGGATGAAGGTTTCTGAGCTTTACTATATGAAAGAGCCAATTCCAATTTCCCAAAATACCACTAAAGAAGAGTAAAATCTCACAAAATGCAACAGATTCATTGTGCAATGGTGTTGAAGCAGATGGGCAAGGGATATGAATGGGACAACAGAAGACCCTGGTTATGCTAATAAAACCCTCAATTTCACTTTCACCATTAGCTTATATTCCATTAAAGAACTCTCAAAGAGAAGTATGTATTTTCTCCAAGTAGAAGAGTTTTGACCCAAATTCTTGGGCCGCTATTTTTTCATTGACTTCAAATGAAGACTTTTTTTGATGATAATACCATGGTTTCCACCCTGCCACTCACAGCCCTGCCTTAGCAAGAAGGTAGAGATAAGATTCTACATGACCAGCATTTGAGCACTATTACTCATGTCCTGATTCACAAATAGAACTTGACAGGAAGAACAGACACCTTTATAAACTAACACTAATGTGTCATGAATATCAAAAATATTTTGAAATTGAAAGTGCTCGAAACATTTTTTTAATCAAAATACCTGTATAATTTATATTCAGTCAGTCATGTGTTATTTAATTGCCTGTCACAAAGGGGAGGTTGTGTTCTCAAAATGTAATTTCCAGAGGATTACAAAGTATGGCAAGATGCCAGTCACTGAGTCGGTTTCTCAGTAACCAGTAGCAAGCTCAAGATTTTGCATGGAAAATTCTGCTTCCCAAAGTCAGTTACCTATGCTGCACAAAGGCTATCTTTCCTGAGTAGCACATGCCAGGCATGCTCTGCTTTGTCCAACAAATGTGCACTGAGAACCCACCATGTCCCTGACCCTACACTGGGCAGTGGGCACACAACTGTGCTGAAGTTTCCAAGATCTCGCAACTCAAGGGATGAGACAAGCAAACCAAATACAGTTGCAGTACAGAGCCATAAGGGCTCTGATAGGAGACAAAAAGCATCAAAATAATGTGAAAATTAGTACCTACAGAATGCAGCAGAGGATAATCCGACTCAGCTAGATAACTTTAGTTGATGGAGAGAAATGAATGTGTTATCTAAAGGGTGTTGAAATTTGCCTCTACGTACAAATCTTTATAATAACGTTCTTCCACATTCTTCTCACAGAATTGAGGGAATTCTTGAACCCATACCTCTCTCTGGCCAAATGGGATTAGTCCATATAACTCAAAGCATTGGGGGGTACTGATGGAAGGAGGAGGAGAGGGGAGAAGTTAACCTTTTGGAGCAACACTTATTTTTTACTCCTGAAGCAATAAGCTGGCTTCAAAGTGTAATGATGATTAATAATTCTCAATAACTACTATCTACTCTCTAGACCTTTCCTTCTCTTTTAAACCATAGGGAACTCTCCGATGAACTCATCTCAAAAGCATGTTAAAAAACAAAGATAATATGTTAAGAGAGATGTTACCAAAAGCAATTATAAGAGGATGACATGGACTTCTATGAACAATGACAAAAAAAAGTAGGTTAACTTTGGCATTAACTGAACTGAAACTTAAGGAAAACACTGAAGATGATCCATGGAAACTTTAGTTATACTCGAGCATGGGCAATGAAGCAATAAACTTGTTTTTGAGCAGCCAATTGTAGAATAGTTACAGCTGAGTGTTAACAAGACAAGCTGGTGAACATCTATCTTACTTTTCTTTTCTTTAAGAAAGATGACCTTCAGATGGAAAAGGATAACACAGATTGGATAGAGAAGAAGGCCATAGCAGGGACATTGTAAGGAAGCCTCTAATTCCAGTGAAGTTTCCCCAGGGTTTCTGGATGATTGGGAATAATCATCACAGCCCAGATGGGGTTTCTGAAGTACAAAATGCATGAGGATGGGTTCCCCAGAAGTAGATGCAAAGGATTTGCATACAAGCATTTTATTTAGGAGGTGATGTCAGCAAGCATGGGTAAGAAAGTGAGGAAAAGAGAGAGAAAAGAGAAAGAAGACAATATAGGGAGAGTTACTGACCAGGTGACCTCTGCAGACAGCTGGGGCTCCATCCTGCCGAGAGAACTCTGTGAGACAGTGTAAAAATGTCTAGGAGTGGTCCTATCCATGGCACAAGGAAGCTGGGACATCACCTCCAACTCTATCAGTCAGTAGCCAAAAGTTCCTTCTGGGTCATTGACTCTCCGCCATTCCAACCTTCCTCATCATTTGAGCCTTAAAAAAACAACTCTGGTAGAGATTTATAGGTGCTTGTGATAGAACTCTATAGGCTTGCTAAGAATGGTGAGAGCTGAGGCAGTATGAGAGGGATTTCAACAGTACTTACCACATGTGAAGAGAAGGAAATGGGCAAGAAACTGATGATAAATCAATGGAGACCTAGTTTTCAAAGAGGGAAAGTGGAGTTCTACAACTGATCTTGGAGAACTTGACATTAATTTGGGGGCAATAAACATATGTTATAGGGATGTTTTGGAGTAACTATAACAGAAAGCAGAAGTGATGAGAATCCAGCAAGAACCTTATTCGATTAACTTCATCTCTCTTTTTTAACAGGGTCACTAAACCGGTAGGTGGAAGAAATGTTATAGACCAATGTAACTATTGTATGCAGGTCTAATTTCCTTAGATAGCATGAAATTGACCAAGCTCAACCACAAGCTATCATTATCCAATGGCCTACTCAGACACCAGTTTGCCCAGCTTCAAAGAATACAATTTACATGGTATTCTGGGTGAATGTAGCTCTCTAGAACACAATATCAAATGCACTGTAACTCATGCCCCCTGAAGTTGTGGCCCTGTGACACACAGTAGTGACAGCACACATAAAGTTATTCAACATCCAGAGGAGACTTCAACTCCTCCCTCGGAAAGGCCCTCCAGTCTAGAGCAGGAGAAGCCAACAACCCAAGAATCTCCACTCAAGATTGTGAAGCTCCTCTTGAAAGCTCTTGAATTATGCAAGGCATAATATCAGAAGATATAGCTGAACAAATTCAACCTTTGTATTCCCATGGACACCCACGGATATCACTCATACAAAAATTCAGAAAATTCTAGTAGCATGCCAAAAACGATTTTTATCAATGACTTGAGTGTCTCTGTTTATATTCTTTCTATCTCTCATACACATACATATCACATACACAGTATACTCATTCACCTGAAGCAAAGTATAGTAAATTTGTAGATTACATACAATTGGGAAATGTGATAGATACTGGGGGTTGGGCTGCTCAATCTCCATTTTGCCTTCCTTCTGGCTGAAGATTATGGAGAACTTTTAAAAACAGAAAAAGCAAACAACTCTTGTAACTAAGATTCTGGATACAAATTGCCTAATTAGCACCTCTCATGAAGAATGTGGGAGGTGGAAGTGAAGCAGATCCCACTTTTCTGCCCTTTTTGATATTTCTGTGTTCCACTTTTCATGGAGAGGCTGTGGAGATGCGAGGCTCTCCTGCAGCAGTGTTTCAGTGTCTCTTCGATATCTTTCTAGGTGTCAAAAGGTGTGACAGCAACAATGGTGGTAGCATTTTCATTCCTAGATCACACGTAAGACTTTGTGTTCTTGAATGCACAACTTCAGAAGTGGCCTTGGAGGTAGTAACTCCTCTGTTGGGAAAATTCTGTAATGTTCTGAGAGTTATTTCTGAAGGCTCAACTTAAAATCTATTCTTCCAGTACTTCCAATGATTTGTTAAGAATAGTATGTGTGAAATTTCTTCATGGTGAAAA
Organism: Homo sapiens; assembly: GCF_000001405.40. Taxonomy (NCBI): domain Eukaryota; kingdom Metazoa; phylum Chordata; class Mammalia; order Primates; family Hominidae; genus Homo; species Homo sapiens. Next base: position 58,884,815 of record NC_000014.9, on the reverse strand, counting down.
TCCCTAGAGAGGTCTCTGTCTCCTGCACTGAATACTGACTACTTAGAAGAGTTGATAAATACATTGAATGACAGAATTAGGGTTAAAGGCAAATATAACATGATAAAACTGAATAAGGATAAAAGTCTGTTAGGTAGGTTCAAAAGCAATTGCACATCCGTCAGCTAGAGGCAGTATAACTTCACAGCATCATAAGAGAAAAAGCTTAGAGAGAGGTCACGAAAGATGGTAATGTGGTATCCAGAAAGAACAAAGTTATGGACATGCTCTGCTGGTCTATTCTGGTAAGACCACACTGAGAGAAAAGTGATTAATCCTAAGCATCATGTTCTAAGAAGGTGAACAGATCCCTTGAAACATCTGTGTTTTCCTACAGCCAAAACACAGATTAAATGGCATCAAGAAAGAACCAAATCTATTTCACAAGAAGAATGGCTGAAGAATATGGGAGGTCCCCGAGGACTAGAAAAGATTCAAGGTGGACCAAAATAGCCATCTTTAAATATTTACATGGTTTCCTTGCGGAAGATTGATCAGACTTGTTCTGTACATTTCAAAGATTTGAAACCAGGACCAAGAGAGGGGAGAAAGAGGGAGCCCAAGCTAGACACCCTATAGTAAAAGATGTCAGAATACGGAAGGACTGATTTGGCAATAAATTTTTCAACATTTGGGATATGCAAAAAACAAAAAACTGGAGACTCACTTGATAGGGTGACTGTGGGACACACTCAAGCATCAAATGAGTTGCTGGTCTTAGAAGGTAACCTTTAAGGCTTATTCCAAATCCAAGAATTTTTATAGTAAACTTTTTATTATAAGACTAGTAGGGTATTTCTAGAAAACTCACACATAACTCACTATTCTCAGAGACACAAATAATGCACCCACATCCCACCACCCTTCAACACACACACACACACACACACACACACACACACACAGTGGAGGTTGTCAGAGGAAGCTGAAAGCATTCAAGGTTTGGAATTAGGTAGATGGGGCCTCAAATCTTGGCTCTACTCTTTACTACTTGGATGACCTTAAGCAGCTTAAATCTCTGGTTCTCTGTTTGCTTATTGGTGAATAATGATACCTGTCTTGTAATTTTTAATGAAATTAGAAAAAATATGTCTTACACTGGATAAATAAAATTATTACTAGAAGGTTATCATCTTCTAATACTTTAAAACTCTATTCTTTACTTTTTAACCCTTACAACCTGCTAGACAAAAGCCAATAAGCAAAGATTTTGTAACTATTCTAAGTTGGTGTTTTCCTTGCCATATTTATAAGTTCTCTATAAAGTTGGCAGCATAGCATAATGGTTAATAATGAAGGCTCATGAGACAAGAAGATCTAGGTTCAAACGCCAGCTCAGCCTCTTCTTTACCACATGGCTATAAACATAGTCTGTAAACCAGGAACCTCAGTTATCTTCTCTGTAAAATGGGGCTGAAAATAGCACCTAGATTAATAAGGTTTGGTAAGGATCATCAAATAATGCACATGAAGCATTTTGCCCAGTGCGTAGCTCACAGTAAGTGCTCAGTAGCCCTTTCTAACCGTAATTAAACAATAGTGATAGTGATGACAAAAGCACAAACTCTATGAGCACCAATCTAAAACGTTAATGCTACTGATTTACTTATCTTTCAATACTTTCATCCTGGACCTACTATAGCATTCCTTTTTGTGATGAGATTATTTAGATATTTACATGGCTAGACCGTACTTCACACTGATTTCTGATTGCCTTCACTTTTCACAGAGATGGCAAGACAAATCATCATAACCTAATCTAGCACATCATTGGCTGCAGACCTATTTGGGAGGCCTGTATACCAGGGAGGCTAGGAAAACACGACTTCCTACTGGCAGCATTAACTCAACAAACCTCCCAGGGGAGCAATAAAAACACAGTAGCCAGCAGCCTTAATGAGGACATGCTTAGAGCACAGGGTAATCTTATAATGCGCTGAGCGCCCTGTGGAATTCACAGGAATTTGATTTAGCAACATTAGATCTCAGTTTCTCAAAATATTAGCAATATGATTTGTAATAATTGTCTCTTATTTTAGCTGATGACATCGCAAATTACAAGTGTTATTATGGCATTGTTTATAGTTCAGAGATCTTACCACAAGAATCTGCCTTTCAGCTGTTGGCAGATGTAAGTGGAGTTTGCCTTTGTTAATACAGCACATGCCAAATTTTTCCTCAAGGCCTTTAATCAGAATGTTACATATATTAGGACACATGAGCAGCCTTTTTCTGCAGAACAATGAAAAAGACAACCTCTACTCTATCATTATAATATTTTTAATGAAACCATCTCTTTCACTCCAAAAATCTCTTCAATTGTGCATATTTTGTCTGCAGCAAACCTCTAAAGCCCCAAGTGTTAGGTTGGCCCTACTACCTTCTAAATTAAAATGGCCAAGAAAGAATACAAGTATGAGAAATGGATCCAGCCTCGGTGGCTCCCACCAGTAATCCCAGCTGAGGCAGGCAGATCGCTTGAGCCCAGGAGTTCAAGACCAGCCTGGGCAACGTGGCTAAACCCCATCTCTACTAAAAAATACAAAAATTAGCTGCGTGGTGGCACGTGCTTGTGGTCCCAGCTACGTGGGGGGCTGAGGCAGGAGGATCACTTGAGCCCAGGGCGTCAAATCTGCAGTAAGTGGTGTACAACACCGCTCTCCAGCCTCAGTGATAGAGTGAGACCCTGTCTCAAAAAAAAAAAAAAAAAAAAAAAAAAAAGTGTGAGAAATGTGTTAGGCACTTCAAGAACTCCCAGATTCCACTTCTCAAGAACTGTCATCTTTGGGGTTAGAGGTAGTAATAGAAATGGTAACTACACCAAGTGGCATTGTCATAGGCAATGCCAAGGGATAGCTGGGAGGGAGTGTATAGAAAAGAAAAATTTTAGGGTGAATATTAGTAACTGCCAGCAAATGGAAGAACATTTATCAGCTGTTTCAAAGGCACTAAGATAAATCTAAAAAGAGATCATCATAGGAATGAGTTGAATATATCCTAATTGGGGACTAACTTAGGTGAAATTTTCACAGTAATTAACTGGCATGTTAAAAAAAAAACTCCTAGAGTCACTTGAAGATAAAAGCTAGTCACTCAGCATGTGAGTCTATTACTTGAGTTAATAGGCAAAAAAAGGAAAAACACTGCATAGAAGTACCTCATCTAATTGAGAGTCACGCCCTGTCATCTCATTTATTCAGGGTATAATTGAGGGATTCAAGGCTACAAAGCCAGTCTCCTCTGAGCACCAAATTAGATGGCCAGCCAAAAGCACCTGCACTATGGGCATGTTCCATCCCCTCTCTATGCTTCAGTTTCCTCCCCTGTTAATGAAGGTACAAATACAAAGCACATAGTAAACAGTGCTCAATAAATGTTTGCTGTTAATTTTATAGTTATTTTTATTATTACTGTTGTTATTACATCTACTAATTTAGCCATAGGAGAGGCCCTTGGGCTCTATTGAATTTATTCATTCACTTCTAAAAGTGTATGGATAGATAGTTTCTCAGTTGTAATAAAAAAAAATTACACACGTTTTTGTCATCCTCTTCTCTTGATTTTCCCCATTGGCCACCTTCTTAGTGTCCTTGGCAGGTTCTTTCATTTCTCCCACACCTCTTACTGGAGGGACACCCCAGGGCTCAGCACTTGCTGCTCTTTCCTCTATCTGTACTTGTCCCTTAGGGATTTCTCATCAGATGCCCGCATGGTTAACTCCCTCCCTCAGCTCCTTTAAGGTTTTCAAACCTTATCAATGAATTCTACCCTGACCACCTGTTTCCTCCTGTGTCCTGACCCCTGTCCTTGCATTCCCAACCCTCTTTTTTGTTCTACCTTTTTCTATAGCACTTATCCCTTTCTAACATACTATAAAATTTATGAATGTATTGTTTATTGTTTGTCTCTTCCTGCTAAGAATGTAAGAGACCAAGAATCTTTGCCTGCTTTGTTCATAAATACATCCCAAATACCTAAAAGAGTGTTTGACATACAGTAGGTCCTAAGTAAAAGTTTGTCAAATAAATAAATGACTAATAAAAAACCCAAACGTTTGTGGGAACACATGGATACCCAGAATAAAGGCTACATTTCTCAGTCTCCTGTGCAGTTAGATACAGCACACTGAGAGGGCAAAAGGCTTCCAGAGAAACCACATGTATTATAGGAAGCACTAACAATGGTCATCCTGATGGCATCTTCTGAACTCAACAACCTTCATTTTCTCCCCTTCTTATGAAAATTAGACAGAAGAACTCATTTAGCATAGAGGCAATTTTACACACCTCAATAGCCTTTAAGGGAAGTCAAGTCACTGATATTGATAATAATTATCTTGAATTATCAATATATCAAAATGAATTCTTTTTTATGTATTCTAAGTAGCCAAGGACATACATTTAATAAAGATAAATATATATAATCTTTAAATTATACATAATGTATTTTATATGTATATGTATCTATATTACATGTATATGTATTATATAGTATATGTACATTATATTATATAGTAGCTAAAATAAGAAAAGTCTTAGCACTTAAAGGATGGTAGTCTTTAACGATCTGGAAATCTACCATTTCCCATTGATGTCAGATTCAATGGGTAAAGATAAACTTTCTTTTTCTAAATGCAAAATTAAATAAGCCACTGCTTTTAAGTCCTCTTATTAAGTACTGGAAAACCTAGTCAATAAATGAGAACATAAGAAGGACTGAGAGCCCTATTGGCCTAGGTGGTATTTTATTCATTCATTTAAAAAATAATGGCCAGTGAGTATGTAAGGCCCTGTGTTAGGTGCTGTGGGGCTCACAAATCTTATACAGGTGGAGGTCCATGTTCTCATGGAAGTTATCATCCAAGGCATGATACAGGAGATCTCCTGGAGGAAGAAACAGCAAAGGCTACAGAGAATGGAGAGCCACCTGTAGTAGGGAAATAAGGATGCCTCGATCTTTCATTTAATTAATATGATCGAAGAGCACACTGAGCCCAGCCAATCTCATAAAGAGCCAAGTTTGTGACATTCCACTGAAAACCTAGAGATAGTTAATCCTAAAATACCCTCCAGCAGCAAAATTCTGCCTTGGAAAATTCCCTTTTCCTATGACTAACATGTGATTTCAGTCTATTGCCCAGTGCCATATTCCCCTTATCTCAATTATCCTACCCATCTGGCCCCAAATGCTGGTTCATGAATAATAGTTTACTATGTGCCAAGCACTGTCTAAGTATTCTTCATAATATTAATTCACTTAGTCCTCACAACAACCTTGTGTTATCGATACTATTATTATGCCCATTTTATAGAAGAGGAAACCAAGTCACAGAATGGTTACATAATTATCCAAGGTCACACTGCTGGTAAATGGTAGTAAATAGACAAACATTTCAGTATTATATAGCAAACTGAAAATAATAAGAACAATATAGTTACTTTCTGATAACTATACATAATTTAAAATATATAATTGTATAATAAGTATATACAATTCAAAGAACTGTTCTGTATTCTGAGATTATGCTCAAATGTCTAAGCTTTTATGAAATGATAGTCAAAGGAAGTTAAACAATCACCATTTTTAAAAAACAGGCCCATAAAAATCTGCCTCCAGGGACCACTGAACTCTCCCTCCCACTTTAGGAGAAAACCCTGCCCCTAGATTTGTTGCCCCACAACCTTGTCCCCATCCATGCTCTACTCCAACTCCATTTCCTCCCTGCCCCTTTCCTCCACTAGCCCTTTCATGTTACCCTGTGAAATTCCTATATTGATCTCATTCCATGTTTCCCTTTGCTCCTCCCCATGACTGAAACCTGACCCCCTTCAGTCAAACCACTTCCTTGGGTGAGCACATCATGCTTCCCACAGCTCCTTCTCCAATGACTGTGCTTCTCCCACCATTGGACAGCCTCCCCTTCTCACCTTTACCACCACTGGTCATCAATTCTCATTGCTCCCATATGCTTACTTCCAATGCTCTATTCTTACCTTCCTCTATGACGTTACCACTGGTAGTAATGTATCTCCCCAACTCAAACTTCTGCTACCATCATCAGTATCCAGGAAAATGACCTTTATAACATACTGACCAACCTACTCAACTTCCTCAGTTCCAGGGACATTTATGACCACTGCACTTTTGCTCAACCTTAGCCATGGCTGCATGTCTAAGGCCAGCATGGAGCATGCCAGGACAGCATAAAGAGGAAGAAGAATCGTTGGATTTTATGGTTAGGACATCAATGGTGACCTTCCAGTTATAGTTAACATATAAAAACACAATCAGGCTACAGGAGGTTAAGAGGTGAGTGGGTGGCAAGAAAGTGGAGACTATCTTCACTCAAGAAACTTCCCTCCTTGGAATTCACTTGATCCTGTAGCTCACCTCCACTTCATAAAACTTTATTCTCTTATCTGCACTGACACTAACCTGGTTTTTTCCTCCTATATTTCTAACAGTTCATTCTTTGCTTTCTTTTAATATACAAAACATTTCCTGAACTCCAATTATGAATCAGGCAGTTTGCCAGGCAACGAGGACATCAAAAACATGGTTCTTTCCCTCAAGTTTTTCAGTCTTGGAAAGAAGACTATTATATATTTAATTAATTATACCCAGTAGAATGAATGAAATGAGAACATAGAAAAGGGGGAAATTATCTCCATCAAAGGACAGGAATGGAGATCAAGAAAAGCTGCCTAAAGGAAGTGACACTGCCCTGAGTCTTGAAGAGTGAAGAGCATGTCAGATGTAGCAAATGATTAGGGAGATGGCATTGCAGGCAGACAGCGCAGCACAAGCAAAGGCACAAAAGCATAGTATATTTGGTAAGTAGTGTGGTGTAGTTGTCATATTCTAGTGGGAGAATGGTAAAGAATACCATTGAAAGGTAAACCACGATCAAATTGTGTAGGGAATGGCCTTAAAGGAGATGCCAATACCTTGGATTTTACCTTGTAGGTGAAGAATAATTACTGAAAGATGTTGAGACAGCGACACCATAAAAGCTATTTTAGAAGTCAATTCTAGAGATGGTGTTGAAGATGAATAAACCAAAAAACACAGAAATACATCCCACCTGGTGCAATGTTCAAGAACACATAAACTCTAGGCCTATGTTTCAGTTTAATTTTCTTCATAAGTGAGAACTGGGGTAGTTGTCCTGTTAATGGAAACGAAAGATTAATATAAGGGTCACCTAGAGATATAATCAATGGGACTTGATCAATTAAATATGGAAATCTAAGAAGAATAAAGAGTAAAAACTGTCTTAAGATTTTAAACCCATGAAACTATTGGAAGAATCATGTCAGTAGCAAAAGTTAGACGTGTTTTGCCAGCTCTCCTTCTCCCTCTTGCTCCAAAAGTTTTTCCTTCAGTGCTCTTCTCTTGATTTTTTAAACTCTTTTGCATAATATTTTCAAATCTGTCCATTGTTGAACTTTTCTATGTGGATGATGCCTAGTTCTTTCTTTGCAGCCAGTATCTCTGATGGTTCTAGCCCTATCTTTTAAATTTGCCTGCTAGAGATCTTTGGCTGGTTGTCTCACTGTGATCACAAATTAGCAACCTAATGCAAAACTGTCCTCTCCTTACTTTCCAACCAGACCAGCTCTTCCTCCAGTCTTCTTTTTTGTGATGAATATGTGTCACCCAATCATAAACTTCTCAATGATCCACCTCCATGGTCAATTTTCTGTAAGAGCATGTTGAGCACAACCCATTAACTCTCCTGCCCCCTCTCACTCCATCCCTCTGTCCATCCCACCAGCAATTCTTTACTGAGTCCCTGATGTCATCTTGCCTCCAAGATTCCCAGGAACATACACTTACTCAAGTAATTTCTTAAAGCACAGTTTTCACTCTTCCACTTCCCAGTATATGGGTTTCCAGTAGGATCCTGACAATGTTCCCAACCCAGTAATAGACAATACACATTTCATCATCTTAAGGTCCTCCCATAGCTGCAAGAAACTGGCAGTTCACCAAAGCATCAGTTGCAGCTCTCTTGGGCAAGAGCTACTTTTCACTTAATTTGTTACTGCATATAACACATGAGATATGCCAAAGATTATAGGATAATGCATTTTCTGATCTTAGAGAATAAACTGCTTCTTGCATGGTCCTGTGAAATGTCTACTACTGCAACAAAATTTGCTACTTGAATGGATTTTTTTTCTTAAATTTTAAAATGGTTCAACAGCAATATTTCACTGGGTCTACTCATTAAATTTTATTTCTGAGGTTGTGTTTTCTCAATATGATAAATTATAAAAAACTATAGTAATTGATAATCACGGGAAAACATTTGTAAGCTAGGGGCAGTAACTCAGGTTATTTTCTCTAACATGATAACAATAGCTCAGTGTCACTGGCAGACTTCTGAGTTCTTAACTCCAGGTTGCTCACCTTCACAAAGGCAACACAGACTTTTCCTCCAAGTCCCAGGCTGCAGTTTCACAGCACTCCATGGTGAAGAGATATAGGTGACCATAGAAAATAGTAATTGGATTTCAGCACAGGAAGCCCAAAGTGCCACTTTGGAAAGGTAACCTCTAGTTATATCCAAGTGTGCCTCTGAATCTAATGGCATAACTTCCCCTTAAAGGAGCTCATCTGGTCTCTACTGAAAATCGCCTATGCCCTAAGGATGGGAGGAAAATATACCCCTTTCCAGATGCCTTAGCAGCTCTATTCTTACTGGCTTCAGATCCAAGGAGAGAGAGTTTTCTGGGCTCAGAACTGGTCACTCAGAGCCGTGATGAGAGTCAGTAGGAGCCATGACTGGACAGCAGCACACATGGGCTCATCAGGGGCCCTGTCCCAAAAGGGACACGTTTGAGAGGGACCTCAGGATGACAAGGTCACATCTGTGACTCAGTCTTCCTACCCCTTAAGCCCAAGTGCAGAAGCTGATTCCAGTGTTCTCATAAAACAAGAGGTTATTCTAATGAGGCATCAGACTAGTGCACAAGCCCCACAGAGGTTTCTGTTTCTTTTCTCCAGCCACAGGCATGATTTAATAATAAGAAAGACAAGAAGCTACCAGATAATTCACATTTCAGGGTCAATTGCAATTTTGTTTTTAAGGTGACTTTTTTTTTTTTTTTTTTTTTTTGAGATGGAGTTTTGCTCTTCTTGCCCAGGCTAGAGTGCAATGGCATGATCTTGGCTCACCGCAACCTCCGCCTCCCGGGTTCAAATGATTCTCCTGCCTCAGCCTCCTGAGTAGCTGGGATTATAGGTGTCCGCCACCACGCCCAGCTAATTTTGTATTTTTAGTAGAGGACGGGGTTTCTCCATGTTGGCCAGGCTTGTCTCGAACTCCTGACCTCAGCCACCTGCCTCGGCCTCCCAAAGTGCTGGGATTACAGGCGTGAGCAATCGCGCCCGGCCTTAAGGTGACTATTTTTTAAAACTCCAAACATAGGCCGGGCGCAGTGGCTCATGCTTGTAACCCCAACACTTTGGGAGGCAGAGGCGGGCTGAGCAGTGGAGGCCAGGAGTTCAAGACCAGCCTGGCCAACATGGAGAAACTCCATCTCTACTAAAAATACAAAAATTAGCCGGATGTGGTGGCAGGCGCCTGTAATCCCAACTACTCTGGAGGCTGAGGCAGGAGAATCGTTTGACCCCAGGAGGCAGAGGTTGCATTGAGTGGAGATTGTGCCATTGTACTCCAGCCTGGGTGACAGAGTGAGACACTATCTGAAAAAAAAACAAACAAACTCCAAACATAGTACATGTTCATTGTGGAAAATACAGTAAATAAAAGATGAAAATAAAAAAAATAAAACACTCATGATCTGAAGACCCAGAGATATCTACTCAATATTTTCAAGCATATTCTTTCAGTGAGTATATACTCATGTTTGTGTATATTTGTGTATGTATGTGTGTGTATATATACATATGTTTTTCTTCTATACCATCCTAAAATGGAATGATATTGTACTTACTGACTTGTAACTTACTTTTTTATTTTACAGTATATCATGGACATTTTCCCATGTCATAAAATTTTTTCCAGTATTATTTTTAGTGGCTGCTTAGTATTCAAAGATAAATTTTTCCTTTAAAAATATATTTGCATCATCTAGATCATACTTTTTAAGCCACTCACAGGTCAGAACAAACAGGCTCATAATGCCCTGGTTTATTCTGATGGACCCTGGTATTTGGAATAGAGACTGTAAACAAACCCCTTTTATAATTCTGTACCTTAGACAGTACTTTTATCCAAGGCTTCAGGCCATCAGGATTTTTTCATGTCAAGAAAATAATAATATTAATGGATAAGTTTTTTTTTTGTTTTTAAGGTGACTTTTTTTTTTTTTTTTTGAAATGGAGTTTCGCTCTTCTTGCCCAGGCTAGAGTGCAATGGCATGATCTTGGCTCACTGCAACCTCCGCCTCCCAGGTTCAAATGATTCTCCTGCCTCAGCCTCCCGGGTAGCTGGGATTATAGGTGTCCACCCATTATATGCCAGACACTGTGCTTAGTACTACTTCCCATGCATTTTCTCATTTAACTTCCTCAACCCCTTTTAACATAAAAGAGTTATTTTCCATATTTTTTTCATAAAAAACACTGATGCTTAAAGAGGTTATGTAATTTAGTCAAAATCACACTAGTATGTGGCAGACCTAGGGCTCAACCTCAATTAATCCAGAGAATTGGACATTGTGTATAATTTGTCCCATGCCTTCCCAATAATAATTTCTACTCTCTTCAGGAATGAAAGGGTGACGGCCCACACAGCAATTATCTCCTTATCCTATCACACAAGCATAATTTACTCAACAATCCTTTACTTCCGTGAGTGAATAAGGTCTTGAATCTTGTGTTTTGGAGTAAAGGATGAGAAAAACTAAAATCCTTTGTTTCAAGTAACTTCCAGGATTTAAAAAGTCTCATGTGCAGATTTCCTCTTCGGATGATCATCTTCACAAACTCACACTGCCTTTTAGTGAGAGAACCACCCTTACATCTAGCCCCAAGCTCAGCACTGGCAAAGGGCCAGCCTTTACAGGGCAGGTAATTTACAGGCAGTGGCTGGACTACTTTCAACACTGGATGGTCTCTGCTTGAAAAGTGACCTTCTCAGTACTACGGAAAAGTCTTACTTCTCTGGAGAAAAAGTCACAAGCCTCAAATTTCTGAAAACATAATCCTTAACATTTTGCTTCAAATCTTTTTTTCTTTCTCCTGAAAGATCCAGCATAAATTAGGACAGAGATGATCAGATCAAATAGCAGCCCTTAATCTGTAAATAATCTCTCTGGCTTCATGGCAATCAGGAAAACAGTGGGAAACAGCCAGTTTAAGACTAAAGTGACAACCTATTAGCATTCAGAGAGAAATGATTTCTCTCATCACCTTGACTGAAGATGTCGTTGCTGTGGCAACCGGCCCCTGCATTCATCCCATAGCCAATGCTTAAATGACAAGGAAGCTGGTCAGGCTCAGAAAGGATCATTCACACTATCTCTTTTAAGTGACAGCCAATAAGGTTTGTACAGGAAATTCTACAAAAATGCTCATACAAACCTAGCACTTTTAATGGTGGTAAGATACTTTCAACCAAGCTTCCCTAACTCGGTTCTTCGACAGAAACTTGAGTTCTTTAACTTAATTGCACCACTTAACATTTAACTTCAAGAATTACAGCATGTCTTGGGGACAATATTTTAAATGTTCTTTTTTCTGGACATTGCTATGTAAAGTATATGTGTGAGGCATGATATGTTCCTATGGGGTACAGAAGGGCTCAGGGCAGAGATATTTTCCAGCTGGGATTAGGAGGGGAGTAGGACCTCAGTTGTCTTCTCACATTTGGCAGTCAGTCTTCGGTCTGAGGCTGAAATACCGACTGTGTGGGTATTTTTTTCCATCTTACCCCTCTGCCAGCAAGCCACCTGGACTCTCACCAAGCCCTGGATTCCTGTTTAAATTACAGATGAGAGTACCTTTGCACCTGTGGCCAGCTTGCTAAAGGACTACTTTTCTATTTGTCTGAATTCAAAAATGCTTCTCAGGTGGAAACAAAGTAATGCAGCCAAAATCATTTAATCCTGTTTCCTGAAGGAAACCCAAAGGACCTGGCTCAGGTTAGGTATCCATCTCATGCCTGATTTTGGAGGCACTCAATGTCATGATGTCCTACATTACACCTGTTGCAAAAACAGAGCACCTACGTTTACCATCCTGTTTAAATAATGAATGCATATCTTTTAAAAGTTTTATATGAGCTGGAATCCAAATGTTCCTCAGGGAACATTCTAATTCACCAGCAAGCAAATTGCTTGCATGCCTCATGCTGTGGTAGACTTACAAAGAATAATAAAAAGGAAGTATATTTTCAAAATTATACGGTCCTCAGATGCCACGGATAGCACTTTGTCTCCCATTCCCAGGGGTTGTGCCCATTTCCTCCCTGTTCAAACATTACATGATAAATCAAAATAACATTTCTGGTATTTCACAACCAAGATCCTTCTCAGTTCTGTATCCAAAATGAAAATATGATCTTGTATTTGCGCTTCATGAGGTAAGCACTTATTGGCTAATTCGGAAACTTGGTGGGCAGAAGACGGAGCACACCACAGTAGAAACTGGTGCCTTTGGCTAATAGCCATCAGCTAGGGAGCCTCTTACATGTGACTCGCTGTGTTGTTGATACAGAGCTCTCATCAGACAAATCATGGCTCACACAATGAAAATTTATAACAAAATAATTATAATTATAGCCCATACTTTTAGCACATACTAAACGCCATTTAAAATACAATTTGCATGGTGTCTCATTCGTTCCCCCTAGATACACCACAGGTTAAGTAAATGTTGCTACTGTCTTCATTCTGAGGTTTAGAGAGGTTCAGTAACTTTTCCAAAATCATATGACACAAAGGCAGAAAAACCCCGCCTTTACTAAGGCCAAAGCCTAATGCCACCTTTATGCAATCCCAATTTTCAGAAGCCCTGAAGCACAGTAGTAACCCTCCCCCAACCTCCCCGAGTGAGGTCACAATCATAATCTCATTACTTTGTAAGATCCAGTGCAGTCTTTGGCACATGATGGGTGCTTGGGAAATCTTTGCTGATTGGCAAAAAAAAAAACACCTTTTATTCCAGACTGGGAAAGTTTTGCTTTATAAAGACGTTGCACTGTTGGCCTTTGGCAGTTTGAGGAGTCTCTGGATGCTACCATCCTACTCATCTTGCCTGAGTTCCTGAGCTCTTGCCTCTTTTCCTGACTTGCCACATGCTGGTGCTTGCTTTCCTCTACTGGCTTCACAATGCAGATTTTAGAATTGCTTTTGTAACTGATGACACCGAAGAATCGAAATGCACGTTGTTCAACTCTTTAAACTGATACAGACCAGCCCTGGACAGTTTTAGAAGAATAGTTTTATTTCAAGATGAAATAAAATTAATATTCAAAAAAGAAAACTGCTTGATACAAATGTATGCAGCACGGTTGCAACGCTTTGCAAGCCAAGCTTTGAGTAATTTCTATGGGCTTCCGATGCCTCATTTCATACTCTAGAGAGCAAAACAAGTGGCTGTTCATGATCCCATGAAGAGTTTCCAGCCCAGGGCTGCCACATTCATCTCCCTGCTAATGACAGACACCTTAATGTGCCCAAGCAACAGCCAGAGTGAGCTGTGCCAGGGTGGCTGATCACCGAGTACACAGAACAGAGCCTATTAATGTCCATATTATATCTTTTTAGCTTTGAAATTTAAAATATTATAACAAAAAATGATAACTGGCTATGTTAGGAAATTGGAAAATACAGATAAACTAAAAAAAGATTTAAATCACTTATAATCCCACCCCATCCTTCCAGAATTTTTAAGAAAAATGCATTATATACATCTACTGTTTTTATAAATCTAATATATTATAAACACTTTTTCAAGTCAATAATATTCAACTTTGATATTGTTTTAGTAATGGTATGGTCTATCATGTAAGATTAAACCATAATTTCTTTAACCAAATTCTCCGTTGTTAAATCTTTAGTTGCTCTTATAAATAACACTTTGGAGGCCATCACTGAATATAAATCTTCACATGCTTGTTATTTATATAAGATATATTCCTAAAAGTCAAATTGCTGGATCAAAGAATATTAACTTTTTTGTTTTTTTTAAGACAGAGTCTTGCTCTGTTGCCCAGGCTGGAGTGCAATGGCGCAATCTTGGCTCACTGCAACCTCCGCCTCCCGGGTTCAAGTGATTCTCCTGCCTCAGCCTCCCTAGTAGCTGGGATTACAGGAATGCACCACCATGTCCGGTTAATTTTTATATTTTTAGTAGAGACAGGGCTTCACCATGTTGGCCAGGCTGGTCTCAAACTCCTGACCTCAAGTGATCTGCCCACCTCAGCCTCCCAAAGTGTTGGGATTACAGGCGTGAGCCATGGCGCCCAGCCTAGGGTATTATCAAAGTTGTTTTTTTTTTGGTTTTTTTTTTTTTTTTTTTTGAGACAGAGTCTCGCTCTGTCGCCCAGGCTGGAGTGTGGTGGCGTGATCTCCGCTCACTGCAAGCTCTGCCTCCCAGGTTCACGCCATTCTCTTGCCTCAGCCTTCCAAGTAGCTGGGACTATAGGCACCCACCATCACGCCCGGCTAATTTTTTGTATTTTTAGTAGAGACGGGGTTTCACCGTCTCGGCCTCCCAAAGTGCTGGGATTACAGACGTGAGCCACCACGCCCGGCCGGGTATCAAAGTTTTTAAGGTATTTGATACATATAATCAAAATGTTTTCCGGAAAATTTAAATCAATTTACCCTCTCATAGACAGTGATCCAGGGTATCTTTTTTTAAATAAAAATCTTATATGTTCCAGAGTCCACTATAAATACCCCTTGGTAGTCTGCATCATTGCTTTGCTCTGTTAACATCAGTAACCACAATTACCCTACTCAGCCAAAATGAGCCCTTGTGATTACTAATGAAATGTTCCACCATTTTTCAAAGGGTGTGGATGTGGGACCGGGTAGACACCACCCTGTCACACTCTCCCCCAGGGGCTGCCCAGTCCTAGGAGTCAAGGAAGAGGACCCCAGGCAGGGCCAGCCAGTCTCTGATCATTCATCTCATGACAGTGGGCTTACGTGGGTCAAGGTGAATTAGAACCAAAAGTACAGGTGTGTCTTCAGAAGTCCTATGAGCTAAGGCCAGCCCAGGTTCATGGGAGAACCACAGAGTTTAGCTGATCTCTTTAGAGGCTACTTCAGGCTCTTGGGAGAAAGTACCTTCCTCAGCATCTCAGAGGTCCTCCAAGCCCGTGTAAATTAGCTCAGGCTGCTGTCCCTGGAGCCCTGCAGGGCCAGAGCAGCTCACCCCCATTTTCCTGCCAAGGCCTTTCCTTGTCAGCAGTCATCACTGGCTTACCATTGGATGGAGCTGATTTTCTGGGTCATGTATAGAGATAACAGATGAGAAGTGGCCACATGTGAATATACCTTCCTTCATAATTCAATTTCAGACTCTATTTCTGGGTGAAAATAGTCCACTTGATATTTCTAGAGTGAATCACAAGTTGTATAACTTGTTCTCATTCATTCATCAAATAATTATTGCATACAGTAGAGTATATTTTTAAGGGGATGGTCGCTGGAGTCAGATTTCATGGGTTCAAATCCTGGCTTCAGCTCTTATTATGTGACCTTACACAAGTTACTTAACCTCTCTGTGCCTCAGTTTTCTCATGTATAAAATGGGCATAATATATTAGAAGATTTCTGTGACAATTAGACGATATATTTATTTAATTTACTTACTAATAACTTACATAAAACAGTGTCTGGAACCTAAGGGCTCAAAATGCCAGCTGTTAGAATTACTCCTTTGTATTCAGTCACAGACTAGAAACTCGGGACATGAAGAGTCCCTGGCTTCCAAAGGCTTCCTATTCAATAGAGAAGGTGGCTACATCAAAGATAAAAGTGTGATACCATAGACATAAAGCAGTGAGCAATAGGATCATGAAGAAGGAAGTTTTTAACTCTACCCAAGGATGCTGGGCAAAGCTAAAATAGTCTCTCCTCTGGGAGTCTGAGTCTTGTAGGGTTAGTTGGAATTTGTCAAGGAGACGAAGGACATTCAAGGCAGCATAATAATCAACGAGAAACCTTGAAGAGGAGCAAGGCAGGGCAGCATACAACTAAGTCAGGCAGGCTGTACTTAGGTTGGTAATGAGAGGAAGGGAAGAAGAGACAGAAGATGCTGGGAAGTATCAGCAGAGATCAAGGCATGAAACCTTTCATATCTCATGCTTATGAGTTTAAACTTTATCCTGTAAAGCCTTCCCTTCTCTCAACCTGGAGCCTTGGAAGAAAATATGTCAAAAGGTTCTTCCAGCCTTAGAAGCACAGTTTACTTAACAACAGGCATGACAATATACACTCTTATTTTTCTATTAAAATAAACTCAGATACTGTGGTGTGGATTGCAACGTTTGTATAATAAACTCAGATACTGTGGCACGGTTGCAACATTTGGATAACTTTGTAAGGGATTTCAATGAAATCTAGAACTTACAGTGGTATGCTTAGAGCTACACCTCCAGACCCCCAAGAGCAGACATTTATTCTCTCCAGAGGGGTTTGCCAGAGGAGAAAAACAGAAAAGATGACTTGACTGAGAAGACCAGAAGAGACATCTGTGTCATGTCTCATTCAAAGACAGCTTTGCACAAGTATCAGGGAATCATGGAAGAATTTGAAGGAGAGAACTGTCATAAGTAGATTGAGAATAATCACTCTGGTTTTGATGTAATTCTAAAATAATAATAATAATAAAAGAGATGTTCGGGTGTGATGGCTCACGCCTGTAATCCCAGCACTTTGGGAGGTCAAGGTGAAAGGAACACTTGAGCCCAGGAGTTTGAGATTAGCCTGGTCAACACGGCGAGACCCCATCTTTACAACAAACTAAAAGAATTAGCCAGGCATGGTGAGGCATACCTGTAGTCCCAGCTACTCAGGAGGATGAGATGAGAGGATTGCTTGAGCCTGGGAAGTCAAAGCTGCAGTGAGCCATGGTCGCACCACTGCACTCCATCCTGGTTGACAGAGTGAGACCCTGTCTCAAAATAATAATAATAATAATTATTATTATTATTATTATTAATAAATAAATAAAAGGGATAAAACCAGAAGCAGAAAGGCCCAAGGGGAGGCTAATTCCAAAACCTGAACCCAAGATAGTTCAGCTCACCCTTTTGTTATTCCTAAACATCCTACACTTCTCTTACATAATTTTTTCTTTTGAGACAGGGCTTTACTCTTGTTTCCCAGGCTGTGGGGTGCATGGTACAATCACAGCTCACTGCAACCTCAAACTCCTGGACCTAAGTTATCCTTGTGCCTTAACCTCCTGAATAACTGGGACTACAGGCTCATGCCACTGCACTCAGCTAATTTTATTTTTTGTAGAGACAGGAGTCTAGCTATGTTGACCAGGCTGATCTCGAACTCCTGGCCTCAAGCAATTATCCCACCTCAGACTCTCAAAGTGCTGAGATTACAGATGTGAGCCATGGGCCCAGGTCTTTCATAATTTGGCACTCTTTGCCAAACTAAACCTTAAGAAAGAATAAACTATACATGTTAACATATACGTGGCATACATTTGCTATCCAACAAATGGTTGTTAAATCAATATACAAACAAATGGAAGAATGAACTTGATACAAACTATTTTACTGGGTCTAGCATTTTTTCTCTGGAATAGGCCAAAATATATACTTAGATAGATATTAATAGATATAGATGTATAAATATCTTCTTTGATGATTTGAAATTTCTTTTTATCCCTGAAATTTAAATTCATGAAATAATATTTGTTGAGTTGATCCCAATTTTATTAATCCTATTTATTGGTTCTACATTCATCATTCTTTTTACAGAGGAGGGGCTGAAAAACTCAGAGCTCAAGTACCTTGCCAGGGTCATATAATCAGGAAAGGAAAAACAACCTTAACCTGGGCCTAGCTAACCCAAGGCTGTTCCCTTACCCATTGTGCTATACATTAGACTAAATAGGCTAACTAGAGTAAGCTCTGTGGATATCATGACATTTGATCTGGTTCCTAAAGGGAAGGTCAGTGTCCACATATTTGAGATAGGCGGGTAGGACATTCCAACTCCAGAAGGAAAATATGAGCAATATTCAGCATCCAAAGAATCCCTGGTATCTTGGGAGAAGAGCAAGTAAACCAATGGGGCCTAGATATAAAGAACTTGGAGAGCAAAGAAAAAGTTAAAAGTGGGAAGTACGATTAGAAAACTGGGTTAGGGCTAGATACCGTCTGGCCAACCAAGTCCAAGAGGGAAGTGAACCACAGCAGGTTTCCCAGCAGGGAGAAGGCATGGCCTGAGCTGAATGACGTGCAGATTTCTTGAGGTCTGAGCTTTTAAAGGTGAACTCAAGAAAGCTAACTCCTTTGTGTATCAGTTTCTATGCTGTTAGATGAGCAGCTTATATAACTCAGATCCACTCCTCAGCTCTTCAGGAAAGTAGCCTAGTTAATTTTCACAAGCTGACTGAAGATAAATCATGATCCAGAACAATAGTAGTCATTCTTATGGTGTGTTTTCCTTTCCCAACCTCAAATTCATCAGAGGATTTAAAAAATAAAGCTGGTTTTCTCTACTGGGTTTCTTTGCTTCTGGGTTTTGGAACCGAGTGTTTACACAAGGCCAAGTGTTCTGCTAGTTCATGAAATTATACACTGGATGGATACATCATTTGTCTTTTCTTAGAAGACCAGAAAATGAAGCATCTGGCCTTCTTGGTTTCTTGCCACCATTAGAATCATCTTCATTCAGGAGTCACAGTTTGCTGTGGATCTTAGTGGAAAGGTTTGAAACTTGCTTCTGGTTCTCCAGGTCTTACAGGGTGGAGTGAAATTTGATGTGGGCGGGGGGAAATATTCAGCTCCTTACATTTTGCTCTTCTCTTTTTCCCTTGAAGTTAGACATTCATCAGGCTTGCCTGGTAGGAGGTTGCAAGCCAAAAATAGCATGCAGTTGGGTGAGGTCTGGAACACAGAACCTCAGTGTAGGCAAACAACACCACCCACACCCCAGCCCTGAGGATTCTGACATCACATTCCCACAGCCGAGTATGTAAGACATCGTTATGTCCTAAGCATCCATTGCAAGCTACGGAAGCAATATGGAAAACACCCCCGTATATTGTAAAACATGTTAATTGAAACCAGACTTTGGCTCCTCCTTTTTAAATCCAGGTGAAAGTTCATTATCCTTAGGGGGAAAAAATGAATATGAGCAATGTATTTTTCTTGGACTTGGAAAATATTGCTCAGAATCCACTACATCTTATCTGTTAGAACTGCCCCCTCCCCACTCCCACATCCACCTATTTTCCTTGCATCTTTCACATGTTCCCCATCCCTCACCACACTGACTTCCCTACCCTCTTCCCACTCCCAGCCAGATGACTTACAGAAATAAACGAGAACTGTTATTTCCTCAGTGGGCTGGGCTTTCGATAATGTTAAGCTGTTTAGGTTGAAGCTGTGGCCTGACTTTGTCAAAAGCCATATGGTGCTGAGACAAAACTGGGGAGTAGGAGAGCACCGCCAAGATCTGCAAGATCTGTGACGAACCAAAGCTGTGAGTTTCATGAGGAAAGAGGAGATTAAGGGCGTTCTGGCTTTTTTGGCAAAAGCCCCAGTTGAACACAGGAATGCCCAGAGGCAAAAGCAACTCAACCTACAACAAATTAATAAAACAATCTGTTGATCCTGGCTTTGCTGTCAACACAGTAGACTAAAGACGCTTCTCAACTTCCAGGAAATAAGCACTCACAAGCCTCCCACCTTTACACTGAGGCATATGCCCAGTCTCCCAGGACCAAATAAGAGGAATTGTTTTCTGTGTGTCTCTTACTCAGTGATGTATTAAACTGGTTACATGAAGCATTTATAACAACATGCTCTTTCTTTTGTGAAAAAATTCCACACGTCCCTCCTAAGAGAGATGCAAGTGTTTCAGTGACTTAGTCATTATAGAATTCCATCAGGAACAAAAAAAGCTACATAACTTTTACTAGAAATAAATGGGAAAGAAAAATATTTGTTGTTATTTCCCCTTAAAATTTTACCATGAATAAAAAAGTAAAACATAATCTTCCACACGATAACATCCACAAAATGTATTCACCCTCCTTGATCCAACTATTATATATTATAGTCTTACAGAATCCAAATATGTTTATTCTAATAGAATTTTTATTCAAATATTTTTGACATGGAGTTAGCTTTGTGTTATAATTTCAAAATACTTTTCTTTTTAAAAAAATATACTTCCGAGATTCTGAAAGAGAAAACAAGGAAAGCCAGTTGCATGTACTAAAAAATAAGGTGACTGCAACCATCTCAAGGCAAAGCGAATAGGACTCGAATATAGTTTTAAATGGTCCTAAATAGGCCACTTCACTGGAAAGAGTTAGAAATGGGTATCTGCATAGAGTAAGTTTATTATACAGGTTGTAACATATATAAGTCAGGAAGTATGAACTGGCCTCCCGTTTTGTTTAGAGTAGGGAGTTGAAAATAATTTACAATAGATAAGCTAATGAGACTGGATGCTGTGGTTAATATGAGCTAACTTAGAGGGGGAGAGAGAAAGCTGTAGTACAAATACGCTCCAAACAAAAGATGTCAACACTCAGGGTAGGAAAGTAGGAACTTCAAAGCTAATAGTAGAAAGAAAATAACTGTGAAAGTTGAGATGGACTAAATATTGCTTTTTCTCCTGATTTCCGCAGAAACCGAGACAGTACCCACTGCCAGCAGCAGATGGGAAGTCTAAACAGGAGAGACTGAATAAAGCTGACAACTGAGGCAGGATAAAGAAGAGAAGGAACAAAGAAGGAGGGGGCAGGAAAAGAAGCCAAGCAGAACATGCTAGCCTGTCGATTTTGTCTTCCATTAAGGCTTCAGCAGAAGATAAGAAAAGCTAAGCCACGTCAGTGAAGGGAGGACAGCAGGAAGGCTTTCAGGGGAAGATTTGTGGTGTGGATTCACTCGGCATTGATGAGAGCAGCTCCCCAGACAGATACCGAGGTAAGAACTCTGGTTATTAATGAAATCAGGATGAACTCACAGGGTATCATTTGTAATCATTTAAATTCCAGAAAATAGAAGAGCTTCAATTCATCAACAGAAGTAGATTTTTTTAAGCCTATTTCAGAGAAAAAGACTAGATATACAAATATTTTTTGGCAATTCTGTTTAACAGGCCAAGACTAAATGTTTTATTCTCAAAAATGACAACAATGAAAACAAGCAATTTGTGTTAAAATTAGAGGGACATAATGATGTTCTAACTGTTACAGGGAAAGCAACAGCACATTTGAAATATGTACATAGAAAGTACACATGAGAAAGAGAATTGTAGCAAGGCGGGGGGGTTAAATTCCCACAATGTTGTTTTCAATTAAAGATAGGGAAGGTAAGATTAGATAGCCAAAAAGACATGATAGAAGAATAAGTGGAAGATGGATGGATGGATGGATGGATGGATGGATGGATGAATATAGATAAGGAGGTCAATTGATTGACACATAAATCCAAAAGACTAAGCTATGTGCACAAAAAAATCATTTAGGTACTTTAAAAGAACAAGGCACCCATATTTCATCCTTTTCAAACAAATTGTATACAATCTCTTTAATGACAAAATTAAAACATATTTATTCAAACGGTCCAATTCACATCAAAACAAGAAGAGGCCTACACAGCTGGGCCAGTTAACATGAATGAATAACTTAGCCAGTAACATCTGCCAAATGAATGTAGAGAGAACTCCAGAGGCTTTAAAAGGAGAAACCAGAGAAGAGGCTTCCGGAAGAAAATGAGAAAAATAAAGGTGATTAATTTAGGATTCAGGAGTGAGAGTGAAGAGGTTAGAAAATGAAATAGGTAGAATAAAAAGACACTAAAAATGTAAGAAAAAAACTAACACAAATTATAAACCTCAAGAAACAGAAAGGAGATACATGAATACATATTATAGCAGTAAGGATTTTTTGTTTGAAGACTCCACCAACCTATGAGCCAGAGAAGGTGCTGGCTGCCAGCCTTACTGTGCAGCCTTGCATGTGCTGATGATGGAGTTGATCCACCCAGCTCCAAGGTCTGGATTTCAGCTTTGCTTGCTCAAAAGCTGAATTTTGCCAAAGCTGAGACTGGATCCAGAGCTCAGGCTCACAAATAGTAGGTAAACCAGGATGTCAATGTATACATGCAGAAGTGCACTTTTCTCCTCAGGCAGTCTTCAGAGGAAAGCAAAGAATAATTGGAAGATCATTTGGAGAAGATGGCATTGGCACAAGAGAAGTCCTGTAGCATAGAGAGTAAAAGCTTAGACAATGAAGCACATGAGTTTGTCACTTGCTAGCTATGTGGCCTTGGACAAGTTATTTAATTTCTCTGTGTCTCAATTTTCTCATTTATAAAATGGGGCATTTCAGTTGTCTATTTCTACATAACCAAGCACCCCCAAATTTAGTTGCTGTATTAGTCTGTTCTCATGCTGCTAATAAAGACATATTCGAGACTGAGTAATTTATAAATAAAAAGAGGTTTAATGGGCTCACAGTTCCACATGGGTGGGGAGGCTTCACAATCATGGTGGAAGGCAAAGGAGGAGCAAAGTCATGTCTTACATGGTGGCACGCAAGACAGCGTGTGTAGGGGAACTGCCCTTTATAAAACCATCAGATCTCCTGAGACTTATTCAGTGTCATGAGAACAGCATGGGAAAAACCTGCCCCCATAATTCAATTACCTCCCACTGGGTCCCTCCCATGACTGGTGGGGATTATGGAAGCTACAGTTCAAGATGAGATTTGGGTAGGGACACAGCCAAACCATATCAGTCGCTTAAGACAACAATCATTTATTTTGTCTACAAATCTGCCATTTGAGCAGGGCTTGGCAGGGGCAATTCATATGCATTCCACAGTGCAGAGATTCAAGAGGAGAGGACATAAGGCCATAGGGAAAGTATCAAAAAATCG
Source organism: Homo sapiens (assembly GCF_000001405.40). NCBI lineage: Eukaryota > Metazoa > Chordata > Mammalia > Primates > Hominidae > Homo > Homo sapiens. The sequence continues at coordinate 58,861,703 of NC_000014.9, read as the reverse complement.
TGGGGTCATTTTTTAAAAACCACAGGAGTCTGCCCTTTGCCCACAAGTTATTTTTATTCCTCCCACATGCAAAATACATTCAGTCTCCCAAGACCCTCAGATTTCTTCCCTTTAAAGCAACAAGCTTCTTTTCGTTTTGCACTTTCTGTCTTTTTAGGACCAGCTAGTGATAATTTCACTGTAACTCTCTGGAAAACTTTGTGAGTTTCATATAAATCTTATTGGAGTTCATTCCATTAGACAAAAGCCACAATTGCAAATCTCTTTGAGATAACTTCTCACTCAGGTTCCCTTTGAGGCTCCTGAGATTCCCTTTGAGGCTCCAAACATTTCTAAGATACTTTCTAAAAGCCTTTGTGCTTAAGAGGTGCATCCAGGAGGCACCCTTTAAGATCCTTAGCAGGCTCAGCTTCAAGATGGCTGACTGGATACATTGGGTACTCACCACCTCTTTCACAAGGAAGAGCCAACATAGTAAGTAGATAATCACATTTTGAATAGACATCTAAGAGAGAACACTGAAATTCAACAGAGGAGTGAAAGGACATACCTAAGACAGGAAGGAGAGGAGCAGCCTGCTCAGCCAAGATTGGCTGGGAGCCTGGAGAGACTCCTCAATGTGGGAAACAGATAAGTGGTCCACATTCCCACTGTGGACTCCTGCAATTATAGCCACAGGAGAGCCCCTTGACCCTCACAGGACCTAAGACCAACATAGGGAGCTGTCTGGAGACTGCACAACAGCATTGTTCCAGAAAGGAAGCTCACACTGAGTCCTATACACCTCCTAAGTCCAAAGCAGCTAGAGCACAACACTATTTTGAGATCCCATTTCCTACCAGTCTGTATCTTGCCCTGGGGAAAAATAGCCCCTGCATCTGCATATCCCCAGAGCCCCAGTGACATTCCCCACCAGCAGCTACTTCCCCTGAAGGGTAACCTACCCATAGCTACTGCCACAGCTGGCTGCTGCCACCATAAGTGCCAAAACACAAGTCACTGGCAGTGACCCGACCCCACCAGCAGAGGGGCATCCATTACAAAAGCCACCCCACACCATGCTGCTACCACTGCCAACTGCTGCCACTGCCAGGATGAAGGCTGAGCTGCCACAGGCAACTTCAACCCAACCCCTAGCAAAGGGGTGGCCATGCACTTTCACACTGCTTGCAGCTGGTGTTGCTGTGGGCTGCTGCAAAGGGGCCGAAGCAATAGCAAAGCATACACCCCTGGCTACCTGCCTGTGGCTGCTCCCAGTGAAAGCAACCCCACCCTCCTAGTAGCAGGCCTACAGCATAGTCACTGCTGCCCCTACCTAAGCATTTCACCAGTGACCTGCAGACTGCCCTGCCCCTGCCTACCACATCCAGTGCCTGAATACACACCAGTGGCGAGGGCTAAAGGCAGGTCCTCCCAGCTGGACTCCATACCCTTAGTATGCAAGCACACTATCTGAGGCATAGAGCCCAATCCACCATCCCACTCCACCATCATAGGCACCTGAGCATTCCTCCTGGGGGCCTGAGGTTGGGCTCACCCAACCTGCTGCTACCACCACAGCTGATACCCACCCATATATGCCATTTGCAGGCCTGGGCACTGGCAAGCACAGCCTGTTGCATATACTGCCAACACAAATGTGAGACACAGAGGGTATCCTGCCACTACTACTGACATCACCTATGCCACGTCTGCAGCCCAGGAGCCCAAGAATTTGCCCACCCATAGTGTCCATGGCTGCCACTCCTGGCACTCTCGAAAGCCACCTGGAGGCCCAAGAATTGGTCTGCCTGGACACAATAACACCAGTGCCAATGTATACCACTCTGGGGCCAAAGAATAAGCATACTCAGCCCACCACTGTACCACAAGGACTGGAAGACGGGCCCACCTGGTATCCCAGTCTCCATTAAAAATTCACCACAACCTCCACTAACAACTGAACCCTAGGCCACCAAGTAAATCACAGGCACCACTAACTCTGTTAATAGCTGAAGAAATCATACACAGACTACACTACTACACACGCCAAGAATCAAAGCCAAAGTGCCCTACCCAATCAACACCATACATACATCTTCAGGGAAAAAGCACCCCATTATGAAAGCAAATTCAAAAAATTGAAAGAGGGACTGCTACACTGATGCACAAATATCAGTGTAAGGACACAAGGAACATAAAAAAGCAAGGAAATACGACATCTCTAAAGGAACACAATAACTCTCCAGCAACAGATTCCAATAAAAAAGAAATTTACAAAATCCCAGAAAAAATCAAAATATTGATATTAAAGAAGCTCAGTGAGATGCAAGAGAATATTGAAAAATAATACAAAAAAGTCAGAAAAACAATTCAGGGTATGAATGAAAAATTCACCAAAGAGATAGATCTCATAAAAAAGAACCAACCATAAATTTTAAAACTGAAGAATTCATTGGATGAATTACAAAATACATTCAAAAGCTTCTACAATAGACTAGACTAGATCAAGAAAAAAAAAAGAAGTTTAAGATGTGAAAATAAGTCTTTTGAAATAACCCAGTCAGACAAAAAAAAAAGAAAACGAATTTAAAAAGAATGAGCAAAGACTACATGACATATGGGAGACCATAAAGCAACCAAATATTCCAATTTCTGTACCCTAGAAGGCAAAAAGAAGACCAAAAGTTTAGAAAACTTATTTCACAAAATAATAGATGAAAACTTCCCAAGTCTAGCAAGAGATTTAGACAGACAGATACAGGAGACTCAGAGATCACCAAATAGATACAATTCAGAAAAGTCTTCTCCGTAGCACATTGTGGTCAAACTGTCAAAAGTCAAAGACAAACAGAGAATTCTGAAAACAGCAGAAGAAAAGCATCTAGTCACTTATAAAGGAAACTCCATCAGACTAACAGCAAATTTCTCAGCAGAAACCTACAGACCAGGAGAGAATAGGATGATATATCCAAAGTGCTGAAAGAAAAACAACTGCCATCCAAAGGTACTATACTCAGCAAAGTTGTCTTTCATAAATGAAGAAGACATAAAGTTTTTCCCAGATAAGCAAAAGCTCAGGGAATTCATCAGCGCTAGATTGGTCCTACCAGAAATGCTTAAGGAAGTTCTACACCCAGAAGTGAAAGAACAATATCTACCATCGTGAAAACACACAAAAATATCAAACCCACTGGTAGAGCAAATAGATAAGGAAAAGACTCAAATGTTACCACTACAGAAAACCACCAAACTAAAATAATAAGCAATAAGAGAAAAAAGAAAGGAACAGAGGATATACAAAATGACCAGAAATCAATTACTATGGTGATAGGAATACGCCCTCACATATCAATAATAACCTTGAATATAAACTGATTAAACTTTCCACTTAAAAGATACAGACTATCCAAATGAATTTTTAAAAACTCAAGTATATGCTGCCTATAAGAACCTAATCTCACCTGTAAAGACATACAGACTCTAAATAAAGGGATAGAAAAAGGTATGTCATGCAAACAGAAACCAAAAGTAAGCAGGAGTAGCTGTACTTATATCAGATAAAACAGACTTTAAGTCAAAAACGGTAAAAAGAGATAAAGAATTACTATATCATTGTATAATGATGAGGGGATCAAGTCAGAAAGAGGATATAGCAATTCTAAACATATACGCACCCAACACTGGAGCATGTAGACATATAAAGCACATATGATTAGATCTAAAGGGAAAGACTGACTCCAAAATGACAATAGTTTGGGATTTCAACACCCCACTCGCAACATTAGACAGATCATCTAGATGGAAAATCAACAAAGAAACATTGGATTTATACTGCACATTAGACCAAATGGACCTAACAGACGTTTACAGAACATTTCGTCCAACAGCTATAGAATATACATTCTTCTCTTCGGCACATGGAACATTTTCTAGGCTAGACCATACATTAACACACAAAACAAATATCAAAAAAAAATAAATAGAAATTATATCAAGCATCTTCTCATACCACAATGGAATAAAACTAGAAATTAATAACAGAAACCTTGGAAACTGCACAAACATGCTCTTGAATGACCAACGGATCAAGGAAGAAATTAAGGAGAATATCAAATAATTTATTGAAATAAATGAGAATCAAAACACAAGCTACCAAAAGCTATGGGATAGAGCAAAAGCAATGCTAAGAGGAAGTTTATAGCAATAAATGTCTACATCAAAAAAAAATAGAAAGAATTCAAATAAGCAATCTAATGATGGACCTAAAGAACTAGAAAAGCAGTAACAAACCACATCCAAAATTGTTGTAAGAAAAGAAATAATAAGAATCTGAGTGAACTAAGCAAAATAGAGACTAAAAAAATACAAAGGATCAACAAAATGAAAAGTTGGTTCTTTGAAAAGATAAAATTGATAAACTGTTTGCTGGACTAGCCAAGAAAAAAAGAGAGAAGACTCAAGTAAACAAAATCAGAAATAAAAAAGAAACATTTCAATTGATACCACAAAAATAGGAAAAATTGTCAGAGATGATTATGAATAACTATATATTAACAAACTGGAAACCTAGAGGAAATGGATAAATTCCTGGACACAGACAACCTACCAAGATTGAATCAGGAAGAAATAGAAATCCTGAACAGATCAACAACAAGTAATGAAATTGAATCAGTAATAAAAAGTTCCCAACAAAGTCCCAGACCAGATGGCTTCATTGCTGAATTCTACCAAACTTTCAAAGAAGAACTCACAGTTCTCTTCAAGCTATTCCAAAAATTGGAGAGGAGAGCATTCTCCCTAACTTATTCTACAAGGCCAGCATTACCCTGGTACCAAAACCAGAAAAGGATGCAATAAAAAAAAAAACAAGCCCATATCTTTCATGAACATAGACCCAAAAATTATCAGCAAAATACTAGCAAACCAAATCTAACAACACATCAAAAAGATAATACACCATGATCAAATGGGATTTATCCCAGGGATGCAAGTATGGTTCAACATATGCAAATAAATAAACATGGTATGTCACATCAAAAGAATGAAAAACAACACCACATGATCATCTCAATAGAGACAGATAAAGTATTTGATAAGATTCAACATCCCTTCATGATAAAAAAAAAAACCTCTTAACAAACTAGTCATAGAAGTAACATAACCTCAAAATAATAAAGGCCATATATGACAAACCCACAGCTAACATCTTCTTGAACATTATACTAAATAGAAAAAATCTGAAATCCTTTCCTCTAAGAATTGGAACAAGAATGCCCACGTTCACCAGTCTTATTCAGCATGATATTGGCAATCCAAGCCAGAGCAATCAGGCAAGAGACACAAATTAAAAGCACCTAAATTGGAAAATAAGAAGTCCAATTGTCCCTTTTTGCAGATAATATGATCTTAGATCTAGAAAAACCTAAAGACTTGACCAAAACCACTCATAGATCTGATAGATAAATAAATTCAGTAAAGTTGCAAGATATAAAATCAACACACAAAAATCATTAGCATTTCTACACACCGATAATTAATTAGCTGAGAAAGAAATCAAGAAGGCAATGTCATGTATAATAGCTACAAAAAATGCATAGGAATAAATTTAACCATGAAGGTGAAAAAATCTCTACAAGGAAAACTACGAAACACAGATGAAAGAAATTGAAGAGGATAGAAATAAATGGAAAGCCATCCCATGCACATGTTTTGGAATAATTAATATTGTTAAAATGATCATACTTCCCAAAGAAATCTACAGATTTGATGCAATCTCTATCAAAATCCTGATGTCATTTTTCACAGTAATAGAAAAAACAATCCAAAAATTCATACGGAATAAAAAAAGAGCCCAAATAGGCAAAGCAATCCTGAGCAAAAAGAACAAAGCTAGAGACATGACACTATCTAACTTCAAATTACACAAATAAACCAATGAAACACAATAGAGAAACCAGAAATAAATCCACATATTTATAGCCAACTGATTTTTTACAGCTGCCAAGAACATACATTAGGGAAAGGAAAGTCTCTTCAGTAAATGTTGCTGGGAAAATTGGACATCCATATGTAGACAAATGAAACTGGACCCCTATTTAGTGTAACTGGGTCTATCGCTATATACAAAAATCAACTCAAGATGGATCAAAGACTTAAACATAAACAAAAGGCCCCAAACTATAAAAATACCAGAAGAATACCTAGGGAAAACACTTCAGGACTTTGGTCTAGGCAAAGATTTAATGGCTAAGACTTCAGAAGCATGGGCAATTAAAAACAAAAATAGACAAATGGAACCATATTAAACTAAAAACCTTCTGCAAAGCAAGGGAAACAATCAACAGAAAGAAAAGACAATCTGTTGAATAGGACAAAATATTTACAAACTATTAAACTAGCAAGGAACAAGTATCCAGAATATACAAGATATTCAAACAACTCAACAGTGAAACAAATATTTTTAGTTAAAAGTAGGCAAATGACATGAATAGTAGGCATTTCTCAAAAGAAAACATACAAATGGCAAACAGGTATATAAAAAAATGCTCAACATCACTAATCATCAGGGAAATGCAAATCAAAACCACAATGAGACATCATCTTACCCATTGGAATGGCTATGATTAAAAAGACAAGAAATAACAAATGCTGGTGAGGATGCAGAGAAAAGGGAACTCTTGTACACTGTTGGTGGAAACGTAAATTAGTACAGCCACTATGGAAAACAGTATTGAGGTTTTTCAAAAAAACTAAAAATAGAACTACCATATGATCTAGCAACCCCAATATTCAATAGTTATCCAAAGGAAAAGAAATCAGCATATAAAAACATACCTACATTCACATGTTTATTGCTGCACCATTCACAGTATGCAAAGATATGGATTCAACCTAAGTGTCCATCAATGGACAAGTGGATTTTTTAAAAAGTGGTATATAGGGCCGGGCATGGTGGCTCCCACCTGTAATCCCAGCAGTTTGGGAGGTGGAGGAGGGCAAATCACTTGAGGCCAGGAATTCCAGACCAGACTGACCAACATCATGAAACCCCCCTCTACTAAAAATACAAAAATTAATCAGGCATGGTGGTGTGCGCCTGTTGTCCCAGCTACTTGGGAGAGTGAGGCACGAGAATCGCTTGAACCCAGGAGGCGGAGGTTGCAGTGAGCCGAGATCATGCCACTGTACTCCAGCCTGGGTGACAGAGCGAGACTCTGTCTCAAAAAAAAAGAAAAAAAAAAAAGTTGTATATATATACCTATATACGCAATGGAATTCTCTTCGGCCATAAAAAAAGAATGAAATCCTGTCATTTACAGCAACACAAATGGAATTGGAGGCCATTATTTTAAGTGAAATAAGCTAGTTACAGAAAGACAAATATCACATGTTCTCACTCATATCTGGGAGCTTAAAAAGGTTTTCTCATGGAAATATAGAGTAGAAGATACTCTACAGAGTACCAGAGGCTGGGAAGGGTGTGTGGGTGGGAGTGGGGAGTACAGAGATCGGGCCGGGTGCGGTGGCTCAGGCCGGTAATCTCAGCACTTTGGGAGGCTGAGGCAGGTAGATCACCTGAGGCCAGGAGTTCCAGAGCAGTTGGGGAAACATGCGAAACCCTGTCTCTACTAAAAATACAAAAATTAGCTGAGCATGGTGGTGCACGCCTGTAGTCCAAGCTATTCGGGAGGCTGCAGCAGGAGAATTGCTTGAACTTGGGAGGCAGAGGTTGCAGTGAGCCTAGATGACACCACTGCACTTCAGCCTGAGCGACAGAGCAAGACTCCGTCTCAAAAAAAAAAAAGAGAGAGAAAGAGAGAGGTTGGTTAAAGGGTACAAACATACAGTTAGATAGAAGGTTTAAGTTCTAAAGTTCAACAGCATAGTAGGGTAACTATAGTTAACAATAAAATATTGTATATTTCAAAGTATCTAGAAGAGAGGACTTGAATTGTTCCAAACACAGAAATAATAAACACTCAAGATGAATACCCCTAATACATTGACTTGATCATTACTTTCCATGCATGTAACAAAATAAAACATGTAATGCATAAATATGTAAAATATGTAGCCATTTTTAAAAAAACATCCTTAGAGTAACTTTCATCTATCTGAAAAGTACTACTGGGAACTGCCCTACCACACAGTGCCCCAGATCTTCCTGAGGTCTGAACGAAGGATCTAATAAACCTATCCTGGATTTGATCTTTGGCTTGAAGCCCTTTCTTGAGAGTTGTCTGGCCACCTGGAGAAGCTGGGAATGAGAAATGCCTTATTTTTAATTCCAATAAGTCCTGGCTTTTTATATTTAGTAGTTTATTCTTTAGCTCTTCTATCTCCTCTCACTTTTTATTATAGAGAGTGAGAAGAAACCAGGCAGCACTTCCAACATTCTTCCTGAAAATTTCCTTAGCTAGAGCATTCATTAAGTGCATTTTTTATTTGTCACATTACTTCAGGCAACATTGCTACCAAGATTTCCACCACTACATGAGTCCACTTTCCTCCAGCATCCATTAACCATTTTCTTGATTTCATTTTGGCCCTCACTGACAGCTTCCTCTAGGCCCTTTAGGCTTCTGCTAGCACTCTTCTAGAGGCCCACGCATCTTCAACCCTCCACCTCGTCTCAGACCAAATCCAGGTTTTAAGTTTTTGATACAGTGGCATCCCACCTCCAGGTACCAAAATCTTCTTGGTTTCTTATGAATCAGTTTAAAATGTACTCCACTAATAACTGCCTCCTTATAGAGCTGTAGTTAGGATCAACTTCGTCAATGCCTATAATGTGCTGATGGTATATAGGAAGGACTCAATGGAGGTTTTCTGTTATTTAAATGCTTGTAATGTGTGTTTACTGTATTGTTTGGGAATATTCAATACTGCTATAAAAGATAAGAAAATAAGTGGGATACATGAAACTCATAAGACATAGTAAACAGATATATGCTTTTATATATATATTATATATATACACACACACACAACATATTGAGACATAGAAAACAAATGGAGCATATTTCATGTGTTCCACTTACGTTTTCTAGTTAAAAAAAGATAAAATGAATAAAAAAGAAGGAATGGAAGATAAAATGATTAAAAAGAAGGAACGGACCATGTAACATGAATATTCATGATACGCTCAAACATAAGACATATAAGACTCTCAATATTCATGAGGGCTTATTTGACCACTCACTGGTGAATCCACCCTGGCCTCTTGTGTCTTCTGCCCATAGCTGCTCAGTAGGCGAATTCACAAGCTGCAGTTACCTACCTCCAATAAAGCAAGTGTTTGTCATTGAGCCCAGAGACCTGTCTAATTCGACTCCCTTACTCAAACCTCAGCTCTGGTCCTTGTAACCATATGATCAGCAGAAAGGTTAATGTGGCAGAGAGGTAGGCAGTCACATGGCCACTGTATAGATGAGGAACCTGATGGTATGGTCTTTCTACCACTCTCCCACCATATCTGTATTAATCTATCCCATTTTCTCCCCCTTGTGTTGTGGGTTGAATTGTGCCCCCTGCCCCCCAAAAATGTTGGACCTATGGATGTGATCTTTTGGAAACAGGGTCTTTGCAGATGTAATCAAGTTAAGATTATGTCATACTGGATCATTGTAGGGTCTAGATCCAATCCCTAGTGTCCTTAAAAGAAGAGACACAGATACACACATAAAGAGAGACTGCTGTGTGTGGATAGAGACAGTGACTGAAGTATGTGTCTACCAACCAGGGAACATCAAAAATTGCGAGCAACCACCAGAAACTAGTAAGAGGCAAGGAAGGATCCTCCTCTTGAGCCTTCAGAGAGAGCACGGCCCTGCCAACACCTTGATTTCAGACTTCTAGGTTCCAGAACTATGAGACGATAAATTTCTGTTCTGTAAAAGAAATCCTGAGAGGTAAAAGGTAAGATGCAAAGATTTGAAGAAAGGGGAGAAAAGGACAGAGAAAATGCAAAGAACTACCTAAAAAAACAGAGAGGAGTACAACTAATTAAATCCAAGTTACATAACATAAATCTAGAAAGCCACTAATAATAAACACTAATGACAGTAATAATAATAGCAGCTCCCATTTGTAGAGCATCTGCTATGTACAGGCATTGTACTACACATTTTTATTCATTACCTCTAATATCCAACTACAGGGTAAATTTTCTTACCACTAAGATGAGAAAATAGTCTGGAAGACATTCAGTAGTTTATTCATGGTCACACAGGATAGTAAATGGCAGAACCAGGTTCAAAACCAGTTCTATCTTGCTCCAAATCTTTGATCTTTTCTAGTGTATCACACAGCCTCCCAATAACATAGATGTTAGTATACTGAGAGGTTAAAGAGATGAAGAAAATAGAAAACATTTTAGAACAAGAAAACAGGCTAAATATGAATAAGAAAATGTATTATAAAAGAAACACCAAGTAAAAGAACATCATCATTCTAGTCAATATAGAAAGGGAATGAAACTGGAGGATGGATTCCTTCCTTTCTTTTTTTCCTCTTTTTAAAGATACAATCTGGAAGTTTAAAAGATTAATAAGATTTGTGTAAGATTATGCATGGTGATCAGGATGAATTGGGAAGGGGAAAGGAGAAAGAATTTCCAACTCTCACTTCCTACACATGATACTAAGTGCAGCAGTAGCAAGAAGGAATTTCAAATGAGTTTTTTGAAAAAGTGACAGTATTGGCCGGGTGTGGTGGTTCACGCCTGTAATCCCAGCACTTTGGGAGGCCAAGGCGGGTGGATCACGAGGTCAGGAGATCGAGACCATCCTGGCTAACATAGTGAAACCCCGTCTCTACTAAAAATACAAAAAATTAACCAGGTGTGGTGGCGGGCGCCTGTAGTCCCAGCTACTCAGGAGGCTGAGGCAGGAGAATGGCGTGAACCTGGGAGGCAGAGGTTGCAATGAGCAGAGATCGCACCACTGCTCTCCAGCCTGGGCGACAGAGCAAGACTCTGTCTCAAAAAAAAAAAAAAAAAGAAAGCAAAAGAAAAAGTGACAGTATTGAAAGGAAATCAAAGTGACCCAAAAATCTAAACAGTTAGAATCACTCAATAAGAACAAATACCTTAAAGGTTACTTATTTAGCACACAGCACCCCCAAAGAGAAATGGACCAAGAAACTTTGAGCTATGAGAGAAATACAGCTACTTTATTAATGATAAGGAAATAACTGAAAATAATTTAGCAAAATGAGGGATATTTTGCAGAAGTATGTGTCAGATGATGAAATTTTCTTCAAACAAGAAGAAATAAGGATGTAAGAGGAATGATCAAGTTGAAGGAAGCCCTCCTGACTTTGGAAGGGATAAGAGAATGGCAGGATATATTTTAAAAATGATACAAAGAAAACTCAAAGGAAGGAAGAAAGCCAAAGTCTTTATAAAAAAATAAAAATAAAAATAAATGCTCCCAGCTGTGGTAGCATGAAATGCACATAGAAAGGGGAAAAGGATGGAAACTGAAGCCAAAAAACAAATAAATGAATAAATGAGAAGCGTTTGAGGCAATGTGAAGGCAATGAGAAAAGAAAAGGAAAATCAAGAAAGAATGGAATTTCTTCCCAAGGACATTTTAGTGTCCAAAAAGCAGAGAAAATGATGATGGCTTTAAAAAGAGGCAATAAAGGACAGAGGTTAAAAGGCTGGGTTTAAAAGTTAGCCACATGGAGTTCTAGTCCCAGCTCCATGTCTTAGGCAACTTTCTTTCTTCTTGTCCTTTTTTCTGGCAACTTTCTTAACTTCCTTGTGCCTCAATCTCTCTTTATGTGTAAGATAGAGGAAAAAAAGACCTTTATACTGCATTATCTTCTGTATCCTGGATTGCTTTGAGGAGGAAATGAGATGAGAATGAAGCTATTAACATGGGGCCTGGTTCATAGGGAACAGTCAATAAATGTTCATGATGGTGATTAATTCTTTATGATACCCTGGAAAGATAAAAACCAGCAGGTAGCACTGAACAAGAAACTGCAGATAGTATGTACGACGTCTTTGAGGAACTATTTCGAGAGCAAATAAAACGCACAGACAGATGCAAAATAATGTTTGAGAATTAAAAGAAAGAACAGCTCTCAAATACTGTATTGAACAAATACAGCTCAAAAAGTGAGCTGCACTGTCAAATTGTTAAAGAGAGAGGCTCCTGGGTGGAGCAGATTCACTGCAGCGTTCTTACAAAACATCTGTCAGTGGCCTACAAGAGAAGATTGAAGTGAGCATCACAACAAAATAATAAGAGTTAATGATAACTGATTGAGGAAAAAGGAAATATAACAATTGAGGTCACATCCTAAATGCACATCAATAAAGGATAGTTAAATTATGGTACATCTGCATCCTGAGTGACTGCTAAAAAGAATGTTGTGGTTCTATATATGCTGACATGGAGAAACGCTTTATATAGTGTTTAGTGATAAAGCACAGAACATTGTATATATTAAATTACACTATTTTATGAAAATATTTTACATGATTATATGTACCTAAGTGAACCGGATACACAGAGTCTGGGAAATGAGGCTGGATGAAGGAGGGACTTTTTCTTTTTTTCTTATTTATGTAATGGAAGACAAAATGGTGTACTGGTTAAAAACCCAGGCTCTGCAGGTACCACTTAAGTAATCTTTAAAAAGTTATTGAGTCCCCCTGTGCCTCATTTTACCCATCTGTAAAATAAGGAGGATAACCTGGTAAGGCTGTTATGAGGAGGAAATGAGATCATGAACATTTCGTATACGCTGCATTCAGTAAAGGGCCTGGCATCTAGAACCCTCAATCACTGTCGGCTGTTAATGTTTTTACACCTCTGTAATGTTTGCAGTCACTTTACAAGTATGAATGACTTATAGAAGTATTAAAAAGCCTAAATGTTGGGAGGCTGAGGGGCGCAGAGCATGAGGTCAAAAGATCGAGACCATCCTGGCCAACATAGTGAAACCCCGTCTCTACCAAACATACAAAAATTAGCTGGTGTGGTGGCGGGCGCCTGTAGTCCCAGCTACTTGGGCGGCTGAGGCAGGAGAATCACTTGAAGCCGGGAGGCAGAGGTTTCAGTGAGCCGAAATTGCGCCACAGCACTCCAGCCTGGCGACAAAGCAAGACTCTGTCTAAATAAAAAAAATAAATAAATAAATAAATAAATAAATAAATAAATAAAAGACTAAATGACAATATTAAAGAGACTTAATAAGGTACAAAAAGGAAGGGGAGTTTTCTGGCCATTCTGGTGTATTTGTTTCTCCAAGAGAGCCTTAGTGTCATTTTCTTAAGTTTTCCTCAAAATCTTTTGGGTATTTTAATTGGCATTGTATTAAATCTCTGGATTTATTAAGGGAGAACAGACAGCTTCACACTACAGAGTCTTCCTATCCAATATCAAGGAATGTTGTTCTTATGTTGTCAGTATAACTTTTTAAGTTTTTTCTTATGTTCTAAGTATAATTTTTTAAAATTTATGTGTCTGCACGTTTCTTTAATGCCAAACTCTTTTTTTTAGTTAATATGGTAATTGGAATCTTTTTTCCATTATATTCTCTTACCTAATCTTGTTTATATATAGGAAAGCTATAAGGGGGATGAATCCTACTAGATATTAAAATATTTCCATGGAACTATAATAATTAAAAACAGGTTGGTGCTGAAGAGGAGATGAGAAGATCAAAGGATAGAGAATACAGAAATAGACTCTAATTCACATGGGAACTTACATTATAATCAAACGGAGAAAAATGAATTATCTGTAAATTACAGTGGGAAAACTAGCTATCTATTTAGAAAAAGATATCTCCCTTCTTCAGCCTTTTTTTTTTAAGAGATGGAATGTCAGTATGTTGCCCAAGCTGAACTCAAACTCCTGGGTTCAAGCAATCCTCCCACCTCAGCAGCCTGAGTGGCTGGGACTACAGGCACACACCACGGCACCTGGCCCCTTCTTCAGTCTTTATACCAAGTAAATCCAGACTAGTCAAAGATTCTTTAATGAGATTATAAAAGCAGATTAATCAATGATTTTTTAAAATAAACTTATAGGAATAGAAGAAAACAGATGAATTTATTTACAATCTTGGCATAGGAAATCCCTTCTAGGCAATACGCATGAAACCTAGATACCATAAAAGAAATTTAAATGTTTGTGTGGTCAAATTTATCTAAACATCCATTTGGAAAATATACATATTATAAATAAAGTCAATTGACAACATATTGGGAACATATTTGTAACACATACAAAAAGGGCCAATTTTTTTAATTTACAAAGACTTCATAAAAATCTATTGGGAAAAAAAACCTGATAATACAATTGAAGAATAAAATGAATTAAGGCAATCAGCTCATTAACACAGTTTGCAAAAATAAAGTTCTATATCTCACAAATAACATGAGTAAACCCAGGAGTGCAAGTCCCAAAGCTGACCTCAGGGAGGCCAGAGAGGACCAGAGGACTGCGCTGAGACCAGACCCCTCTACACAGCAGGGGACAGAGCCTGGACTGTTCATAAGCAATGCAAGTACACAAGCTGTAACCAAGAACCTTTCTGTGGTTTGTCTTCTAGGATGATCATTTTAAATGGCTTTCATGTTACCGTGGTATAAAAAGACAAACTCACCCAGATGAGTTAGGAGTGAAAAATGGAGAATTTTCCTAACTTTTCCGTTAGTTTTCAGTTGATGCTTTCAAGTTTCAACTTTAAGAAAAAAAGAATGGTATCCTGCTATAAGAGTTGCCTAAACCTGATTTGAGTTTCTTCCTGCTCACACCCTTCTGTTGGCAAATGGTGCATCTCGCATCCTGAAATGCTACCCTAACAGCTTTGTAATGTAACCCATTCTGCCTAGTGGCCCTCTGGGGCACAACTATTCTTTCTGAAACCCCTTAATGTTCTTTGAATGACCCCATTCCCTGGTCTAACCCTTTTTCTTTTCATGAGCATAGGCTGCCTCTGATGTCTTTATGTATAGGATTTTCCATTTCTTTTCTAGATCCTTGGCCTTCCTACAACACGCTGGCACATTTGTCATGTTAGCCTTTTCACGTGTGACCTTGTTTTGTATTTGGAAATTTTTCTTCTTAGAGGACCACTACCTTCTTTCTCTCAGTCTCTCAGCATGGAAGCTAACTCTCCAATTATTGATTACAATGTGGCTCCTTAAAGGTGAGACTTAAAAGCACAAAGCAGTAAAATAATTCTTAGGAGTAAAATAGTTCTCCAGTGTCCTCTGTTCCCCATCAAACATACTGCCTGACTGACCTTCCTTCCTCAAGGCCAGTGGGCTAAGTGCCTCAGCCACCACCCCCTCCTGAGAGTCCACACACAGGAGCAGTTCTGTCACTTCAGTGTCCAGTGATGTTTAGTTTTAGTTAAAATAAAACAATTCAATAAATAAATCTCTTTTTCTGCAGCGATTCTCTTATTTCCCCCAGAAAGGAAAGCGATTCACTATGCAAATACTAAGAAAGCTGATGTAGAAATTACTTGAGGATTGTTCATATCCACATCAGCCTCTGCTTTGTTGTAATGTAATCATATAAATGTAATTATACATAGATCACCTACCTACATAGCTATAGTATGCATACATGTCAGATTGCCTATAAATATATAGTTTTATAAATATAATTATACATGTATACATTTATATAGAGAAATAGTATATATAAACATATAACATCTAACACACGGAACATTTAATCTGATGAATGCTGTTGAACACTTTATAGATACTGTCTTATTTAATCCTCACAATTACTTTATCAGATCAGCACTACTATACTCCCCATCTGTGGTTGATTAAAGAGGGCCGCAAATTCTTTGACACCCCTCCCATGAAGGGGTGAAGTCAAAGACCCCTCCCTGAATCTGAGCAGGCTCTGTGACTGTTTTGACCATGAGTTTATGCGGAAATGACGCAGTGCCCATTTCCGGGGCCAAGCCTTAAGAGCTTCCTTTTCCTGCCTCCTGTGCCCTCACTTTTGGAGCCCCGGGCCTCCATTGTAAGAAACCCAACTACCCTGCTGAAGACACCACCTCCAGAGGCTCTGAGCGCAGCTTTCCAGCTGCCCCGTCGAGATGCCAGACCATGAGGGAAATCATGGACCTCCAGAACTAAGCAGCTGCCCACTGAATGCCACTAGGTGACCCAATCAGTGCCACATGGAGCAGAACCGCCAGCAGAGTCCTGCACAGATTTCTGACCCACAAAATCACTAGTTTTCATAAAATGGTTGTTGCTTTAGGCAATTCAATGGTGGGGGTAGTTTGTTAGACAGCAGTAGATAACCGGAACTCCATCTCACAGATGCAGGAGCAAAATCACAGCAAGGGAAGTAACTATTCCAGATCACACACCTAATTAATAGCATGGCTGAGATTCCAACTCAGGCAGTCTGCCTTGAAAGCTTATAATCGTAGCCACTCTACTGAATTATTTTAAAATCATAATTAACTTTTAAAGGTAGAGCATGTATAACATTTTGATTCTTCTTAGCATCTACTCTAATTCCTATATAATGAAGAATTTGCCCCAAAGGCATTTATCCTTTCTCCATTTGCAGCTATCTATTTATGCTTATTTTCACATCCTTCTGAGTTTTAAAATGCAATGAATTCCTCTAACAGATTTGCCTGTATTTATTTTAAGACAGTAGGGTAGAGATCCCCATTTCTCTTCTGCCTTTAGTATAGATTGTATCAGCAGTGCTGCTTAATACCAAAAGGGCAGGCTAATTCTGGGCTTCAGGAAGTTGATTTCCACGGTATTAAATGTGGCTTAGTAATTTTCCAAGGAGACAGAGACCCTGGGGTCTTGGCAGTTTCCCTGATAAGCTATCATCCCATCTATTTTATATTAGAATGTATTGTTTACTGAAAAGGGGGTAGGAATGGGGCAAAGAGGAGACTTGATACCAGCTTGTTGACCGGCAAATAGATCTGTACCTGCAGCCTTTCTGGAGCCAAAAAGGTCAGGGGTCAAGGACCCAGAGGTACTGATGAAATCAAGGGCCTTTGGATAATTAAACACTTCAGCAATATGCCTCTGGAGCAAACACTATTGTTCCCAAGATATAATAAATAACACAATGTGTGACATCAAGGAAAGCAGGTGCTCTGTGCAAGTGTTATCCTCTAGTCGCTGAAGGACATTTTCACAACAAATAGGGATAACCAACAAAGCCTAGACTTATTTTCTTTGGTGTTACTTCCAAAACATTTTGATTTCAACCTTCCAGAGACTAATCACATTGAGAAAAATAGCACAGATGATAGGCATATAGCTATCAACGTTTCCTAGAATTTAAGGCATAAAATTAACAAGCAAGCACAAAACACTCCTAAATATGGTAATTTGATGGATTCTTAAGCTTGGTATTCTGAGTTATGCTCTATAAATTTCTAGTATAGAAACACAGAATAGAATTCTGAGATTTTAGAGATCAACCAGCTAAATTGCTCTTAAGCAGTGATTTGTATCTTTTCTTCAACCAGCTTCCAACAAAAATAAAACCATAACATAAACAATTGTTCTATGTTCCAGGTGTTGTTCTCAGGATTTTACATTGATTCACAGCCACTCTATAAGGTGAATATTATTGTTATACCCCAATTTACAGGTAAAAGAACGGAGGCTTAGAGAGATTAAGTAACTCGCCAAAGATCACAGTGGTAGGAAGTTGTGGGGGAGTTTGGAATTAAATTTATATGGACAGATCCAAGTACTATCCCTCCTCCCTAATTTAGAAATCAGAACGGCTCCACTTTTATCCATTTTTATACAAAAGATTTAAAAGTATATAATTCATCTTAAAAAGCTGCTTAAAAATCATTGTTTTTTTTTTATTTTATTTTATTTGAGAAGGAGTTTTGCTCTTTCGCCCAGGCTGGAGTGAAGTGGTTTGATCTCAGCTCACTGCAATCTCTGCCTCCTGGGTTCAAGCGATTCTCTTGCCTCAGCCTCCTGAGTAGCTGGCATTACAGGCACCTGCCACCATGCCTGGCTAATGTTTGCATTTTTAGTAGAGACGGGGTTTCACCATGTTGGCCAGGCTGGTCTCGAACTCCTGACCTCAGGTGATCCACCCACCTCAGTCTCCCAAACTGCTAGAATTACAGGCATGAACCACCTCGCCAGGCCAAAAATCATTGTTTTAATTTAACCATAGCTTAGGTCAGTGAAGCAGCAGAAATCTCTGGTGGTTTCTGGACCTACTTTGCTCGGTTAGGTACTAGAACTCCCCTCTCGCATGCAGTCTGATGTCTCTTCCAGGATATTCAGCTGCCCGTGAGTGACAATAAATTGGGTTAAATATTTTTACTACTTTTTCTCCCATTTTACTTCTATATATATGTTTATATATATATATATATATATAAACATACCATTGGTGGAGGAAAGTAGTTTTATTTTAAACTGTTCCCACTCCTAAAAAGAAAAGCCCTCTGAGAATGTTATCTTGAATTTCAGTACGTGACATTACTACAGCTAGTCTGTGGACAGAAGGAATTGGGCACATATAAATTTCTGTGCTACCCGTAGGATGCTAGCAAGAACTGCTGGACATGAGTAGAGATGGCCTGAAACTTGCTTTCTCCCTCTGGTGCACAGACCATGTGCACAGTGGGTCAAAGTTTGGGCTCTGGATTCAGACAGAGCTGAATCCGAATTCTAGATTTCCACAATATAAGTGACTTTAGACAAGTTACTTAATCTCCCTGAGTCTCCGTTTTTTTCACATGTAAAATGTGGTTTAAAATAGCTTCAGGCCTCACGCAGTAGCTCATGCCTGTAATCCCAGCACTTTGAGCCTAGGAGTTTGAGACCAGTCTGAGAAACATAGGCAGACCCCGTCTCTACAAAAAAATGGTTAAAAATTAGACAGGTATGATGGCACACGCCTGTGGTCCCAGCTACTTGGGAGGCTGAGGTGGGAGGATGGCTTGAGTCCAGGAGGTCAAGGTTGCAGTGAGCCACGATTGTGTCACTGCACTACAGCCTGTGTGACAGAGCAAGACTCTGTCTCAAAAGAATAAAATAAAATAAAATAGCTTCAAACACACTGAGTTATTATAAGGATTAAATAAAACAATCCAGAGTTTACTTCAACTTCTGGTCCAACAAGAGTTTGAAAGAAATCTTAAAAGCTGTTCTATTTGCCATAAATAGAAGGAAATTCTAAAGAAGTAAAAACACAGTAATGTCATTAAATTCTCACTGGAAACAGTTGCCTACTAAAGACTCTGAGCTTGGGTCCTACTCTCTCTTTTTTTAAATAGGAGATTTTAGGTTGTTGTTAAGGATATATTAGCACCAAACTAAGACTCTCCCTCTCTTAATAACTCAATAATAGTAATAATACCTTTTTTTTAGCAAAGCCAAGCATATCTTCTTGTTTCTTTCAAACTTATAAAGTAACCCTCCTGCTGCTGAATAAATTATAATTGATTCCAGGAATAAATTATAATTGTGGGAAAATTACCTCTTATTCTTCTCCAGAATGAAAAACCAAACCAGTGACCAGGAAGAGAAGATATGAAGAAAAATATAAGTACATCTTTTATTGTAAAAATGAATAACTATAGGCTATAGACTGAATGTGGAAGCCTAAATCCCTAGTGTGATGGTATTGGGAGGTGGGGCTTTGGGATGCGATTATTAATAGGTCAAGAGGGTGGTGCCCTCATGAATGAGATTAGTGTCCACATAAGAAAAGACGCAAAAGAGATATCTCTCCCTCCCCATCCCCACACGGCATAAGAATACAAGACAGCTCTCTGCAAACCAAAAAGAAAGCCCTCACCAGACTGGATCTGCCAGCACCTTGATCTTGGACTTCTCAACCTCCAGAACTGTGAGAAATAAATCTCTGTTTTCTAAGTCACCCAGTCTATTGTATTTTTTATAGCAGCCCAAACTGACTAAAATACTACAATAAATAACTCTAAATCCAACCCATAATAGGCTATTTATGTCTAGAATTGTGAAACGAATGCGGCTCTGTGTGTCTCTGTAACTGTGCCAAAATCTGGCTTCAGCATGCACAGGGGGCACCTCCACAAACAGAACCCTCAGTAGCTGATAAGAGCTGGCCTAGAACTCAGATTCAAACAGTTATTTTTTTCTATAACAAATCACAGCTGAAAGAATTAGGTCTACAGAAGGTTGCTACCAGACTTGATTCAAATAGGCACCAAATCTCCAGGGCTACAATAGGCCTGGTATGACCAGGTGATTGAAGACCCAATATACCACACCAACTGAGGAGGCCCCAAGCAACAACAGTGAAATACACACATGCACGTATACACACAAGGTAAAATAATGATGCAAGGACTTTCCACCAACGATGCATAAGCTATTCGAGGTATGCTCCAAAGTTTTAAGCCAGGATGGAGAAGACAGAAATTCCATACTTTTACTTTTTAAATTTTGGTCTTGATAGAAAATATATTCAAACTATAGTACCAAGTGTGCACATCTGTGAAAAAGAAAAATAACACAGTTGACTAAAAAATGAGTATGGAATCTACTTTATCAGCATTTTTAAACATAGCTCTTAAAATAATATCTAAATATAGGCTTTTCATGCCAAACTGGAGACAGATGTGCTTTAATATAATATCCTGATGTTTGTCTATTTCCTGATGACCCTTAGACTTCTAGGGTGGGCTTCTATTTTCTCCTTTGAAACAGATGTTGGTAAATGTCTGTCCCAGAACCCAAAATCCTGATCCAAAACCAGCTTTTTCTTCCTTCTCTCAAATTTATGTTAGCCAGATTCCATTCTTTGTCAGCAGCTGTAACTATAGACCATACTCAGAAAATAAAAGTAGAAATACTATGATAATTCAAGATGAAAGCTTTAATTTCAAGCATTTAAAAGGCAGCAACCTAACCGTAGTGCCAGAGACAACTCAAGAAAAGTGTAATTTTCTCCTTTATCTTCCCCAAACTGGATATTCAATAAATGCAATTTTATACAGTCAAACAGGTATAATAACTGTGCTAACTAAATGTTGCCTAGCAAAAAGCCCATTAAAGCATTAATCAATAAGAATGGCTTGAAGCTAGCATATTACAGCTTCAGCATAAGCATTGTTAGCCTCTGCAGGACACTCAAATGGCAGCTTGTCCCTAAATTACTATTTCTTAAATGCTTGAAAACACTTTGGCTCTCTTCAATAGGCAATCATTTTCCTTTGGAATCTTGTTTATAGTCTTGTTAACAGGCTTTTATTTTTCCTCAAACAACTTCTGCAAAAAAAGCCAACTTCATGAACCCTGTACAAATATCACAAATTCTAATTACTCAACTACAAATCAAGATAATTTTGCCATAATGTCTTTACAATGGCTTCTTAGAAAATTATTAATAAATCAAATCCTTTCAAAAAAATGCATCAAGAAACTAGTTAAAAGAAACCTTTGATCAATTCAAGATCTGTTTTTGACCACACAGATAATCATCTTCTAATGGACTTGTTTTCTAAGTTCAGATCTTTAGGAATGGTTTATTTTTTTAAAGGATACCCCTATAATTTTGCCTCAGCAAATCATACTTCTGTTTCCTTTTAAAGTAAGCTTTATAGGTAGGAAAAAATACTATGAAAACTTCAAATATTGGAATATTTTCAAAAGATAATCATGAGTAAAACTCAGTTTTTAAAATAATAATTTTGAAAAAATAAAGAAATTGGTTTTGCTATAAAGAGAATCTATAGCTTATCATTTCCAAAAGTTAATTTTATGCCTTTTTTTAAACGTTACTAAACCAGGAGTGTCATAATTCTTGGCATTTTATTTAACCACTGTTTTTGTACTTGTTAAAAACTGAAAATGAAGTCAGAAGCCACAAGAGAATAAAATTTCTGCTAAAAATGAGTATAATCAGAGGAATTATCATCTTACAGGTAAAAACATGTGTGGGTTCTTAAAAAAAATTGAACATAGAATTACCACATGACCCAGCAATATTATTTTCTGGTATATACCCAAAATAATTGAAAGCAGGGACCTGAACAGATATCTGTAAACAATGTTCATAGCAGTGTTATTCAAAATAGGAAAAAGGCACAAACAACTCAAAAGTCCATTGACAAAAGAATGGATAAGCAAAGTGTAGTATATACATACAATGCAATATTATTCAGCCTTAAAAAGGAAGAAAATTCTGACACATGCTACAACATGGATGAACCTGGAACACGTTACGCTAAGTGAAATAAGCCAGACACAAAAGGACAAACATTGTATGATTTCATTTACATGATGTCTGTAAAGTAGTCAAATTCTCAAAGACAAAAAGCAGAACGGTGCTTGCCAGGGGGTTGGGAAAAGTGGGGAATAGGGAGTTATTGTTTAACGGGCAAATGGTCTCAGTTCTGCAAGATAAAAAGAGTTCTGCAGATGGATGTTGGTGGTGGTTGCTCAACAACGTAAATATACTTAAAGTCACTAAATTGTACACCTAAAAATGACTAAATGATATTTTACTACAATTTTTTTAAAAGAAGAACAGATTTGTGGCATTTTCAGCTGTGATGATAATCAAAGACTTTTAAATTAGAGCTGGATGTCAAGGAAGTCGAGTCCCAAAAAAGTACACTAAGTGGTCTCTGTCAGACCCCAACAGAAATCCCCTAACATCCAAGACACTAGTATTGTTGTGTAAAGCTGGGGTAGGCAACACAGAGAATGGCCTCATTTTATTTTATTTTACTTTTATTTTATTTTTCCTTTTTGTTGAAAACAGGTTCTTGCTATGTTGCCCAAGCTGGTCTTGAACTCCTGGTTTCAAGCCATCATTTTATACTTAATGTTGGTCCTTTTTTTTCCATAATGTCATTTCATAAATGATTACTTCTTGGTAGTGGATATTTGAATAAACTTCATGTATTCCTTAATTTTTTACAATATTGTCAAAAAAAAAAAAAGAGAGAAAAAAAGCCCTTTAGGGGAGAAAAAAAATGAGTAGTTCAGAAAATCAAAGACTGAACATTTCTGCTGGAAGTGAAAGTTTGACTCAAAGGAGACAAAGGAGAGTTTAATCTTTTGTTTTTATTCAGACAGGATCTCACTCTGTGGCCCAGGCTGGAGTGCACTGACACAATCTTGGCTCACTGCAACCTCTGCCTCCCAGGTTCAAGGGATTCCCATGCCTCAGCCTCCCAAGTAGCTGGGATTACAGGTGCGTGCCACCACACCTGGGCTAATTTTTGTATTTTTAGTAGAGATGGCGTTTCACCATGTTGATCGGGCTTGTCTCAAACTCCTGACCTCAAGTGATCCATTCGCCTTGGCCTCCCAAAGTGCTGGGATTCTAGGGGGAGCCACAGCACCTGGCCAGAGTTTAATCTTATTTACATAAAATGTTAGATATAATTGTTAGGGGAAAGAAAGGAACGAACATGTATGTGTAATGTTAGATCATTTACACATCAATTTTAAAACAACATATATTTATTTAATGCTGCATAAGAATGTAGGCTTAATCCAGAATCTCTCATTCTGTGAAATGCCAGGTAATTATATCCTCATATGGAAAACGTGAGGAACTTATTGAACTGTATATTGAGATAAAGTTGAAAATGCAGCCTAATCACTCAAATTAAATATTGAGTGTTCCTTATAAATATGTTGCTAATTGATCAATATTGAAATTAAAGGTAATGGAAAGATGTTGAAACATAGCATAGCATATAGGAAAGATTTTTAATATCATATTTGGATAAATTCTGGAAAAAAGTAATCTGTAGTCCAATAAAATAGTATGTAGTTAAAAACGGGGAAAGGAAATTACAGTAGATACTGATTTAACCCCAGGGAGAGAGAAATAAGATTGACTATGTAGATGGTATAGGCCTCACAAGGTTGTACGAATGGACACATTAAACTAATGACAGCCCATCAGTTGGCATCGAAAAGTCCCAAATTATATGAAGGGCAATTTTGAGCTAGAGAGCACAAAAATAAACCCAAAGAAAATCTGCCTTGGTGATTACATTAAGACTCACATTGACAAGAGCCAGCTAGGAAATCCTAGCTTAAATGAATAGAAAAGAAAATAGGAATTACAGAGAATATACACAACATAAATGAGTGCAGGTATGAAACGAATGACAACATTTTTTTAAAAGCTTGTACATGAAGCTTAGTGGCTTTCAACTCTGTCTTTAAAAATAACATTGAAGAGTGATAATTTGAAGTATATTGAAGAAGAGTTTTAAAAATCGCAACAATAACAAAAACTCTCTGTTCCTAAAGTCCAAAAGAATATCACTGAAAAAAAATTGCTGTCTCTACAGAAACGTCGATTTGTAAAGAATTATCTTTTTATTCGTTATGGAAAATATGAATGTTTGTAACTTATAAATTCTTGATTAAAGGGAGTTACTCAGCTCACCTATTTTTTAAAAGTGTAAGAAAAATCAAAACTATAACCTTCAAAATTTCAACAGAAGTGCAATTCTTAATTTAAAGCAATTATGTTCAGGAAAAGTAATTTTAAAATCCCAAGCAATAGCAAAGCAATGCCAAGCATTTATTTAAACAAGTTGTTTCAAATAAAATAACATAGCTGCTCTTGGCAAAATTATAAAAATAATTTGTTTAGGAAATAATGCAGAATTACATGAGGGAGGGAATTAATAAATCATCTGATACAGTATTTAATAAAATGTTATCTAAAGTAAATTTAAATTAGCTTGAAAAAAAATTGTCAAATAAATTTTAAAATAGCTAACCTATTTTTTAAACAAAGGAAATTGATAAATGGCTCAGTATCCAATTCAGACAATATATTTGGCAGAAGGTCTTATTCTCTCTGGTCCCAATAAAAATTTTGTAAATGACTTGGAATGGAGAATGAACATTAGGTTATTGATATTAGTGGAAGTTCTGTTTTGAATAGGCAAAAATTGTGTTCAGATACACCAAGATGAAGGGATTGGATCTAATGCCAGAAAATTATAAACTAGAGTCAGCTTAGAAAAATGCAAGCTACCATAGTATGAGAAAAATCATTTGAAAGTAATTTAATTCCATGAGAAAATAAGGCAATTTGTAATGCCAAAGAGACTCTACAAGGAATAATAGACAGAATATTAAGTAACCACTTCAAGGGTGATAGGAATTAAAAGACAGCCAAAGCCTCCCAGTACCATTTCCATTTCTTCTTATGGCAGTCTGCCATGAGTAGATGGAAATGATTAGATAAGGTGAGATTGACAGGCCTTACCTAACTACATGGCCTGACCACTTCCATCAATGACAGCAGGAAGAGAAATGGTAAAATAGCAGAACCCTGTGGTAACTGAACTCCGCCTGACCAACATCTGATTTTTTTACTTTAATTGAGGTGGGTAGAAATAGAAAATAAGGCTGGGCATGGTGGCTCATGCCTGTAATCCCAGCACTTTGAGAGGCTGAGGTGGGTGGATCACCTGAGGTCAGGAGTTTGAGACCAGCCTGACCAACAAGGGGAAACACCATCTCTACTAAAAATACAAAAATTATCCAGGCATGGTGGCAGGCACCTGTAGTCCCTGCTACTCGGGAGGCTGAGACAGAAAAATTGCCTGAACCGAGGAGGCGGAGGTTGCAGTGAGCTGAGATCACACCACTACACTCCAGCTTGGGCAATGGAGCGAGACTCCGTCTCAAAATAAAAAAAAAAAAAAAAGAAAGAAAGAAAAAAGAAAAGAAATAGAAAATAAGCCTATTGCAGCTGGGATGGAGCACCACGTGGAGAGTCAGCAAATCTGCCACCAGCCAGCCCCCATCTCTTCCTCCGTACAACGAAGAGGATGAACTATAACATCAATGATGTTCTTCCAGCTCCAGGGCTACATGGTGGCTTCTTGGATCCTCAGAAAATAAGCTGCATTTAGAACAAAGAGCTTGTGGTAAGCTCATGAAGTATACCACTCTTTGGTAGAAGAAGTTGAATATATAAGTGGATTCAAGAAAAGCGTTTTAAACTCTTCGGGTTCTTATTAATCATTAACAGGTACCGAGTATTTCCTGTTGCCAGGCCCTATGCTAAGTACTTTACATGGATTATCTCATTTAAGGTTTAGAAAGATTCTTTGATGTAGGTATGATTACCGTCACCCCCTTACAGCCATTCACATGGATTCTCACAGAGGCTAAAAAACTTGCCTAAGGTTGCACACCTAGCAGGTGGTAACATTCCTGGACAATGTCTTCACCAGTCCTTGAGGAAAACAAGAGCAATGGCACTCAATAATACTGGTATGTTGGTTGAATAAATAAAATGACAACTGGCTCATCGCACTTGCCCACTGCCCTTTGGGAAACAACGTAGTGAGGGCCACAACCTAGTATCTGCTGAGCACACTGCTCAATGCCAGGCACAGTACTAGGCACCTTACAAATAGCCTATTTAATTCTCACAGCAACACAGGGAGATGGGTGCTGCTATTCTTATTTTACAGAAGCCAGCCTCTTATTCCTATGCTCTCATCTAGTCAGCTGCCCCAGAAATGTTGTGTACAATATTGGTGGGTTCTTGGTCTCGCTGACTTCAAGAATGAAGCCGCGGACCCTCGTGTTGAGTGTTACAGTTCTTAAAGATGGTGTGTCCGGAGTCTGTGCCTTCAGATGTTCAGATGTGTCCAGAGTTTCTTCCTTCTGGTGGGTTCGTGGTCTCGCTGACTTCAGGAGTGAAGCTGCAGACCTTCGGGGTGAGTGTTACAGCTCTTAAAGGTGGTGCATCTGGAGTTGTTTGTTTCTCTTGTCTGAAGTTGTTCGTCCCTCTCGGTGGGTTCGTGGTCTCGCTGGCTTCAGGACTGAAGCTGCAGACCTTTGTGGTGAGTGTTACACCTCATAAAGGCAGTGTGGACCCAAAGAGTGACCAGCAGCGAGATTTATTGCAAAGAGTGAAAGAACAAAACTTCCGCAATGTGAAAGGGGACCCAGGTAGGTTACCCCTGATGGCTGGGGCAGTCTGCTTTTATTCCCTTATCTGGCCCCACCCATATCCTGCTGATTCGTCCATTTTTACAGAGAGCTGATTGGTCTATTTTACAGAGAGCCGATTGGTCCGTTTTGACAGGGTGCTGATTTGTGTGTTTACAATCCCCGAGCTAGACACAAAAGTTCTCCAAGTCCCCACAGAGCACTGATTGGTGCATTTACAAACCTTGAGCTAGACACAGGGTGCTGATTGGTGTGTTTACAAACCTTGAAGTAGACACAGTGCTGATTGGTGTATTTACAAACCTTGAGATAGACACAGAGTGCTGATTGGTATATTTACAATCCTTTAGCTAGACATAAAGGTTCTCCAAGTCCCCACTAGACTCAGGAGTCCAGCTGGCTTCACCTAGTGGATCCTGCCCTGTAGCTGCAGGCAGAGCTGCCTGCCAGTCCCTTGCCATGTGTCCCGCACTCCTCAGCCCTTGGGTGGTCAATGGGACCAGGCCCCGCGGAGCAGGGGGCAGCACTTGTCTGGGAGGCTCGGGCCACGCAGGAGCCCACAGCGGCGGAGGGAGGGTCGGGCATGGCAGGCTGCAGGTCCCGAGCTCTGCCCTGCGGGGAAGCAGCTGAGGCCCCGTGATAATTCGATCGCAGCGCTGTCGGGCGGCACCGCTGGGGGACCCAGCACACTCTCCGCAGCTGCTGGCCCAGGTGCTAAGCTCCTCACTGCCCCGGGCTGGTGGCGCCCGCCAGCCACTCCAAGTGAGTGGCCACAGAGCCCACGCCCACCCGGAACTGGCGCTGGCCCCCAAGCGCCACCCTTCCTGCCCGCGCCTCTCCCTCCACACCTCCCAGCAAGCAGAGGGAGCCGGCTCCGACCTCAACCAACCCAGAGAGGGGCTCCCATAGCACAGAGACGGGCTGAAGGCCTCCTCAAACATGGCCAGAGTGGGCGCGAGGCCAAGGAGGCACTGAGAGCGAGCAGGGGCTGCCAGCATGCTGTCACCTCTCACCTCCACCTCCAGGGTACCATGGGTTCCTCACTCCACAATCCCAGCCTCAGGGCCCTCTGCTTCCTGCTTCCCTCCCCACCCTGTCTGGAGCCCTTGCTCTCTTGGTTTTGTGTGGAGCTGCCTTGCCATCCTTAATGGGGCATTGGAACCAGCCTGCTCCACGTCCTAGTATCTCACCTGCCCATAACTGTCTTTATCACTGTTGTGCACCTTTTCACAACAAAGTTACCTTGCAAAGAGGAGCTCTGGTGGCAGTCATTAAAAGAAAAAGCTTTGTTTCCCTTATTAAAGGGAAGAAACGAAGATAGAAAATGGTAGAAAAGGAAAGGGAGCTGATTGAAGGGAGTTTGGGTGCTCCTGTTTGCCATCCCAGAGGTAGAGTAGCGTGTGGCCTATACTCACAAAGAGCCTGATCAACCAGAACGTGAAACAACTTTTAATTGAGACTCAGATCCTCAAGTCTCACTCTAACCCAAGGTGACCAATCCAAAGCCGTAACCTTGTGCCCAATGACCTGCTTTTTTTTTTTTTAAGTAAGAGAGGTGAGTCCCTGGTTTTTCGCTCTGCCTATTTTAATCCCTGATTTTCTATGAGTGCTACACAAGCTATTTCTCTTCTGATACTGCAAACAGACCACCTTACAGTCATGCACCACATAACAACGTTTCAGTCAACAATGGACCACAAGTGGTCCCATATGATTATAATACCATATTTTTACTGTGCTTTTTCTGTGCTTAGATTTGTTTAGATACACAAATGCTTACCATTGTGTCATAATTGCCTATAGTATTCAGTACAGTAACATCCTGTACAGGTTTGTAGCCTAGGAGCAATAGGTCATGCCCTCTAGTCTAGGTGTGCAGGAGGCTAAACCATCTAGGTTTGTGTAAGTACACCCTACAATAATCACACAAGGACAAAATCACCTAAATGAAGCATTTCTCAGAACACAGCCCCATCGTTAAGCAACACATCATTCTATTCGTCAGAAATGATTCTATTTGTCTATTTGAAGAATAATTTTGAAAAGTACCAGGCATTACAGAAAGGATTTATCAAGAATGAAAAATGGTAAATATCTATTGAAAAATGGAGAGATTGTGCACAAGATGGGAATCACCTCAACAGAAGATAATGTCCTCAAAACAATAGCATCCCTGCTTCAAATAGCAACTCACTGCCTTCTAATTTCAATTTGCTGTGTGCAGAATTCCTTCTTTTCCAGTGCCAAATCCTGAATGAAACATGCAATAAAAATCACTGCCTGAAACATGGTGATAGCGTTTAATCCTCTGGCAACACATTAGAAAGGCTTTCAGCTTTAAACCAAGAACTGCCACACTGCAGCTTTGCTCATGAAATTATGTACTCGTGCCTTGGTTTATAAAGTCCTTTTTTATAAGCTTTCTACTGGCTAATAATGGGCTGGAGCAACTTATGTTCTCAGCCTGACAGATTCCACATTTATGAGCCTGGAAGTCCGATGCCTGGCACAGAGTTGCTGCCTGGAGGGAGTTATGCCATCTGGCTGAGCAGGTTTCAGTGTCAGGAAACTGCAGGAACCACTGGTTGGGACACCACTGTGACCAGAGAGATGACACATGGGGAGGCTTGGAGGGAGGAAAGTGAGATGGAGCACTCAGAGGCTTCTGGCAATCGTGGCCCAGATGTCTAGGGTGCAGAGTGCAAAAAAAGGAGAAGAGAACTCACAGGACATGGGATAAATCTCTCTGCCAACCAAATATGAGTGGTCATTAATTAGTGTCAACAACAGGGCTGACTCCTCTTCTGTGAATATGAAAAAGAGTGGGGAGAGGATATTGGTTTGATGTTCAAATTAAAAGTAAAAGCAGATTACAAAGAAACAAATATATACTTAAGAGACAAAACTGACTTGAAGCACTTTAATATATATTTACATGCAATTTATCTCTAAGGAAAGGTAAAGCTACAGTGGGGATAAAAACGTATTACAGCCCATTCTAATTGTGATTAAAGTAGGACTGATAGTTCATAATCTTGACTAGGTTAACCCTGACCTTCTTACTTGGTAAATTCCTGCTGTTCAGAATTAGCATGATAGGACCGGGCACGGTGGCTCACGCCTGTAATCCTAGCACTTTGGGAGGCTGAGGCAGGTGGATCACGAGGTCAGGAGTTCCAGACCAGCCTGGCCAAGATGGTGAAACCCCGTCTCTACTAAAAATAAAAATAAAAAAAATTAGCCGGGCATGGTGGCAGGCGCCTGTTATCCCAGCTACTCGGGAGGCTGAGGGAAGAGAATGGCTTGAACCCGGGAGGCGGAGGTTGCAGTGAGCCAAGGTCACACCATTGCACTCCAGCCTGGGTGACAGAGTGAGACGCCATCTCAAAAAAAAAAAAAAAAGAAAGAGCATGATAGCACATAACCTCTTTCTCAGCATTTATCACAGTTAAAAATTGTGTGTGTGTGTGTGTGTGTGTGTGTGTGTGTGTGTGTGTGTGTGTGTACTCCATGAGGACTCCATGAAGGACTAATTTTTTTCCCCCTTCAGCTAGTACCTACAAAGAACCTAACACTTCCTACTTTCCTACTAGAAAAATATTGTGAATGCAATACAATTAAATATATTTTTAAAATATTTTAATTCAGACTTTCCACTAAATATTGGTTACAATGAATGACAGCAAAAGGTGCAACAAATCACCAAAATAATAATAGTAACAACTTACGGGAAGGAAAAAATAGTATTCTGGTAAAATATCAACAACCACGGACAATGTTAAGATCCCTTTGCTTTAACATTAAAATGATTTTTTAAAATAGTAAATCTCAAAACTCCCTAATGCTACGGTTATATAATTGTAAATACCTTAACATATTATCCAATGAGCTATGTTTTCACAAGAATTAAACCAGTTTTAAACTCCTTGATCTTTATCGGCAAAGAAAATATATTGCTTTTCTCTGTCTGAATCTTTCTGTGCATATAAACCACCTTTCCATCAGCGAATGCCTCCATTCTCCTTGGGTCATTTTGCTTCAGCCCACTGGTCTTTCTGCTGTTTGATCAACCTCAGCCTGGTCCCACCTCAGAGCATTTGCACTTGCTGTCCCCGCTTTGCAGAGTTTGTCCCTTCTCTTCATTCTGGTCTCTCCAGAAAGGCTTTTCTTGACCACTCCAATGATGTTCATGCCTACTTACTTCCTAGCACACTAACTTGTTTTATTTGCTTTCTGGCACTTATCCTCATCTAAAATGATCTTATCTGTGGGCTCAGTTGTTTGTAGACCTATTTCAGTGCTCCCTTACAAGAATGCAAGGTCCTTCAGAGCAGGGGACTACATCTGTCTTGTCATGTTCACAGCCCGAGTGCCTAGCATGGTACCTGGTATGTAGTAGGTACTCAATAAATTTTAGTGAACGAATGGATGAGCAGAAAAACAGATGAGGGAGTAAATGAATCATCTTTGCTATGTAATATCAAAACAGCTTGATAACATATTCTTAATGGGGTGAGATAATAGCATGTAAAGTTGGCTATTAAAAGTATCTAATGTCAACTGAGTTGTCCAGCTGTCTAGGAACTTAATACCTCAGGTTAGCATTTACAGTCTGCATGCATTTCTTTATTTGGTTCCCACAACTATCCCATAAGTATACAGGGAAAGGACGGAGGCAGGATCACTTATGTTTTTACAGATGAAGAAACTGAGTTCAGAGAGGTTAAATTATTTTCCCAAGCCATGCATGTAACAGGCAACCAGACTAGGTCCCCAGCCTAGCCTTTTACAGCTTCGCTGCTACCCCAGCCAGTGTTTGTTTTATTTCCAAACAAATCATTCGTTATTTATTTATTCTTTCGATTAACCTAGATTGAGCATTTATGATTGTAAAGGGCTCTCTCACACACTATGCACACATAAAGACATGCAGACAACAATGTTTTTCTCTGGAAGAACAAAGTGCACAAATGACTCACCAACCTAAATATATCTGAGCTAAGAGTCTAATTAGCAGAAAAACCTCAATGTTACAAAGGTAGGTAACCTGTCTTGTGTAATAGTGGGATGGGCCTCCAGGAAAATGACATTGTAGCTCTCCCTCCAAGGATGGATAGAATTTCAATAAGGGAAAAGAAGAGAGGTGACTTTCTAAGAAAAGGGAATAAAATGAAACAAGGAAACGACTTGTTTTCGAAATCTAGTATGGAGTTAATTGAAGGAAGTGTTTGAATAGAAGGGAAACATTAGAGATAAGACTAAAATTGATGTTAAATGACTGTTGCTGTTTTTTGCCTTTAACATATCAAAATGGGTTCTTTTGACCCTTGCAAAATGCTAAAGCAGTTGCCATAGAAATACAGTAGTCATATGCCATAGAGGAAGCTAGGCATCTCAGCTGGTGGCAGGGCCAAGACAATTCATATTAATGCCTCAAGGTTCAAAATTTTCAAATTAAGAGAGGTTTATGGTCCAATTTATTAATGTTTAAAGTTTGAAATTAATATTTACAGTTTGAAATCTTTAATGTTTAAAGTTGAAATTTAATGAATTAAATGCTTGGTAAGAAATATCTACTTATGGTTGAATATATATTTGCACCCAGAGAACGTTAATTTAACTTTCATGAAAGTAGAAAGTGAGAAAAATATTTAAATTTGCTTGAAAAAAATGTAATAACAAGGAATATTTCTATGATTATCATTTAGTTAGTAAGACCTCATGTCTATACATCTAAATAGATCCACAGAGATATAGGGGCATTGATAAATAATGAGAGATTAATAGTAGTGATAATAATTATCTGAGAAACAACAGTGATTATTGTTCAGCTTCTTGAGCACCTAATACACGCCAGTTAACTTATACATATTCTTTCTAATGCTCACAAAGACGCTATAGGCTAGATAATATTATCCCATTTCATAGGTGAAAAACTGAGGCTTATAGGGATTAAGAAATTCACCAGAATCACTCCAATGGTAAATAGAGACACTGAGCTTGGACCCATATTTAACCCACCACAATTCTTTTTTGCCTACTATGCTGCCTCTGGAATACTGCGAAGCATCTAATGGGCCTTGGTAAGGCTTTCTTTCCTTTGTCTGGAATAATGGTTCATAAATATTATAACATACAGATAAAGCTCAAATAATGTACCATTTACGGGATGAAACTTAAGAGCTCTAACAAAGGAATTAAAGAAAATAATACCGCTGACTTTGCCATCCGCGGGGCCGTCGTGGGAGCGCAGCGGGATGTGCCCCGGAGCTGCAGCTTGAGGCCCTCAGGTCTCTGGAGGTGTCGTGGAGGAACCTAGCTCCTGCCATCCTCTTCCCCCAGTTTGCCACTTCCAGCAGCCTTAGCCCATGAGGACGATGTGAACGGGACTGAGTCAGGAGCTCCCCGGAAGCATGGAGACCGTGGTGATAGTTGCCATAGGTGTGCTGGCCACCATCTTTCTGGCTTCGTTTGCAGCCTTGGTGCTGGTTTGCAGGCAGCGCTACTACCAGCCCCGAGACCTGCGGCAGCGCTATGATTCTAAGCCCATTGTGGACCTCATCAGTGCCATGGCGACCCAGTCTGAGCCCTCTTAGAACTGGATGACGTTGTTATCACCAACCCCCACATTGAGGCCATTCTGGAGAACAAAGACTGGATCGAAGATGCCTC
Source organism: Homo sapiens (assembly GCF_000001405.40). Classification (NCBI taxonomy): domain Eukaryota; kingdom Metazoa; phylum Chordata; class Mammalia; order Primates; family Hominidae; genus Homo; species Homo sapiens. The sequence goes on along the minus strand of NC_000014.9, from coordinate 58,828,096 downwards.
GGGTCTCATGTCCCACTGCATTGCCATCTTGAAGATTTGTCACACTCTGACAGAGAAGCTTGTTGCCATGACAATGGGCTCTGGGGCCAAGATGAAGACTTCAGCCATTGTCAGCGACATGATTGTGGTGGCCAAGTGGAACAGCCCCAGGGTAGATGATGTTGTGAAGTCGATGTACCCTCCGTTGGACCCCAAGCTCCTGGACACAGGGACGACTACCCTGCTCCTGTCTGTCAGTCGCCTGGTGCTGGTGACAAGGAATGCCTGCCATCTGACGGGGGGCCTGGAGTGGATTGACCAGTCACTATCAGCTGCTGAGGAGCATTTGGAAGTCCTTCGAGAAGTAGCCCTAGCTTTTGAGCCAGATAAAGGCCTCCCAGGCCCTGAAGGCTTCCTGCAGGAGCAGTCTGCAATTTAGCGCCTACAGACCAGCAGCTAGTCCTGAAGACCCCTGCCGCCATCACTGGGTGGCTCAGATTAGCCTTCCACTTTTTCCTGTAGAATTAGTTGTTCTCCACGGCTCAAGAGTTCAGCTGTGTGTGCATAGTAAAGCAGGAGATCTCTGTCAGTTTGTGCCTCTGTTGCAATTGCAAATTGTGGCTTGTGAGTGGCAGTCTAATACCACAGTTAGGGGAGATGCCATTCACTCTGCACAGAGGAGCATTGAAAACTGGTGGACTGTCAGCTTCATTTAGCCTACCTAGTGTTTTCAAGAAAATTGAACCACCATCTAAGAAATCAAGAGGTTTCACATCAAAATTAGAATTTCTGGCCTCTCTCGATCAGTCAGAACGTATGGCAATTCTCATCTGCTTTTCAGAAAAGGACAATCAATCGAAGCTAAATAGGGGTTGCTCCTTTTGGCAAGACTTGTACTCTCTCACCTGGCCTATTTCATTTATTTGTATTATCTGCCTGGTCCCTGAGACGTTTGAGTCTGTCCTCCCCCTTACAGGTTTGGGTTTGAAGATGAGAACTACAAAGCTGATTATTTCTTATCATTATGCCTGCAATTTTACCTAGCTACCACTAGGTGGATAGTAAATTTATACTTACGTTTCCAAAAAAAAAGAAAAAATAAAATAATACCATGCAATATAAAGCTTGTGCAAGCAAGCAAACAAAGAGATTTTAAAAATCATTCTTAGTTGATGGGCGATTTGATAGTCATTTATACCTGGCACTGGTATAAATGAGAAAATAGATGCCCAGTTTTATTATGATTTAATTATTTTATTCTACTACTAGCACCACTATAAAAGCAACGTAGTTTCAATATGACCAAACCAAGATTAATAAATTACTCAATAGTCATCATTAGTAGAGGGAAAAGATCTTAACTGGTATAAATTATTAAATGCCAAGATAGCAAGTCTGAAAAATTTAACAAGGGGTATAACTGTTTCTTCTTGAAGATTCTTCACAATAGAGAATCAAGACTATGTAATTTTCAGTTCATTGCAATTAGCTTTAGGACACCTTTAAAACCTAAAATGAATATTTTGTGGGTAGTATAATTCATTTCAATAAAGCCTCCTTCAGTATAATTCATTTCCATAAAGCATCCTTCATTTACATGTTATTTGGATACCAATTGGGCAGGACCTTCCTGGGAGGCAATGCAGCCTGGTTGTTAAGAAGACAGATTTGGCCGGGCGCGGTGGCTCACGTCTGTAATCCTAGCACTTTGGGAGGCCGAGGCACGTGGATCACGAGGTCAGGAGATCAAGACCATCCCAGCTAACACAGTGAAACCCCGTCTCTACTAAAAATACAAAAAATTAGCCGGGCGTGGTGGTGGGCGCCTGCAGTCCCAGCTACTCGGGAGGCTGAGGCAGGAGAAGGGCGTGAACCCAGGAGGCGGAGCTTGCAGTGAGCGAGATCGCGCCACTGCACTCCAGCCTGGCTAACAGAGCAAGACCCCGTCTCAAAAAAAAAAAAAAAAAGAAGACAGACTTGAGTTCCCATTCGTCCCCATCAGTTACTAGCTGTCTTAGCACACAGTAGATAACTTTCTAAGCCTTAGTTTTTTCATCTGTGTGAAAATGATAATAACAGAATCTACCCCATTGGAATTGTTATAAGGATCAGGGAAGAGAATACAAGTGAAGTTCTTATTTCAGTGCCTGGCCAGAATGAATCTTCAATAAATATTTGTGGTTGCTCTTTTCATTATGGAAAGGCAGAACGATGTAGCAGAAAGCACATAAGATTTGGATTCAGACATACCTTGGATAGGATTAAAAAGGCCCTATTCAGTTACTTACTATTTATGGAACTAAGCAAATGCGGAACTGTTGTCCAGGAATGGAACCTTAGAAAGGCTGAACTCTTTCTTGGAGGGGGAGAAAAGTAAAACCAGGATGGATCTCAGGGAAGGGAAGTAGATTTTTTTATAGGAAAGACATAATAATGTACAAGTTATCATATTAAATCTTTTTTTTTTTTTTTTTTAAGAGACAGAGTCTCACTCTGTCACCCAGGCTGGAGTGCAGTGGCGCGATCTTGGCTCACTGCAACCTCCACCTCCCAGGTTCACCCACCATTCTCCTGCCTCAGCCTCCCGAGTAGCTGAGACTACAGGCACACTCCACCACGCCCGGCTAATTTTTGTATTTTTAGTAGAGACGGGGTTTCACCGTGTTAGCCAGGATGGTCTCAATCTCCTGACCTCGTGATCCACGTGCCTCAGCCTCCCAAAGTGCTGGGATTACAGGCGTGAGCCACCGCGCCCGGCCCATATTAAATCTTGAAACTTGACCAAAATATTCCATTTTTGAACAGAAATAAAAAGACATACAGCAGGAAGCTGGCAGAAAAAAAAAAGATTTTGGATCTATACAGCTAGAATGCACCATTGAGAATTACATTCAGTTGTTTGAATCGCTGGTGCTATGAATATGCTCCACAACCTCAATAAGCTTAGAAAGAATGCAGGTCAAAAATCTCTGCCAGTCCTCAAGCCCCGACTTCCAATTTTGAGACCATCTAAAGAGAGAATGATAAATATCTGCACACATCGTGGGTTGCATCACAGGAGAGGGATCCTGCTCTGAGGAAGCCCACAATTTTCACAATGGATAGCATCAGCATATCTGCCTTTTTCTTCAGAGGAAGATACTATCTTTATTAGATTAGATTCGAAGCATGCCTGCCCTTTGCTCAAGAGAGAGACAGTAACTTCAGGCTTATCTCTAAACACATATTCTTGAAAAGACAATATATCTGCTATCTGTAGGCAGTGTCTTTGCTCACAAGACATGCAGAAACATGAGAGACCCATAGAAAATTGTCACCCACCAATGTAACAAGACAATGTATACAAAAGCTTCTCAAGTCATCCTTTTGGGAAAGAAAATGCCATGCAAAAAAACAAAAACAAAAAAAACCAAAAATCTCTTAAGATTGTGCAACCTGTATATCAAGGCTTCATTTTGCCCACCATAACTTGCCATTGCCTGAAGCCAGGCTGATCACTGTGGGAGCCAGCACTAACAATTTACTGAATGTCAGCTTCCCCAAGCCAGAAAATGCCCCTTCTGATCTGCCAGATGGTTTGGGGCCTGATGCTTGGCATCCTCACAGCTGCCGCAGTCGTGTTCCTTGGAGTGGGTGAGTGATACCTTGGATAATGAAAAATGATTGGTAATTTCTTTTACCTGAAGCCTATTCTCTATCAACATGCTGTGAAGAATCAGAAGTCTGCCTATTTCCAACCCACTCTACAATTGAGCCATTGTAGTGGAAAAAGCATCACAGTTCTGACTGGGAGTTTCCCTAGGAAACCCTGGCTTGTAGGATTCCAGAGAGATGACAGTAGGAACTATGAAGAAGAGGCAGATCTCGCAACCTGCCCTGCTGCTCCTTGCTTGGAAGTAGAAGGTTGCCAGACAAGGATGGTCTGTGGCTAAACTGTCCTATAGGATTCCTGTTTCAAAGCCCTGCCCTTTTTCAAGGGGCCTCCTTCCCTTATTACATTCTGCAGTCTATCTCTTCAGGATCCATTCTTTTTTTTTTTTTTTTAAGACAGAGTCTCACTCTGTCGCCCAGGCTGGAGTGCAATGGCAGGATCTCGGCTCACTGCAACCTCCACCTCCCAGGTTCAAGCGATTCTCCTGCCTCAGCCTCCAGAGTAGCTGGGATTACAGGTGCACACCACCATGCCCAGCTAATTTTTGTATTTTTAGTAGAGACGGTGTTTCACCATGTTGGTCAGGCTGGTCTCGAACTCCTGACCTCATGATCCACCCACCTCAGCCTCTGAAAGTGCTGGAATTACAGGTGTGAGCCACCTTGCCCAGCCAGGATCCATTCTTACATGAGCATCAGATACCAAACAAATTTTGTCTTTGTGTGGTTTTAGGCAATCTCTGGTTGGAGGAAGAAGACTTGATTTTTAAATTTATTCTAATGGAGAAATAAGTCACTTACCAAACATTTGCATAGCATTTGCCATGTGCCAGGCACTGTTCGAAGTGCTTGACATATATTTACCCATTCAGTTGAGGTCATTGTCCTCACATTATAAATTAGGAACTACGGATATATTAAGTAACTTGTCTAAGGTGACACAAATAAGTGGCACAGCTAGGATTTAAACCCAGGCAGTCCTGTGACAGAGTCTGGGCTCTTAGCCACTACCCAAGAAAGCTTGTGGGAGAAGAGAGTATTACCCCCATAGACAGATGGCTCCACCCTATCAGCTGAACATAACAGTACTTATTGGTAAATTAGTGGCTTTTTCATGTGTAGTAGGGAGCAAAACTGAGTTAATTTAGACTAAGTGAAAGCTAACCCCAGCTAAAAGGCAGATAGTCAACTATTCTTTCAGAGCATAGATAAGGCAACAAAAGTCACCCATCTAAAGTGATAAGCACAAAGATCCCTTAAAAATAAACAATTAATAAGATAAGGCTGAGTTTTATTTTTTCAAATATTTCAAAGCACATCCCCTGAAACAATGACAAATGACATCTCCATCAAGCTCATGGTAATTGAAGCTCAGAGCTCATAAGTCATCGTCAAGAGGCCAATATGGCATCTTGCACCTGGCACATTTCCTTCTGAAGGGACAGCTGCAGGGCATCTGTCCTTCCCATTTCAAAGGCAGGACACCCCTCATCTCTCAGAAATTATCTGAAAAGAGCTATCCTAGATTCAGGGTTCAGGGACAATCATATGACGCTAGCATCATCTCACTCTGGAGAATCAGACTTACCAATTCCCAATTGTATTTCCTTGTTTTCCTAGAATGATTATTTGAAACCTTTCTCTGCCACCTTTACACCGTGCTCCTAAACATCTAGAGCTAAAAAGTAACTCGAGGAAAGTAATCAAAAGCTGTGTTGCTAATTCTTATGTAACCATAGCATGTATGCAGCTTGCAACCCCCTCAACAGTTTACTGTCCATAAAATTACATTTTTTAGTTTCATTTATCATTTGTGGTCTATTCTGCATTTATCTGGCAACAGATAAAGAACCTTGTGATTGCCCAGACCCTACCATCACTTTCTTCACACACACACACACACACACACACACACACACACACACACACATTTAAAATCACAGAAATCAGACCAGGTATGGTGGCTCACACCTGTAATCCCAGCACTTTGGGAGGCTGAGGCCAGTGGATCACTTAGTGTCAAGAGCTCAAGACTAGCCTGGCCAACATGGTGAAACCCCGTCTCTACTAAAAATACAAAAAATTAGCCAGGCATGGTGGCCCATGCCTGCAATCCCAGCTACTTGGGAGGCTGAAGCAGGAGAATCGCTTGAACCTGGGAGGTGGAGGTTGGAGTGAGCCAAGATGGCACCACTGCACTCCAGTAGGTGACATAGCAAGACTCTGTCTCAAAAATGTAAAAATTAAAATAAGACTGGAAGCGGTGGCTCACACCTGTAATCCTAGCACTTTGGGAGGCTGAGGCAGGTGGATCACCTGAGGTGAGGAGTTCAAGACCAGTCTGGCCAACATGGTGAAACCTCAACTCTACAAAAATACAAAAATTAGCCGGCCATGATGATGGGTTGCAGTGAGCCAAGATCATGCCGTTGCACTCCAGCCTGGGTGACAGAGTCAGACTCCATCTCAAAAAAAAAAAAAATTTAAAATTAAATAAAATCACAGAAATCAAAGAGACCTTATAGATAATTCAGTTTACCCTGCTCTTGAGGTCCTGAGAAATTTTTATATCTAGTTGATCATTATATTAGTTAGGGCCCTTAGTTGCAAGCAACAGAACTTCACCTCAAATTAGTATAAGCAAAAGGGAGAATAATCACTACAAAGATACAGGGGTACCTCAAGGAACCCAAGGACAGAAATATAGCCAGGCATCAGAACCAGATGGAACTGGGGTTCAAGCCTTGTCCGGAGCCTTGCTGCCTCTTTCCTCTACTCTAGCTGCTCTACTGCGCTTGGCTCTCTTTCCTTCTCAACCCACTTCCTTAACTTCCTCATGAATTCCAAAGATTCCAAGGAATAGACTCACTGACCTAGTCTAGTTCAGGTGCCCATCCTTGAAAAAATTACCTACAGACCAGGAACCGGCCACATGGTGACTGCTTCCCCAGCAACAATATAGTTAAGAGGAAAATTCTCAGAAAATGTATTTGGGACAAGATATTCCAAATGAATACACATACACTCCTCAATCTTAGTTGAGTTGCCTTTTCTGCTTCATCTCTTATCTCACTTTTTGCAAATTAATAATATAAATATATTTAGAATCTCATTCTACAATGTTTTTGTTCATGATTATTATTTGTTGAGGGCCTTTTATGTAGCTTAACAACTACATCATTTCATTTAATCTTCACAATAGCTTGGGGGAAAAAAAGGTAATATTAGCTCCATTTTACAGATCCAAAAACCGAGTCTCAGAAAAGCAGAGTGGATAAGAGCCCAAATCTAGTAACTAAGAATTGAAAAGGAGGAAGATGAGCATGAGCACATGAACGAAGAGTGTAGTAGTAGAGGGAAATGAATGAAATCTCAACCCTAAGCTTGAAGAGAAGAAAAGTGCACGCGCAGATGAAACAGAAGTTCAAGACACCAAAATTCATTTACTCATATGAAAGAGAAAGACAGAACTGGGCTAATTTTAAGAACCTGAAGGCAAGGCCAGCTTATAGAATTTAAGAGTACTAGTCAAAGTTTCCAGGCCCCCCAACAGCAAGCAATTTTCAGTTATTCCACTGTTATTTATAATTGACTCGATGGCATAGAGGTCTACAGGTATCTTTTAGAGAAAGTATATAATTATTACAGTCAAAATTAAAAGTTGGAAGTCAATTGGCCATGTTTATCTTTGTATACATTTGGATTGTAGAAAAATTAAACAGGGGTTAACCCAAAAAGATGCATAAGCCATACACTGCTCACTTTGATGCCATCCTGGGCACCTTGGCACTGCAGGCCACTTGTCTTGGAGATGCCTATGCCTCCCCAATAGCAAAAGTTCTGTCACCACTAGAGTAGGTGAAACTGGGACCAGGCCCATGATGGACCAAAGGCTACTCCAGTCCCCAGGTAACCATGTGCTTCTTGGTGGCTGTCCCTGGGCATTCCAACAGAGCAAGAATTCCCAACATCCATTAGGCAATTTACCAAAAGGGGCAGAGGGGAGATTAAGAATCCAGTTTAACCATGTTGCCCCGTATCTCATTTATAGCAGCAACCTTGGAAGGTAGATATTTTCATTTCCACCTTATAGATAAAAAGTCTGAAGCTTAGAACAGTTAAATTACTTGGGCAAGGTCACCAAGGAAGCACACAGAGGCAGATCTGCCCAACTCCACAGCCATGGTCTGTCCACACCGCAGGCTCTCTCTGGGGGACTGTGTCTCCACCAGCAGGACAGCCCTGCCTCAGCCTCACTGTTCCCACCCAGACCGTCCTCTGCTGGGGGAGTGAAGGAGGGTCTTCTCAGGCCTTCCTGTTCTCAGTGGCAGAGAGCAAATTAGGAAGCAGAAGCAGAACACTCTAGAAAACTACTTTTTCTGAGGCCAACCCTCCACTCTCAGTCTTACGTGAACACTTCCTATTCCTAATGCTGCAAACAGAGGCCAGCCCCTCCCTTCAGATCCTACCTTTTGCCCTCATTTACAGTACTTTCTACTCCCCTCACTTCCTCTCTTCCCCTGTATCTCTCTCATCCCTTTTACAGCCTAAGCCTGTTTCTCTGCGCCACCACACCTTACCCCAGCCTCCTCTGATGATGAAATGGAAGCAACCACAGATGAGTGGTACCAACTGTAGTATTTCTGACTTACCATCCCACTCCCTCCACTTTAGTGCCTATGCCTTCCTCCCCTTTATACTTCATGATTGTCTCTCATGTATTTTGTCCTTTATTTTCTTTAACTTAGCTCTTTCCATCCTTTCCCCATTTTATTGCTCCAATGACATTCATGCTGTACTGATTCTGGGGCTTGCTCTCACCCTCCTCCACCCCCTTCCCTGCATCCAAGGCAAACCCACCCAAACCCACACAGCCAACAGCACCGGATGGACTGTGCACACTTGGGTTGTCATTTACACTCTTTCTCCAGCCCATGGTGCTGTCCCTACTCTTGCCGCAGCCTGGCCCACATGAAGGCTGGTGCCTGCAATGCTCTGTGAGGATAAACAATAGTGACAAAAGAAAAAGTGGAACAGAGTACATAAATATTTATATATCCAAATATAATCCAGAAACACATATATGTATTTTTTAAAATCAACTTTAAAAATTAAAGAACATGTTGAATATCATGAGACTTCTGTTTCTAAATGTTCATTTCCTCCATAAAGAAATTAAAAATATTAAAATTACAATGACACTAAGGGACCTATCTTGTTCGCTGAGAATTGTGGGCTTTTTTATTCTTTCCTCCCCCAAAAATAAAAATAAAAATCTAGCAATTCTAAGTCTCCAATAACTTCCTTTTTGAACAGGTTTCTCTTTTTATAAATTAATTCTATAGACACATGGTTCTACTGTAATCAATGTCCAAGTAGAAAATAAGTACCATATTCAGAAGCAGCTGCAGTGTGGGAAAGGACAGGGAATCTGACTCCCTCCCTGACTTCACAGATAAAAGCTGTGGTTCAGTGCAGACTGCACTATGAAAGATCTCCCCATTTTAAGTAGAGTTGATATATGAAAAATTTGGATTTTCCAAGTAAACGAATTATTTGGTCATACTTCACTTTACAAAGGTTTCACACACACACACACACACAAATTCTTTAAAAATCTGCCAACCTCAAGAAGTTAAAGCAGTACTCAATTTATCACATATTCATCTGCATGCAACTTCTCTGGACCGAAACAACTCCTGTAAGAGAAGTATACCTACAAGCAAAACATGAATTAAGAAACCCAAAGCACTGATTCATATGAAAGAGAAAGAAAAAAATTGTTAGCTGCTTGGAAAAACTCACAAACAAAACCAGCCTTGTAGATAGTAGAATTTAAAGGGTGTTGATCAACATTCCCAGGCCTCAAATTATCCATCACATCACCATTTATTTCATCATTATTTCTCTTTAGCCTAGAGTCCTCAAGATGTCTGCCCAATAAGCACATTCCTTAATTCCTTGGTTTCTCCACTTTTTAATGTTACAAACCTCTTTAAGATTCTGATTTAAAATCCCTCCTAAAATATTCCCACCTTCCAGAAATACACCAAATTTTGTGAAATTTTTTGAAAGGTGGGTCAGTCCACCTGCCTTAAGCTAAGGTCATAATAATCACTTAGCAGGGAACTGACAGCAAGCTGAGAACAAATATCGAACAGAAGGCAGGCCCTAAATTCATGGCATTGAATAAGAGGAAAGAATTCAATGAATCAACTCCTTCTTTACAATGCTACAGACCACCATCCCAAGTTGGAAGAACCCATCCTGAGAGTTCTGAAAATTGTGGTTTTGGGGGTGAAGGTAGCAGGAGCTGAGAGCTGTCTTAGAAAAGAACTTAAACAACATTGAAGTGAGTGGAGATCAATGCCTTGAAAATCCTTTAGAATGAAATTCTGCCATCTTGTTATGATTTCTTAAATTATACATTCTCAGACAGTGAATATCCAAGATGTGGCCAGAGCTATTTAGAAACACTTCAGAGCATGTGAGCATAATTTCATACTACATTATAAGGAATTCTTACAAAATTACATGATTCATCTTCTGAACTCAAAGCCATTTTAAAACAGGAAAAGTGCTCTGAAACTGTAAAGCCCGATTATTTGGCTTTCTTGTAACAAAGGCTTCTGAAATTAAGAATATGCTTTAAGACTACATTCATTGGCCAAAATAGATAGTTTGCAATTTAAACAAGAGGAGTTTTGTCTCAAATGGCTGACTTGGCTAAGCATAACATTCTTTTCATCACTTTCTTTTCTACCCAGTGTTTTTCTATCTTAAGGACATTAATGTCTCCTAAATTTTCCTTCAGGTTTTCTTCCCAGGGAATCTACTTAAGAAATGTTAAATCCCAAAAGCTATTTCTTGAAAATAAACTTTTTTTTTTTTTTTTTTGAGACAGAGTCTTGCTCTGTCGCCCAGGCTGGAGTGCAGTGGCGCGATCTTGGCTCCTTGCAACCTCCACCTCCCAGGTTCAAGCGATTCCCCTGCCTCAGCCTCCTGAGTAACTGGGACTACAGGTGCAAGCTGCCACCATGCCCAGCTAAATTTTTAAAATATTTTAGTAGAGACAGGGTTTCACCATGTTGGCCGGGATGGTCTAGATCTCCTGACCTCGTGATCCGCCCGCCTTGGCCTCTCAAAGTGCTGAGATTACAGGCGTGAGCCACTGCGCCCCACCGAAAACAAACTTTTTTATTAGAAAACAGGCTATTGGAAAGCTGGTCCAATTTTAGACTTCATCTGTGTTATAAGGAAAAACTATTCTTATTCCTGCTTTAAGCTAAGATCAGGATGCAGCATTCACCTGGGAAATCCAGAAGCCCTCCTTAAGGAAATTAGCTCAGCCCTCCTGGCCAAGGACTCACAATACATGGAGGAAAGAACTAAGTATCCAAGATGGACCACATGTGTCAGACAAGGGCAAAGGTATATTATCCATTAATTCAGGAATATTCCAGTGGCACTCGGACTGCCCCAGGGATTGCCATCCTGTTTGGCTGAGCTCTGCAGTTCCAGAGGCATAGCAGGCCTCTGCTGGTGGCCCCTTGGCAGACAGGGCAGAGTGCTGTGGCCCCAAGTTGCTCTGGGCACTACGGTTCTCCTGCGGGGGAGGGGGCTCGCCGCCTCTGTGTTACACTTTGCTGGATGGGTCCCTAAACAGTATGTCACTGAGCCCTAATTTGTCACAGAACATAATGGCATGATTTTTACTTGCAGCTCTCTCTCTCCTCCAGGCCCAAACATGCTTCCAGGAGCTAAGCTATGATTCCAGTCTCATAACAGCCCTAGGGCTAGACTCAGTCTTTCTCTTTCCCTCTGACAAGTAAGGCTTTGATAGAAAAGTCCTTGCTCCCTAGGGGTATTTCTCACAAGATCTCCTTAGCCCCTGCAAACAGACAGGGCAACCCATTGCTGTGAATACAAGTAAGCCTCAGCTGAGGTCCTCACTACAGTAGGCGGCTACTCAAACATTCCCTTGGAGGTGATCTGACATTACCTATGAAATAAAATCATCTTAATTGGAGCAACAAACATGTCTCACGTGATAAAGAACAAAGAGATTTTGATTCAGGAGACAGAAGACCACCAGAGCAAGCAAATAGGGGAAGGCAAGGAGAACAGAAAAGGAAAAACCCAAAGAGGAAATATGGGGCAATGGGCTTGTGCTAGCACAGGGCTTCCCAGTGATGTAGCTGGCAAGGGTCAGAAGCAGCTTTTCATTCCTCGCAATGATACATTGATCACCACCAGTTAGACCAAGACCCAGCCTCCACTCCAAAGCACTTTGCACGAAGTGTGCATAAATGCTCTGTGACCTGCTTGTGACTGTAATCTAGGAAAGCCAGGAGAGGAGTAATGACAGGGTAAAGAAAATTCATTATGCTATTTACCCCCTCAGGCTCAAAGCTCCGGCTATTGGATTTCGCTGATCATAACAGGCTGTTGTGCGGTGTTGGGGATGGCTGCAGCCTGCCAACATTTGGACGTTTCTGTGGGTTTAATTATTCTCTAGTAATAACTTCTCCCTATTTCTATGAAGAACAGATGAGCAGCAATACTAGCCCAGGGTCCTGTGTACTATGCAGGAGACAGATACAGCTTTTTGCAAACACAGTTTATGAATGTCATATCTACATTTTGATGTACTCACTGTAAAGTTGTAATACCAATAATAACGGTCTTTCCATTACAGATATTTAAATAAATTCTTTCCATGTGAAGCAGAAGTAATTATTATCAATATTTGGGTGAACCAGAATGCTGGTGACAGCTCCAACAGCTGCATTCAGCCTTGGCTCAGTAACAAAACACAGAAAGTTCCCCAGTGAGAAACAAGGCAGGGTTTGATAAATTCCATTCAGCTCTTCAGTTACAGATTATTAAAAGATGAATTATAAAATTGGCACAATAATAGCCATGCACATTCTTTCTGGCCAGCATCATCCCCAAGGCTCTGATAATCACAGTGGAATCTTTAAATCAGAGGACAATTCAGGTCTAACTCAAACAGACAGTGTTTGTAAAGCTGCCATGCACCATTAGCACATGTACTTCCCTAAGCAATTGTTCGATTACTTATCACAGACAGCCACATGCGGTTGCTGATGGGACAAAGATAGCACAAGATGGCATAAGGGTCTGAGCATCACCTTTTTCTGGTCCATGGGACAGGACTCAGGAGATGGAGGCAGGCAGACAATGCTTTCAACATTTTTAAGCAGAGGCCTTGGACTGAGGACAGTGTCCTGCATGCTTTCCTCACCAGACAAAGGGTTTTGGCAGTATGTTCTTGTGGATTCTAAGTGGAATTCAGCAAAATATATGTAATCTATTAGGACACTGAGTATTTCCAGTACAATATACTAAATATCTGTTCCCTTTCAGATTGCCTGTATTAGAGTTCTCTGCAGAAACGAAACCAATCATATCTAATGTTATATGTATATATATCACACATACATATAGAACATATACATATATGTTCATATATATCATATACATATATTTAGAAAGAAAAAGAGAGACAAGTATATTTGTTTTAAGGAATTGTCTCATGAAATTCTGGGGGCTGGCAAGTCCAAAATCTGCAGAGCAGTCTGGTAGGCTAGCAATTCAATAAGAGTAGATGTTGTGGTCTGGAGTCTGAAATCTGCAGGCCAGGCCAGCGGTGAGGAGACTCACGCAGGGTTTCCGTAGGAGAACAATATAAAGATAGGTTCTCTTACCATCAGCCATAAAGTCCCAAAGTCTGGGCTGAGAAGTTGGACTGTGGTTTATTGGACATATCTGTAATAACTGGCCTTCAAAATTCAAAGAGAATTTCTGTCTGACCTCAGTTGTGACTATTTCCAAGTTGAGAAGCTGTGGTCTGAAAAAGTTAACTGGAGAGGTTGACTGTACTTTTTATAGAGAAAAAAAAGTTACCACATCCTAGAAAAATCTCCCCTTTTTTTCACCTAAAATGGTAAAGAGAACAAGAACAGAATTTTGATAAACACACAAAAAAATTATTGTAAGAGTCTTTGCACTCAAATCCTGGTTTGTTGCTATCACTGAAGAATAAGGATAGTATCCTTCTTATTCTCCACTTTATCCCAGTTCCTAGCAGAATCTTTGGCACATAGTAAATGCTCAATAAATATTTATTAAAAGAATGGGCTCCACAGATTGAAGGCATGGATAACATTTTAGTATATTCATCTAAAATTTAGGAAAATGAAATTCATTCCATTTGTCAATTACAGTTTAAGGAGATTATCTAGCAGGAGGCAGCTTTCTTGAAATAAGATTCCAGACAGAAATCCATCTGTCAACTAATGATACAGATATTAAGAACTAAGAAGTCTCTAAAAAAATTGCTAAGTCCAACCTCCTGCCTGTGTATCGAAGCAGCTGAAGTGCCATTATCTGCTTACACTGCAGGACAAGAGTCCTTCATCTCCTTCTGTTCTCCACCTTCAGAATCTGTTAGGAAAGCAGATCTTCTCACCATGAAGCAAACAGGCCCTCATACTGTTTAGACAATAAGACGTCCTGCTGGTCAAATTCTTCCCCCAGCATTCAAAATGTTTCTAGACATATACACTACTTTCTTGATGCAAGTCCATAGTTCATGTAATGCAAACAGTGGAGTTAAAATAAACAAAGTACAGTTGAAAACTCAATCACTTGAATAATCATTCTTTTTAAATTCTTAATAATTAGACCAGAATTGAGCTGAGGCTTATATCTTTAACATCTATGGCAAAAGAAGCTGTTTAAGCAAATATCTATTATAAATAAGCATATGTATTATATTAAGGTTATAACAGGCCATATTAATCCTACTTGTGAGAACTAAATTTTTAAATACTTTTATAGTGATTAGTGGTTATTTGCACATAAAAGGATTTAGGCTTTTAAAAAATGAGTCATGTATTTATTAAAGCATAACTAACTCAATTTCTTCATCAATGCTTCGTTGTATTCTTCTAATGTTGTTTCCTTTAATGATGTACTAAAAAAAAAAAAAAAAAAAAGCTGGCTGGGTGCAGTGGCTTACTCTGTAATCCCAACACTTTGGGAGGCTGAGGCAGGCAGATCACAAGGTTAGGAGCTCGAGACCCTCCTGGCCAACATGGTGAAAGCCTGTCTCTACTAAAATACAAAAAATTAGCCGGGCGTGATGGGGCGCGCCTGTAGTCCCAGCTACTCGGGAGGCTGAGGCAGGGGAATCGCTTGAACCCTGGAGGCGGAGATTGCAGTGAGCCAAGATCGCGCCACTGCACACTGCACTCCAGCCTGGTGACAGAGTGAGAGTCCATCTCAAAAAAAAAAGCTAATGTAGTTAGTTTTAAAATATTCTATGATATTTCACTTTTATAGTAGTTTAACTTCATCTAAATTTGTGAGGTTTTGGAAATGTTGAAGAAAATGAACACAAACAATACCTCATAAATTAAAAATATGAGATCTAAAAAAAAAAATGTTGCCTCTAGCCCAAGGAAAAAAAAGAAAAATAGAATGCTTCCTCTACCAAAACATACAACCCTTCACAAGCATCTATTCATGTCCTTGTCCTTTAATGTGACCAACACTTCAGGGTGGAAATAGTTGACTGAGTGACACAATGGAGAGAAGGCAAAATAAAGAAAGTGTTTGGGTTTTTTGCTTATTATCGGTATTCTGACATTTGTCTAGTTTGTCAGCTGTTCACTTTATGGGATTTAAATCATAAATTACAAAATCATAGAAAAGAAAACATGAGCCAGACTGTGTCTCTGTCAGCAGGGACAGATGGGTTTCTATCTTGGTCTTAGATTCCCTAGAAAATATTTCCTATCATGTTATATAACACTTATTTTACATATACTTATTACACTTCTTCCCTGCAGAAACTCAAACTTCTACTACACTTCCAAAAATGTTTTTCTTTTTTGTAAGTTACACAGAAGACATCTGATCAGCCACCTCCAGAGTGACTCATTTCTAAATTCACACTCTCAATAAGTGTTTATTATGTCACCTGCTATCTGCCAAGCACTGAAGCATAGAAAGAAAATAAGGCAGCCCCCAGCCTAAGAAACTTACCTGTGAAGGAAACAGGCCTATAACAAATCAAGTGAATGCCACTTTATCAGGCATACAACAGAGGTGGCTACAAAGGAGGACCAGCCAACTCTCTCTGGGCACTGAGGAAGGCCATCTGGAAAAAAACGACAGCTCATCTGGCTCTCTGAAAGATGAGGAGATATTCTCTGAAGCGGATAGGAGAGAAAGGCATTCCAGACAAGAATGGCCTTGTGGAAGCATGGGGAGGAGAAAACAGTGTGAAAATGATGAGTTAGGTCATTATCATCAGCAAACAGTAGCATGAAGAAAGGGTAAATGCTGGAAAGGCAAACTGAAAACAAATCATGAAGGATGTTTTTTGCCCAGAATAATCCTGATTCTTACTGTTCAGGCCAATGGCTTTTAATAGAGAAAAATTGCTTTAAAAAGCTTCAATAGATAAAAACTATGCCCCTTCTTCCTAGAAAACATACATTTTACATAAAATATCCTCCCCAAACACACTCTCAGGCCTTCAGCCTCTCCACTACCCAAACACACTATCCTTTGTTACTTCATGTTCCTTGCATGTCCATCTGGAGCAGGATCCCCAAAGATTGGGACCCCCATTCAAACCTTGAAACAGAAAATTGAATATGAGCTGGAGAGTCCCAAGAGATTGGCTTCATAGCTCAGACTCCACTTTGTCCTCTTCTCCAGTCCAACTTCCCAGTGCAATCTGTTTTTCCCACATTTCCCTTTTGCTTCCTACAGCTATGACATGGAGAAGCCTTCAAATTTTGAAAGAACTTTTTCTTTGAAACCTGTTCTTCCTCCTTTCTTTCCAACTTTAGTTAGTAACGATCGCTACCACCAATGTTTGTGGTGTGTTGCAGAGTGTGATTGCTAACTTAAATATAACTAGTGGCCCATGACATTTTATCCAATTATCTCAGCCCATGATAGAAATTTAAACAGATACTTGTGTTCTCCTGAGGGAGTAACAAATCCTTGACATCCATATGCAAGTTAAAAAGTAGATATTCTCCATGGTTCTTGCCCCTGCTCAGCCTTATGCTGCTTCAAACATATCAAAGAAATCTCAAGAAAATGTGCTAGCTGAAGCCCTGAAGGCAGATAAGGCAAACTCATTCTTGGATTAAGTGTGGATATCTGTCAAAATAAACACTGCCCCTTCAGCGTACGAAAAGTCCATGTGCTACCAAGAGACTGGTTGCTCTTCTCAAGTGATAGTCTCTGTTTCTGGCAGTTGAACATGTGCTGTGGCAGTGTAGATCTGCTGTGGAAGTGGGAGTTCTTAATGTTAAGCTCATGCATAACCTCATCTCTACCACCGTGATGGCTCTATTCACCAGCCTTAGTCTTTAGTTCTTAAAAACTAATGTTCTTAGTGCTGAGATTGAGAAGCCCTGGGTCAGAGTAATACACTTGGCCTCTCATTTCCACAACTGTATAATAGGGTCTTTTAGTTTGTACATGTTGAGTGCTGTAAGTGCAATAACGTCCCTGTCCCCATGAAGGCTACACTCTTTAATGGGAGTAATAATATCATCTATTTCAGAGGGTTATGGAGCTTATAGGAGTTAATAAATGTTAGGCATTTATGCTGTGTACTTTCAAACAGTATATAGCATACAGTAAGGCACAATATAATTTAAGTTGTTCTTCTGAAGCAATTATGACAGCACCTATCACATAGTATATGCTCATTAAAATGCAATTGATATGACTATTAAACATAGATGAGTCAATATTAGTCAAAAGTTTGCTCCCTGAGTACCATTCATCTCCTGTGCCTGCTGTTTGTTCTCAACTTCCACTGAGGGCCTAGAGGTGTTCCATGGCTTCTGTCAGTTCACAGGGATGAGAAATCAGATCGAAAAATCAACTCAAGATGGATTAAAGACTTAACTGTAAGACCTGAAACTATAAAAATACTAGAAGAAAACCTAGGGAAAATTCTTCCAGACATTGGTCTAGGCAAAGAATTCATGACTAAAGCCTCAAAAGCATAGGCAACAAAAATTAAAATAGAAAGTTGAGGCTTACTTAAGCTAAAAAGCTTCTGCACAGCCAAAGAAATAATCAACAGAGTGAACAACCTGCAGAATGAGAGAAAATATTTGCAAACTATGCATCCAACAGAAGACTAATATCCAGAATTTATAAAACTCAAACAACTCAACAAAAAAACTCACAAATAATTCCGTTAAAAATTGGGCAAAGGACATGAATAGATATTTTTCAAAAGAAGACATACATATGGCCAACAGGCTTCTGAAAAAAAAAGCTCATCATTAATCATCAGAAAAATGCAAACTGAAACAACAATGAGATATCTTACACCAGTCAGAATAGCTATTATTAAAAAGACAAAAAATAACAGATGTTGGTGACGATGTAGACAAAACAAAATATACTGTTAGTAGGAATGTAAATTAGTATAACTTCTATGGAAAACAGTACGGAGATTTCTCAAAGAACTAAAAATAGAACTACTATGCAATACAGCAATCCCACTACTAGGTATCTACCCAAAGGAAAAGAAATCATTATATCAAAAAGATACTTGAAGTTATATGTCTATTGCAGCACTATTCACAATAGCAAAGATATGGAATCAACTTAAGTGCCATCAACAGATGATTGGATAAAGAAAATGTGGTATATATACACAATGGAGTACTATTCATCCATAAAAAAGATAAAAATCATGTCTTTTGCAGTAATATGAATGCAACTGGGGGCCATTACCTGAAGTGAAGCAAGTCAGACGGAGAAAGACAAATAGCACATGTTCTCACTTGTAAGTAGAAGCTAAATAATGTGTATGCATGGAATAGAGTGTGGACTGATAGACTATGGAGTCTCAGAAGGGTGAGGGAGTAGGAAGGGAGATAATGAGAAATTATTTGATGGGTACAATGTACATTATTTGGATGATGGATACCCTAAAAGCCCTGACTTTACCACTGCGCAATCTACGCATGAAACAAAATTATTCTTGCACCCCATAAATGTATACAAATAAAAAATTAATAAATTAATAAACCTTAAAGAAATCAGGAGGTCTAGGCAGGACTCTGTTTTTTTCTGAACAAGGAATGGTTTCCTAATAATCTCAAATAGAAGCAAACAAAGGAAGATAAAGTTACACTAGGGAAAAAATTACTTGCAAAAGACAGCCTAACCCCATCTCAGCCCTGAATTCCAAATTAATGATACTCCTCCAGAGAGCTCAATGGAAAAAAAGGGTAACAAAAGCAAAATCATTTTGCTCCTTTGCGCAAAATTCAACCAAAAGTACAAATGCCAGCCATCATTTTGTACCAGGCATTAGTCAGATGATTTTTGTTTACACATTCTTGTTGAGGATTTGTTTTGCTTCGCCGGCACAGCTATCCTTGGCTCATGACCAAGAGAGCCCTGAACATTTCCTTCTGTGAACTCTTATTGATTCAAGGGCAAGGCTGACTAGAAAGGCAAAATACGCAGCCCAAAGAACAGAAGCTTTGACTCCACACAGAAAATCCAGATAACTCTAAATAGTTGTCTCCTAGATGGCTTGCTAGAGAATTTTAGAAGGATGAGTTTCAAACTAAAGAGTTCAAACTACAGAGTTTTGATTTCTATCCCCTCTTCTAGGGCATTTAAAAAAAAATAGTGCTTCTGGCAGATTTTCAACAAAGCTTATGATAAAATCTTAATGTTTTCATTTTAAAATCCAAGAATGAAGTTGTGCCCCAATACAAAAATCTGTCCCTACTTTCTTCTCTTAATTCTAAAAAACTTTTCATCACATTTGAAATTAAAACATTCATTCTCATTACCTTTGCAATATAATTTTAATTTGTAAATGTCAGATTTCTAATCTCTGTCATCTGAAAAATTATCCGAAATTAGTCTTTACTGTTTTTTAAAAAAACAGCACTTTTTTTTACAACTAAACCCACCTTTCCTTGAAGGCCTGCAAGTTAACAAGGCCATTATCCCAGACCAAGTCCCCTTAAGGGATTCAATTAGAGCACTCATATAATTTTTAATTCTTTGGATTATTTTCCAAAATTGCAAATGTTAGTGATAGACTGCTACCTTAGAACTAGCAGAGTAATTTTCATAGATATACATATGAGAGCAGAGTTTAAATGGACCCTCACTTATCAAAAATTTTTGAAGACTTGCTTCTTTGACAAATGGCAGATACTCTTTAGACTGGCACTAAACTTCTAGCCTTCCAGTGTTGTAAAATACAAAATCAGGAATCACTTGAATGCAGGCTGTCATATAAATTCCCATGCACTATTTGTTTATAGCAATACAAAAAACATTACATAGAACTTTTGATAGTCTACCTCTCTTTTTATGAGAAGTGTCAGAAAAATAATACACTGAGAGAAAACTTTGTTATTAGTAACCTAGCTGGTGGACTCAAGACTGAATGTTTTAGCAAGTTTCAGCTTCTTTTCCTATTTGATATCATGTAAGAACTAAGGGTTTTTTCTTTTTTGGAGAACCCAGAAAAATTGTTGTAATACGAATGATCAAGAAAATTTCATCACAGTTTTCTTACAGCTGGTTTATTTTAGGTATGTTTACTAAGTTTATTTCATTTTAATATTTTATTTTATTTTAATATTTAATTATTTTACATTTATTTGGTTTATTTAGTTATGTTTTCTAAGATACAACAAAGTTACATATGCTATGCATGACTTGAAAAGAGAATATTATCTGTGTCCTCAGTCCTTAGGTTACTTTCTATATACCTCTGTTACAGTACACATAGTGTGATATTTGTCTACATTAATTCCCACTAGACTCTGAGCTCCAGGAAGACAGATAACAAGCCTCAGCCATCTCCAGTTTTCCTAAGACCTAGCTCTTAGTTGGTATTCAAATATTTATTGTGTAAGAGATAATCATGTAATTCACTTCCTTTGTTACTTAAGCCAAACAAAGACTAGAGTTGAAAAACTTATAAATAAGTTAAATATACATTTCTTGTCTGGTAACAATGTGAATAAAAACAATCTCAGGAAAATATTTAGACCAGCTCTTGACAACCAGGATTCCTCAAAAGAATTAAGGCCTACAAAGAATGATTTGAGTAACTGTCTTCTCAATTCTCTCAGGGATGATACATTCTGTGTGCACAGAAGAGAAATTAATTCATTACACACAATAGGTGCCTTGGGATGTTAGGGCTTAGTTATCTGGAATGCTGGTTGAGAAGGGCTGATACTGATTGTTATTGCACAAATCTAAACCATAAGTATGAAAAAGACTTAAATCAGTTTTCAGTCAGATCTTAGGAAGGATAGTATCACATATTGATTAGGCCAATCCATTAATGAGCTGGTCAAATATTTAATGATTAGTCTGGTATCTAACAGCCTAGGTAATCTAGAAAGTAGAGGCTGGGACAAGGATTTAAGGTGCCAATACTATTTTGGGGAGATGTAAGCCCAGGGCAGCAAGAGAAAGAAGAAAAGAAAATGAGTTAAGGTACAGTTGCATTGCAGTATGGTACACTTTGCTACCCCCTCTCTTCCACCTCCACCATCCCCATGACCCAGAAAGAGACCCAGCAGGTCACTCAACAGGCATGTGTGCATGGTACATGGGACTTCTCAAGAAGTGCTGTGCAGAGGAACTGCATCTCAGAGTAGTCCGTGGAAGAAAGAATGAAGAAGTCTGACTGCCCAGCTCTCTCTCATCTCCCATTTCCTAATGGTCAAGTCTCACCCTGTGAGGAGTGAACACCTACTCCCTTCTTGATTGCACTATCAGCTCCTCAGGAGTCTCAAGACTCCAGATCTTACCCCTGGAAAGCAGTGTTTTATCCAAGCCCGAAAATGAAGGGGCAATGAGGAGGGTGGGACACCAAGCAAGAGAGAAGGAAAGTGGCAGTCATGGGAATCTAAGATGCCACACGATGCTTGTGCTCTAGAGCAGCTCAATTAAACTTTATTCAGGGTGAAGAGCTTAGAATCCACTTTCTCCTTGAAGACCAGCAGTTGCTAAGGCATATACAGAGGAGAATTCTATTTAATAAGGAAGGACCCTTCCAAGACTCCCTGCCTGGCTTTGCATCTTCTAGGGAAATGGCTCTGGTCCAAGACACACACTCTCCTTTTACATTATCTTGGAGAGTTCTGGGCACTAGTCCAAGCTACTATTTTACCAAGTCTCCCAAAAGCTAAATTGCTGTTTCTGGGTATAGATGGAAGAGAGCACTTCAATGGATTGTTTAGCTTGGTTTGTTTTCAAAAAATCGTATCCAGCTTACTATTTGCACAGCCATTAAGGTAATTTGTGTCAAGATCTAGCGCTGTCATCCTTTCACCTGTATTTAGTCTCCTGGCTAACTCATCTACTATTGTCAATTATTTCAGCTAGCCCTATCCTAAACAGATGAAGTAAGCCAGGTGAGAGTTAGTATGACCTGTGTCTTAAAATGAGTAGATGACCACAACTCTTGAATTATCTCCTGTAATCTGTTCTTTTACAATAAAATTGAACATCTAAGAACTAGAGGCTGAACGAATGTCTAGGGAAATTCACTTTTCTAACATCATAAACTACATTCAACAAGTCTTTCCAGGCTTTTGTCCACTCTGGTAATCATTGTATATATTATTCATCTACCTACTCTGTGGAGCAAATCCACCTGAGAATCCTGCCACACATTTGAAAGGTTAAACGTTGACACTCATCTTCCCAAGACAAATCTTCCACCTAGACGCATGCATACTTGATGAGATGTTGGTAGAGATCACCAAGCATACCGAATTTTGTCAAGGGTTACAAGTGTTTGGGATTTACCAGCTAGTCTCCTTAATCTCCTGTTTTAATGTTAACAATCCTTAGAGCAATTATCTGCCTTGGAAAATTTAGATAAAGAAAATACTTAAGTGTATCAAATCCATTAGTCAAGAAAAAGTTTAAGAACATTTAGTGTTTTCTGGTTAAAGCTAAATAAAATGGAGTTTTGCCACAAACTAAGACCTTGAGGAAAAGACTGCTGAATCCCTTGCATAACGGAGTAACTTCATCCCTGAGTTCTCACTCAGTGAAGCCATTTTTTTGGCATCAGGTTCTGCTTTTGATCCATTAGCCTTCATCCATTTGAAGTGTCCATGACATCATCTGTGCAGGCTCGCAGTACTGAAGGTTGCATTTTGTAGAACACTCAGCCATGTCGAGTCATTTATCAAAAGCAGCTGGCCTCCCTCTACACCCTGATTTAGTCTGAACTGTGCCTAAGAGTTCTGCAATCGCTATGAGACTGACTGATTAAATTTCTGTTGAAATCTCTGCTGGGATGAATGATTGATAGCCAATGCTTTCCCCCTTGACCCATTTTTTCCAGTAGCCCCTCCTTCTACAACAGTAACTCTTTCCATTCAGCTCTACGATACCCAAAATTTGTGTCCATCTTAATGGAACAAAAAGTATTGTGATGAGACAAACACAAAATACGGCCTTCAGTGTGAATCTAAACTGTAAAGCAAACTGCAACTTTGGTCTTAGGCAACTTATAGTCTCATGGACTACAGCAGAACTTATAGAAGTCCAGCTGATATAAACAAATACAGTCATACTGATTGTTAAAATATTGAAATACTTTTATACTTTTTTTTTTTTTGGAGACAGAATCTCACTTTGTTGCCCAGGCTGGAGTGCAATGGCATGATATTTACTCACTCCAACCTCTGCCTCCCGGACTCAAGCGACCCTACTGCCTGAGCCTCCCAAGTAGCTGGGACTACAGGCATGCACAAGCATGCCTGGCTAATTTTTGTGTTTTTTGTAGAGACGGGGTTTCACCATGTTGCTCAGGCTAGTCACAAATTCCTGAGCTCAAGTGATCCTCCCACCTCGGCCTCCCAAAGTGCTGGGATTACAGGCATGAGCCACCATGCCCAGCCTACATTTCTTAATAAGTATAAAAATTCCCTTAGCAGCCAAGCTCCACATTCACCTCAGTTGTTATTCTTACCTATCCTCCCCAGATCAGTGTTAACAAACACATTTACTTTCTTATATCATGTTTCTTCCTCAGCAAGGCAACATTCAGTGACTTACCTGTCACAGTCAACTGTGATGCCAGCCAACCAAAAGTGGCTGGGATTTTTTTGACATCTATCAAGGCCTGGTACAGCTCATGATCTGTCGAAAGCCAGTTTGGTGCTGGCTGAGTCTTGGAAAGGGCTGTTCTCACCATATACAATCCAAGCGGTGGGCTTGCAAAAGTTTCATTTCAGAGCTCAGATCACCAGGATTAGAAAGGAAGGCCCAGGCTGTGTCGTGCAATGGATAGCACACTGGGCTTCTAAAGGAAGGCCCAGATGAGGCCAAACTTAGCAAGAAAGTTGAAACCTAGAGAAGGATAAAAAAGCATGAAAATGTGGGTTCTCCTCATAGAGCCTAGACTGAGACAATTAATCCACACCCTCAAACTGAAAGTGATCAGGCAAAGCCAAGCTGACCTCAGATAGAGCATACCTCAAAAAACAAGTAATTCTCCATCCTCATTTTTCTTCAGTAGTTCACAAGTGTCCCTATGACTGAGGACTAGTCCCTTTCCAATGAGCAGGGAATAACATTTTCTAATTCGCTATATTTCTTTTCTCCAGAGAAAATTTAATCACAATAAGCAATGTGTCTCCAGGTTATATAATACTATGACATATGAGATTTCCATCCAATAAACTGTCATAAGCAACATGATCCTACATCTAGAAAACCCCGTAGTCTCAGTCGCAAACTCCTTAAGCTGATAAACAACTTCAGCAAAGTCTCAGGATACAAAATCATTGTGCAAAAATCACCCATACACCAACAACAGTCAAGCCTAGAGCCAAATTGGGAATGTACTCCCATTCACAATTGCCACAAAAAGAACAAAATACCTAGGAATACAGCTAACAGGGAAGTGAAAGATCTCCACAAGGAGAACTACAAAATACTGCTCAAGGAAATCAGAGATGACACAAACAAATGGAAAAACATTCCATGCACATGGATAGGAAAAAACAATATTGTTAAAATGGCCATACTGCCCAAAGCAATTTATAGATTCAATGCTATTCCTTTTAAGCTACCATTGAGATTCTTCACAGAACTAAATAAAAAAACTTTTAAAATTCATATGGAACCAAAAAAGTCTGAGTAGCCAAGGCTAAGCAAAAAGAACAAAGCTGGAGGCATCACACTACTCAACTTCAAACTACACAACAGGGCTATAGTAACCAAAACAGCATGGTACTGGTACAAAAACAGGCATATAGACCAGTGGAACAGAATAGAGAACTGATATGGTTGGCTCTGTGTCCCCACCCAAATCTCATCTCAAATTGTAAACCCCATGTGTCAGAGGAGGGGCCTGGTGGGAGGTGATAGGATCACGGGGAAAGATACCCCCTTGCTGTTCTCATGATAGTGAGTTCTCATGATATCTGATGGTTTAAAAGTGTGGCACGTCCCCCTTCATTCTCTCTCCTGCTGCCATGTAAGATGTGCCTTGCTTCTCCTTCACCTTCTGCCATGATTGTAAGTTTCCTGGTGCCTCCCCAGCCATGCAGAACTGTGAGTCAATTAAGCCTCTTTTCTTTATAAATTACCCAATTTCAGGTATGTCTTTATAGCAATGTGAGAATGAACTAATAAGAACTCAGAACTAAAACCACACACCCACAACTATCTGATCTTTGACAAACCTGACAAAAACAAGCAATGGGGAAAGGATTCCCTATTCAATAAACGGTGCTAGGATAACTGGTTAGCCATATGCAGAAGATTGAAACTGGACCTCTTCCTTACACCACATATAAAAATCAACTCAAGATGAATTAAAGACTTAAATGTAAAACCCAAAAATTATAAAAACACTAAAAGACAATCTAGGCAATGCCATCCAGGACATAGGCATGGGCAAAGGTTTCATGATGAAAATGCCAAAAGCAATTGCAACAAAAGCAAAAGTTGACAAATGGGATCTAAGTAAATTAAAGAGCTTCTGTACAGCAAAAGAAACTATAAGCAGAGTAAACAGACAACCTACAGAATGGGAGAAAATTTTTGCAAACTATGCATCTGAAAAAGGTCTAATATCCAGCATCTATAAGGAACTTAAACAAATTTACAAGAAGAAAAATCAAACAACCCCATTAAAAAGTGGGCAAAGAACATGAACATACACTTTTCAGAAGACATATAAGAAGTCACAAACATATGAAAAAAAAAAGCTCAACATCACTATTCATTAGAGAAATGCAAATCAAAAACCACAATGAGATACCATCTCACACCAGTCAGAATGGCTGTTATTAAAAAGTCAAAAAACAACAGATGCTGGAGAGGTTGTGGAGAAAAACGAACGCTTTTACACTGTTGGTGGGAGTGTAAATTAGTTCAACCATTGTAGAAGACAGTGTGGTGATACCTCAAGGTCCTAAAGACAGAAATATCATTCCACCCAGCAATCCCATTACTGGGTATGTACCCAAAGGAATATAAATCTTTTATTATAAAGACACATTCACATGTATGTTCATTGCAGCACTATTCACACTAGCAGAGACATAGCATCAACCTAAATGCCTATCAATGATAGGCTAGATAAAGAAAAAATGGTACATATATATTATGGAATACTTAAAAAAGAACAAAATAATGTCCTTTAGGGACATGGATGGAGCTGGAGGCCATTATCCTTAGCAAACTAATGCAGGAACAGAAAAGCCAATACCACACGTTCTCACTTATAAATGAGAGCTAAATGATGAGAACACATGCACACATACAGAGGGACAACAACACACTGGGGCCTATTGGATGGTGGAGGGTGGGAGAAGGGAGAGGATCAGAAAAAATAACTAATGGGTACTAGGCTTAATACATGGGTGATGCAATAATCTGTACAACAAACCCCCATGGCACAAGTTTACCTATGTAACAAACCTGCACATGTAGCCATGAACTTAAAAGTTTTAAGTACAAAAAATTAAAAAATAAACTGTCATGAGGTCATGAAATGTTTGACAGGTCCTTGCTCATGTAGAGTTTTGAGTACTCTACATGGAAGAGCATTTTGCACTGCTTCAAAATTTACTTTTTTTCCCCTATTGAGTAATCCCAGAGGATATTTCACAAGAATTATATGGCCTAGGCTGCTGTAACTTTGAAATGTATCATCTATTTTTTATCCAGCAAAGTAAATTATCAGTTGACAATTATACCCATTAAACTATATTATTTGCAAATTCTGTTCCCCTGAAATACTCATTGAGTCTGTCACATAATTTCTGCTTACAAAGGAAATGAAATAATCAATTTTCTAAACTTTTTTCTTCCTTCTCTTTTATACAAAATTTCAATTTCTAATTCAAATATTTAATTTCAATTTATATTTCACTAAATGGATCAAGAACCCCATTGGTAAAAGGTATATTTAAATACATATAACAATGACATAAATGTTTCCACATTTATGTGGAGAACTTTATTCTCCCTAGTCCTTTCTATTCTCTCCCATTTATCCCTAAACAATAATTCCTTCACAAATGTATCAATTTAATACAGGAAAGTTGACAATTTCTAACACTGAGGTATTAATGAATGTGGACAAACCAATAACTATTTCAATAGAAAATGCCACACAGGTAAGTGAGAATCAAAATGAACACCCAGATTCCCTAATCTACCTTTAAAAAGTGAAGAAGTGATCTGAGTCTCTAAGTTATCTTTCTAGTTGGAGCAAGAAGAATATTCCCATGGCAATGTCTTAGGCATCAACCATTTCAGCATCAATTCATTCATTAGTCTAAAATTCATTATATGCCTACTATTTATGCACCAGTGAGTATTCATTCTTAAAATGGAGATAACTGAACCTTATTATCTTATGAAGATAAAGTTTGTGAGGATTAGATGATTCATGTAAAGTACTTAGTACAGTGTCTGGCACAGAAGAAGCACTAAAAGAAAGCTAACAATGGATAACATTGTTGACAACAATAGTGGGCACTGGTACCACAAAGATAAATATTACTTTTATTAATCTCAGGTTGCTAAAGATCTAGCAGGGCAGATAGATGTGTGGCTATAACAAGGGTATATAGTGGCACCATAAATAAAATAACACTGTCTCCTGGATTTCCCAGAGTAACCCAGATTTCAAATATTCTGCCCCATTGACAGACCTTGAGTTCAATTCATGTCTGATTATCTTATGTATGAAATATGGTTTCTAGGGTGCGGTGGCTCATGCCTGTAATCCCAACACTTCTGGGAGGCTGAGGCGGGCGGATCACCTGAAGTCAGGAGTTCGAGACCAGCCTGGCCAACATGACAAAACCCTTCTCTAGTAGAATTACAAAAATTAGCTGGGCATGGTGGCATGTGCCTGTAAACCCAGCTTCTTGGGAAGCTGAGGCAGAATTACTTGAACCCAGCAGTTGGAGGTTGCAGTGAGCCAAGATCGTGCCATTGCAAGGCAGGCAGATCACCTGAGGTCGGGAGTTCAAGACCAACCTGAACAACATGGAGAAACCCATCTCTACTAAAAATACAAAATTAGCCAGGTGTGGTGGTGCATGCCTATAATCCCAGCTACTCGGGAGGCTGAGGCAGGAGAATCGCTTGAACCCGGGAGGCGGAGGTTGCGGTGAGCTGAGAGCACACCATTGCACTCCAGCCTGGGCAACAAGAGCGAAACTCCATAGCAAAAAAAAAAAAAAAAAAAAAAAAGAAAGAAAGAAAGAAAAGAAAAAGAAAAAGAAATATGGTTTCTACAGCTATAATAAAAACACAATGGAAACAATATAGCATTGAAGAGGCATTAGAAACTCTTACTTTTAACTAATGTACAGTTTTGTTGAAGAGCCTTATGCACATGGAACCATTAAAAAGCAAGATAAAACAGCAAATAATCAGGCTCAATTGCTTAGATCAGATAATGAGTGTTAAAATGCTAGTAAGAATTCAGAGTGCTTACTTTATGAAGAAACTGAAACTTGCATGCAAACTTAAATTGGGTCGGAATTTCATAACAAGAGATGAAGTAACAGGGAGAGGCTGAGCATCATTGTATGTGAAGAGGACAGTCAAGGTACAGGTCCAACTTCAGGTTCTAAAACTGCTTCCTCAAAAATGAAAAAGCAAACGTGTTGAGAATAGTAGGAGAAGACAATTCTACTATAAATAATAGTAGCCAGGAACAATGCTTTAGACAACACACTTCTTCAAGCAGCTGGAGAAAAGGAATTCACTTGTCCCTGGACAGCTTAGTGGAAGCTGGAGGTATAAAAACACTTTATTTAGCTGCAAATCCCCTTGCATGTATTT
Organism: Homo sapiens; assembly: GCF_000001405.40. Lineage (NCBI taxonomy): Eukaryota > Metazoa > Chordata > Mammalia > Primates > Hominidae > Homo > Homo sapiens. The sequence goes on along the minus strand of NC_000014.9, from coordinate 58,799,059 downwards.
AGTACTTTTAGCTTTGCAAAGTCCTTGCTGTATGGTCTCACTTAAGTCTCCCTTGCTGCAGCCAGTGACTGAGTATGAAGCAAGATCCCCTTACAGCCCTCAGTTGTGTGTACAGTACAGTTTTCACAGTTCTAAAACACTGGCTAAGTAATCCATGTCTCTACCTTGCTGAATAAGAAAGCACCATTAATGGAATTGGGCCCCTAAGAAATGTAAAGTCAGCCTCAGTTTGGGAAAGACATTTGGTTAATGTTACATAATCACTGATTCTTATTTCCTTCTTAAATTTTGGATCTCATTTGAGACCATTTGGAAGCTAAATAAGAGCTCCTATATTATGGATTTCCTCATGTAATAAGTGGTAGGCATGTAACTGTGTTCTAGAGGAATTCAGAGTAAAAGAACAGCAAAGCATTAAAAGTTTTTTCAAATTGTCCAATAATGTAATATAGTAAGGGTTGTCTTTTGATTATGGAAATATATATACTGTAATATGTGCAGCTTTCCTGAACCATGCCTTCCCACTCCCTTGTGTTAGAGAAGTAGAATGTGCCCCCTCTACCAGGGGTATGAGATGTTTGCAGTCGATGCATGTCAAGCAGATTGACAGCATCCCCAGTTGCGTTTTAGCATTTTAGTCTGTGATAGCTACTCTTGGCAAACAAAGAAGTCTGGCTTTAAGTGGAGTTTACAGCACGATACAGACCCAACCTAGCTCTTCATAACCATAAGACTGTGCCTTTTCCCATCTGGCAGAGAATAATGACTTCGATTTAAGAACATCTTGATTCTGTTCGCTCCAAATACATTTACAGTGAAGGCATTGACTCTTTTTGTAAGTTCTTTCAACTTCCTCACCCCCACTGTTCAAAAAAGTAACAAATATGTACAGGTTAAGCAGTTTGCCTCCCATCAGCTGGAGAAACAAGATTTGACTAAAGTAGTCATTGTTGGGAGCCACAGGACAGAGCACCTAGAATTTAGGTGAATTTAGAGAATAAAGTTAAGAAGAATCAATAAACAGTGGAGTTTAAATAGCTACAGAAGCAGGTACCTCTATGAAATAGTTTACAAGGATATTGCTCCTGAAACTGGAGAAATTGGTAAATATCCTCAGGAAGATGACTGAAATGAAACTGACAGAAAAGAAAACTCACTGAAACATAGCTGGCATTGGCCAAGGATTGTTTTAGAAAAAGGTTTTCTTTTCTTTTCTTTTTTTTTTTTAAGACAGAGTCTTGCTCTGTCACCCAGGCTGGAGTGCAGTGGTGCGATCTCGGCTCACTGCAAGCTCTGCCTCCCAGGTTCACGCCATTCTCCTGCCTCAGCCTCCCGAGTAGCTGGGACTACAGGTGCCTGCCAGGACTACAGGTGCCCACCACAACGCCCGGCTAATTTTTTGTATTTTTAGTAGAGACGGGGTTTCACCGTGTTAGCCAGGATGGTCTCGATCTCCTGACCTCGTGATCTGCCCACCTCAGCCTCCCAAAGTGCTGGGATTACAGGCATGAGCCACCGTGCCAGGCCTAGTAAAAGGTTTTCAAAGGCAATGTATTAGCGAGGATTTCTTCATGTTTATCCAGCATCTTGAAGGAGAAATAACTCTAACACAAAAAAAACAGCCCTCAGAAATACCTACTGTCATTGCTATCATTCTATGTTGACGAAGGCATCTCTGGGCCTTTACCTTAGGTAGCTGCATGAAGGTACTTGCCAGAAAAAATACCCCCGCAGCCATGTATGACGCAAAGGATGATTCTAACAGGTTTTTTTTTGTACCAAAATAGGAATTCTGGTTTGCACATCAATGCCTTTTAAGTTTCATTAGTAAAACCTGGTCTCCTACGGGTTAATCATCTCTGTGTAATTAACTAAATTAAGTTTCTGAAACTATGAAGTGAAAACCACAGCTCACCATATGGGATGCCCTCTCCAAGGTACTGATTCCCCTGGGGTCCTGCCCACAGCTGCTGGACAACCTCACTCTGGACCTGTCTGTACCTGTGGCATCCTCCATTCAGTGGTCTAGATCAGTGCTTCTCAAGCTTAGGGTGCTTTCAAATCACCTGGGGATCCTTTTAATATGTAAACCTCTACATACACTCAACAAGCCAAGCAGATGCATTATTTTTTCTGCCCGGAATCTAAAGTGTTTCAGTTTCCTTATCCATGAAGTAAGAGGTCTGAAGAGCTCTCGATGGTGAACAGGTTTGCTCTCTTGAACCATTTGTGAAGGATTGGTCATGAGTGTGGTAGTGTTATGCTGGGAAGGAGTCTGAAGTTGTCTCAGGAAAGAACAATTGGTCAATAATGTCTGCCATGTGTTTAGCATAGCAGACATGTCATATATTAAAAATCCCATATAAATAATCTCCAAACTTCCTAACTTTCCATGATTCTTGGAATTCATAGTATTATTTTAGACATCATGGGAAAGAGAGAAATGTCTTTGCATAATGAAAACAAGCCATCTAGAATCCCAATATTTAACATCTGTGAGTGTGTTTGTGTATGTGTGTAACAGGAACAGTTGTTAAGCCCAGACTTTTGAGTTCACATTTTCTCTAGAGAAGTTCCAAAAATAACACATGCCTCTGGCTTGCTGGCCTCTGTCATCGTGGTACACAGCTTTGTCTGTGTGGTCAGGAGTAAAATGAATATGTCTATCACACTGCCAGAATTTCTACGTGCTGTTATGAAATAATTAGTTAAATTTTAATGAGACATGGAGGAGATCCAGGTAAGCCATGAGGAAGTTGTAAAAAAACGAGGAGAATTTCCTTTTTTTAACTTCCTTGTTCTTGTTATTATTTAATTTACTATATATTAATATCTAGTGGAAGCAAATCACCTAAATGTCTAATGTTAAGATATACCCATCTGATGAACTGTTACATAGCCATTAAAATTATCAAGGAAATCTTGTAGTAACAATGTGAAATATTTATGTTGTAAGGTAGAAGGAAAATGGAACATGAAAATGTTCACAGCTATTAAAATATATCCATCAGAAGGGGAAAGAAGGAATGAAAGTAGCTTCAAAATATTGTTGTTTTTGAAGAATAAGTCCACAGGTACAATGTTTCTTAATTTTTTAAGTTTGTTACAATAAATATATATCTATGCAGCTTTTACAAAGGGAAATAAATTACAAAAACTTACTATGTTTGGTTTAAATGAATGTTTCCCTTGTTAGTTATAGAAGTAATTTAACAATATTAAGGCAAACTGGGAGTGTGGATTCACCTATAATCTCATTACTTGGCAACCTGACAATTTTACTTTTAGTTTATTATCATAAATATATTTTGAAGTTTGAAATAAAAAATGAGAAAAGTGTCTGTGCCTGAACTGTTAGTTTGTAAAACTCAAAGGAAGCTAGAAATGTCTGTAATTTTAAAAGGAGTTATACATTAACTCAAAACCCATATCTACATAAGCTCAGGACTTCAAAATACGCCACCTTCTGATTGGTAATGGATCGATGCAAAGGATTCAGACTAGAGTTATTCTATAAATGATTTTATGTCTTTCAGTTTTAAGCTGACTGCAGGGAATAAAAAGCCAGCTTTTCCCATATGTGAAAAGACATCAAGATAACAATAATATAAATAACAATTATCTAGAATTTTTCCACCTACAAAGCACTTTTAGCTGACTTATTCTTAGCAACCCTTGGAGGTAGGTATAATTATGCCTTCTTTATAGATTAAGATACTGAGGCTCAGAGACATTAACAGATTACACAGTTAAAATGAGATACAAATTTGAATTCCCAAGCATTTTCACTACTGCCACGTGTAGAAGCTTGAATGTTTTGATGAAAACTCTACCCTCCCTTTCAGAAAGAGAAACTCTACCCTTCGTTTCAGAAAGAGAAAGATCCTGTCATCAAGAGATCCTGGTTAAAGCTTTTAGCACAGTCATTCTCAGAGAAGCACAGAAGTTTATGAGAATCATTTGTAGGAGCTTTTACTTTTTTTTTTTTGGCAATTTTATAACTTTATTTGATGTATCTGACGATCAGGGATTAGTTCTCATCCACATTGACTGTCTGTAGATTTTTGAAAGTGGTAACAGTTACATAGGTAACCAAAGTATATAGCTTATTTGGTGAATCTTCATCCTCATTACGTTTTCTGGACAGCCTCACATGGATTCGGTATAGGACATTCCTTATTCCTTTGGCCCAGACAGCTTTGTTGAGCCTGGTGTCAATGCGCACATCTGGAGTTCCCATCTCCTTCATGGCAAATTTCCGAATCTCTTTGAGTGCCCAAGGTGCACGTTTCTTGAAGCCCACTCCATGGATGCGCTTGTGAATGTTGATGGTATATTCTCGGGTTACCACTTCGTTGATGGCAACGGCCCGTTTTCTTCTCGCCACCCTTCTTTGCGGGAACCATTCTGCCGCGTCCAAGTTGGAAAGGCGGGGCTTTTTCAAATGTACACTACCACCACCCTGAGGTTCTCTTATACCTCCCTAAAGGCAATGTGTTCCCTATGCCCAGTGAGAATTGTGCCCCATTGTGCACTGGCATTAGGGATATGCAATGTCACTGTTTTCTGTCATTCACCTGTGCTAAGGCAGAAGATGGATTGAAAACTATATGCCATAGTTCTGTTCTTCTGTTTTGGCAGAAGAAAAACTCTAGGGAATGTAAAGCCTGCTGTGGCTAAGAGTTATAAAGGTCCTAGAGCTCTAGACAGCCTGGACATGTCAAGAAAGATTCCAAAATTGGGTAGTTTTTCTTAAAGAAAGGTCAGAATTCACTAGAGTGAGACTCAGGGTGTGCGTTCTTCTCCATTTGTGCACCACCCCACATCCATCCTCTGTTCCTCCATGGCAGCCTAGGTCCTCAGGGAACTGATGCTTACAGATAGCATTCTCTAAGTTTTTTTGTGCTTGGGTTTTTTGTTTGGTTTTTTTTTTTGTTTGTTTGTTTGTTTGTTTTGTTTTTTGAGATGGAGTTTCACCCTTGTTGCCCAGGCTGGAGTGCAGTGGTGAGATCTCAGCTCGCTGCAATCTCCGCCTCCCAGGTTTAAGCAATTCTTTTGCCTCAGCCTCTCAAGTAGCTGGGATTACAGGTATGCGCCACCATGGCTGGCTAATTTTGTATTTTTAGTAGAGACAGGGTTTCACCATGTTGGTCAGGCTGGTCTCGAACTCCTGACTGCAGGTGATCCACCCTCCTTGGCCTCCCAAAGTGCTGGGATTACAGGCGTGAGCGCCCGGCAGTATTCTCTAATTTCTTCAGGCTCAGATGCCCCGGACGGTTCAGCCAATGGAAGGCAACAGCAGGAGAGATGAGGGTATTTCTCTGCTGCTCGCTCCCTACTCAGCTTCATGGTTCACAATCTGGCAGTGGCACCATCCCTCCCTGACTGTAGCTCCTGATGCAGTTGCAGTCAGCTCCCCTTCTATAGCCCCAATTTTTAATGGGCCTTAGTAACAACACTCTTCCTTCCCCTCCACTCTTCAGTTCTAGGAAACAGTTTCTCAATGTTGCTGGTCCCTGAGTGCTTCAACATTCCTTGTTGGTCCTTTTAACCCTGCCACAGCTCTGTAAATCGTCCCTTTATGAAAATTCCTACTTACACCTAGTTATTCATATTTCTTTCAATCCTGCTCAAAACTCCCTTTAAATGCTATGCTACTGTGATTAGTTGACATTACTGCGTGGATATCTTACTAAAGGATATGCTGATATTTTGTTAATATGTAATCTAACCTAAATAATCCCTAAGGCTCCATGTGGCTCAGTCTTAGCTGTGAGTCACAGTCAAAAGAAACATAAATCTGGCTTCGTAAACTTTGGACCATATTGTAGATCTTTTCTGTAGGTTTTTAACTAGGCCATCTAGGGGTTTTATACAGGATATCAAACAGAAAACTTCCCAGAAATTATCTTTAGGCTCCAGTACTTAGTTCTGAAATTCTGCACACGGTAAAATTGCTAAAATTTCTCCTACTGTCTCTCATTTTGGAGGGTGCCTCACCACAATTCTATTCATTTCTCCACTTGTCTGTGAGCACCTTTCCTGGCTTCCCAGCCAGGTGCGACCATCAGGACTTACCCAAGCTCTGGCCACCTGGTTGGAGAACTCACTCTGTAACCCCATGTTACCCCATCCTTTCTCAGTCCTATGAGAAGGAGGCATGTAGCCTTCTGGGAATTCCTCTGATGGCTTTTCATAAATAAATTTCATGAAAAATTTCAGATGAATAAAATTCTTCCCTTCACGTTGGTGAGAACATTTTATATACTAAAGTTATCCCTGCCTAAGGGGAAAAGTCTTGCCCTTTATACCTCAAGCCTGTAGCCTAAACAACACTGAGCCACCCAAATACAAAACATACTTACTACCCAGGAGAAAGTGAATAGTTTTCCTTAGGGAGAGGAGCCTGAAGCTGAAGACAGAGAAGAAAAATCACACCAGTAGAAAAACCCACGGATGAACGTCATCATACTCAGTGTTTATTTATTTTAGATAATAGTTTGTGCACTAAGAAAAAAATTAAGATGTTTTATTTCTCTTTCTAGAAAGAAAAAAGCAGACATAAACATTTTTTGAAGGGACTGAAAGTATCTCACTAAATAAAATATGGCAAGCCTGTGACCAAATCTATGATGAAAGAGCAAAAAGAGTATCAAAATCATACAGGGTTTTCTTCTATAGGAAATCCAGACTGCGAGTCATTAAGCCCTACACATTTACCCCAAAAATTCAGTTCTGTGGCACAGAATTTGGAATAATTATACAAAATTATAGGTAGATTTGGGGCAAGAATAATCTCATCAATTTTCAATGTCACTGCCACAGCACAAAGCAAAAGTAGAGAAAAACTTGAGAATTGCACATACTTTGTCTCGAGTTTTAAGTTCCCCATCTAATTTACATAAGATGCCTTAACATTCTTTGTCAAGGGCAAACTCAACAACCAAGACAGTGGAGGCACAGATGGAAACAGCAGGTCACAGGGGCCATGCATTTGGCCAGCCAGCCTGCCCTGGGAATCACTGACATAGGACCAAGAAGAAAAAAATGCGCCTTTTTTCTTGTAAGTCAACATAAAATTCTGGGACATCTTTCTTCATCTACTCACTGATATGTAGAGAATGTATCTGAGAAAAGATGGGTAATGAAGTTAGAGATCTGTATGGCTTCAATCCTGAATAATTCACAGGAAATTTACTTTATGGGCAAGCAGCTGGACCAAGAGGTGGCCTCCAGGGACTCACTGCACTAAGAATTTCCAGCAAAAAGAACAATGCACAGATGAGGCCATTAATGTCCCACATATTAAATTACTGCAAATATTTCTCAGGTAGAATAACTCTATAAAAGGGAACCCCTGCTCTTTTTTTTTTTTTTTTTTTTTTTTTTTGAGACAGAGTCTCGCTCTGTCGTCCAGGCTGGAGTGCAGTGGCGCAATCTCGGCTCACTGCAAGCTCCACCTCCCGGGCTCACGCCATTCTCCTGCCTCAGCCTCCCGAGTAGCTGGGACTACAGGAGCCTGCAACCACGCCCGGCTAATTATTTGCATTTTTAGTAGAGACGGGGTTTCACCATGTTAGCCAGGACGGTCTCAATCTCCTGACCGCGTGATCCGCCCGCCTTGGCCTCCCAAAGTGCTGGAATTACAGGCGTGAGCCACCGCGCCCAGTCCATCCCTGCTCTTTTCAATTCCCCAAGAAGTTCAAGGAAAGCCTAATAGAGATAACGCATCAGTGGTGGACCAGGTAAAGAAAACATGGTACATATACACCATGGAATACTACTTAGCCATAAAAAAAGAACAAAATCATGTTCTTTGCAGCACCATGGATACAGCTGGAGGCCATTATCCCAAGCAAATTAATGCATGAACAGGAAACCAAATACCACGTTTTCACTTAAAAGTGGGAGCTAAACATTGGATACTCATGGACATAAAGATGGAAACAAAAGACACTGGGGCCTAACTGAGGGTGGAGGGTGGGAGGAGGATGAGGGTTGAAAAACCACCTGGCAGGTGCTTTGCTCACTACCTGGGAGAGGGATCATTCACACCCCAAACCCCAGCGACACATAATTAACCCATGTAAACCAATGTAAACATGTACCTCCTGAACCTAAAGTCAAAATTGAAAAAAAAAATGTGATGGGGACAGGAAGAATACAGAGTCGACAATAAGAGCTCTGAACAGACTACAGGAGGGGTCTTCATTACAAACGGCATTTGCCTTCCCACTGGGAATTCCAGGAAACCACAGAGGTGGAACAAGGCTGAGGTGTCCTCTAAAGGGGCCTTTGAATGGCTCTCCAACTAGCATATCACACCTGCAAGAAAGCCCAGTGGGAGGAAGAGTGGAATGAGAGGTTACAGCCTGGGCTCTGACCTCAGAAAGTCTCATGCTTACATCGTGGCTCCTTGGTTTCAGTTGTCTTGTCTGAAAAATGGGGTCGTTGTGAGGATTAAACGAAATAACTCATATAAGGTACTTAGCACGGTGTCTGGCATATAATAAGCACTCAACAAAATGGTGGCTTTGGTATCTTAACCCACACATTCACTCACTTACACCTTTTCTCTCTCCCCTTTTTATATTTATAAGCTGCTCTCCAGAAACCCTCCTTGGCTCATAGAGTTATTTGCTAAAAGAATCCTGCCCTTTCCTCTCTGGAGCTAGTTTACTATTGATGTTGGCTACACAAGCAATGATTTGACACCACCCCCTTCTCCACTAAACCATCTCCCCCCGCCTCACATGACAAGCCAAAGTCAGACACAGCTGGAAAACTAGGTAAAAAAAAAAAGTAAAAAAAAATCCATGAAGTCAGCTGTTTTCAATTATAAATATAATACAATAATCTACCCATTACCTCTTTTGTAGGGAGCAATGATCTGAAGGAGAAAATTGCATGTGAAAATATTACAAAATGCAACAATAAGAATGAACTGTTACGCTCTACTTTTAAGAAAAAAAAAAGAGTTGGGGGAACATATACCCCAACCATCCGAATTGTGGTACAACCAAACATGTATTAGCTGGAATGGAATTCTGAGATGCCAATGAAAGGCTTGTTTAGAAAGCTGAGCACCAATCTGCAAATCGGGACCAGCTGGAAGATTCAATTTAAAACAGATCTGGCCATGGAAAGGGAAAATCTTAAGCTGCCTCAAAACTGGCTCCATCAGCCTGGCCGTGGACTTGCAGAAAACACAGGATGGACTTTTCTGTTTCAGTCTTTTTTACTTTTTCTTACTGGGTTCTTTGTCAGAGGCTAGGTATCAGAGCTCAGCACACTATATGGAGCCTCTGGTCCTAGTTATTTCACCTTTTTACTTAGTTAAGCACAAACTCTAAGTGGTATCACTTGGGTAGGAGCTCACCTCTGGCATCAGACTAATGTGGCTATGCTGTGTGACCTTGGGTGGCTTATTTCACTTTTCTGGTCTAGATTTTCTCGTCTCTTAGCATAGGGTTGTTGTTAAGATTAAATGATTTAATGCACATAAAATAGCTCTTAGCACCTAGAAAGCACTCGATAAATGTTAGCTGTTATTATTTCAATTCCTTGCTCTTATTGGTCTCATGATTTCAAAGTTTTTGTTTTTGTTTTAAGTTATTAGAGAATAGAAAAAAAATACAATGTTTGAAAGCCGGCCTCATCCCAAACTTCAAGCCCTTGAATCTGAACACTGGGGCCCCACACTTAAAGACCACTAGTTTCTAATGAATGACAGGCCAAATGCCTCCACAAAACCAGTATTTGCACTACAAAGGCCATGGTTCTTAGGGAATGAAAAGTTTCCTCCCTGTGTTCTCGAGAGTCCTGGCCAAGATTGTTTCAGAGAATTCTCCTTGCCCTCTGAACTTCAGGATGTTTTTAGACATTGCTCTGTTCTAAAGCTTAAGGATGTGTTTTTCTTCATACTCTAACGCAAAGGATAAAAATGTAGTTATAGCCAAGTTACAATTAGAAGCGACCAGTAGAAATTCAAGGATGTTCTCACAGCCAAATTGCTTCATTTTCACTTCTTGTTTTCTGATGAAAAATTATCAGTGCTCTTGGGATTTATGGAAGCAGTCAGCAAAATGTGTTATAAACACCTTCTTCAAAGACAGCCCCAAGAGACTGCAAAATTTCTCTCTCTGATAATCCTCTGTATGCCAGTTCTGAACAATCTTGGAGCCACTCTGACACAAATGATTTCCCATCCTCCCAGAAGCCCAGATGGTGAGCTAGGATGGAGATGTGCCTAGAATGTTTCACATGGAGCCTGTGTCAATTATTTTCAGGCTCTGTATAAATGCAGCTACTGTTTGATAAGCTTATACAAGGCCCTGGGGTGGTGGGAAGGACACAAAATGACCAAAACATGACCCTCATCTTCAAGAAACTTACACTCCAATCAATGTGAAAGAAATAATCCTCTCTTCCTATACAACCATTTTTAAAAATCACTAAACATGCAAGGTTTGCCTTACACTCGTTCTCCCACAAGCATCCTCATTTCCTCTGAATCTTATTTTCTGCTTATGAACTCTTCTTCCCTTGGCCTCCATCTCTTGCTCTTTGGTCTTTACTGTCTATATTGTATTGAAAATACAGATTTTTACTCCTCTCCGATTCAGACTTTACCAAGGTTCCAGAAGTGTCAGTGTTGTGGAGGGTGGGGGGTGGAAGGGGGGTGCGGTATTTGCATAAGGGGCAGAATTGTTTGTTGAGGAATAGATAAACCACTGAGCTCCCTTCCAGAAAGCTCTTTACTCTTCATGAGACTAAAGTCTCCAGTCTCAAGCATGAGCCATGCCAGGAAAGAAGGAGGATAAGCAGATCAGTTCAGACTTCCCCACCGACCTACGTATCTACCCAAGCCTCTGAATTCTCAAGGTGGTCTAGGAGATTTTAGAGCAATCAGTATAGCTTCATAGTATCTGGGTATTTGAGAAAAGCTAATGAGGATATTCCCAGGTGCCTCCCAACTCTGTTAGGAGCCCTTCTTGAGGCTTTGTCTACCCGTGTGCCTTGGGAAAGATGCAAGTGGGCTGAGATAAGAACAGGAAGAAAGAGAGGAGAGAAGTAGGAAAGACTCTGCAGCCAGCTCAGGGGCCTCCAGATCTCCAAAGAGACCCCAGCAGAGAGGAGATGCACAGAGACAGTGGGAAGGGAAGAGATGCCACACCCACAACTATCTCAGAGCCTGGAGCTCAGCCATGACCTCCCTTTGCCAAGTAGAGGGATGCTCTAATCACCAAATCCTGCCAACCACTTTATCCAGCCTACATTGCCCAATATTATGCTCAAATGAACCAACCCTATCTCCTGTGCCGTGCATGGCCCTGACTGGTGATGCTTTCCTGACAAAACATCTGTTTTTACTCTCATAGGAATTCATGAGGATCTTTGTGGATTCACTGAGAATCCATAAAGATCCAGAAACCATGCTCCAAACCAGGGATCCTCTAGATAAGGAGGCTATTGTAATGGTCCAGATAAGAAAAGATGTTGTCTTGGACTAGGATAGTGGTGGGAGATACGCACAGTCGAAGGATGAACATCAGGACATGCAATTGGATTGCAAGTGAGGAATAAAGGAAAGGAAGGCACTGAGTATTGGCTCTCAGGGTTCTGCAACTTGGCAAATGGGTGGGAGGCACGGCCATTGACTAATGTGAAGAATGAGAAAGGAAGAGGTAAGACATTAAAACTGCGAAACCTATTAGGCATGAAAGTGGTCATGTCGAGTTGATAGTTGGATAAGTAGGTACAGATCTCAGGATCTTTCCCCAAATCTATCTTCCAAATTACTACTCAAAAACTTGAAAGTGGAAGAATGTCAGGGGCTGAGGATAATGCTCCCTGAGAATAAGAACTATAACGAAACATCAGCATGTCCACAGTGAAGCATCTGGGAACTTTAACTGCTCTTTAATTCATTTTTTATTCATTATTTTAATAAATATGCACTATATGTCAGTATTCTACTAGTTACCAGGGGGAAGGTATTACATAAAAGAGACATAGCACCTGCTGTCATGGAACTTAGATCTAGTGGAATAAAACAGGATTAAATGGGTTTTTTAAAAAGGTAAAATAAAACAGAAGGTCTAGGTCTGAAGTCAGACAGACCTAGAATCAAACCCTGATTCAGCCACTCATTAGCTGTGAAACTTTGACAATTTCCTTAACCTTTCTGTGCCTTTGTTTCTTCATCTGTAAACTGGGGGTAATAAGTTCTACTTTGCAGCTGTGAGAATTAAATGGAATCACTGCAGTGGTATATAGTATTTAGCATAGTGGTTAGTGCTTAGTAAGCACGTGATGGATGTTAGCTAGTACTGCAGGTGCTATGGAAATCATGGGAGGGCTCTTGCTAGAAAGAGCATTTGTAAGGACCTCAAGCAGGAAAGAGCTGGGCAAGCCTAGGAATGCAGCTATGGTAGAAAGTTTAGGCTGTGCATTAAGTACAATGGAAAACCATTGATGAGATTTGTACAGGTGCTGCACTGTCCCCTGCATGCCCTTCCTGTCGGCACTCCTCATCCTTACCCACGCTCGCATGTTAAGCCTCCCCCTACTAGTGCTCGATACATACAGGGATAGGCCTTTCTCCCAGACAATTCCTTTCCAATCTGTGAAAACTCTGCACTTACAGGAGTGATGACAGGATGTGAAGGAGGTGAAAACAGGAGCTGGAAACATCTGCTTTGTTAAATGGACTATTGTCTTCTCATAATTCCCTTTCAACATCGACTGCTCAGGAGGTGAATTTGCAGTGAATAATAAGTGTGGGAAGAAAGAATTCAAGAGCATCTTTGCTCTGGGGCAGCCCTTTTCCTCTGGCCTCTGTAAATCTTGTTATCCTAGTTCCGAAACTTGGCCAAGAGCTGAGCTGCCATGCCCTACAAGGCAGAGAGGTCCAGGCTCCTGGAGCTAAAGGCAACACTTCTGGGTTGTCTTCTTTTCCCACTGCCTGGGACATGGCCATTTCAAGATCATCCTTCACTCCCTCTCTTCCTTTTCCCATTGCTCCTCTGATGTCAGCAGAGGCTCTGGCAGTGGCCTCTATCTCAGCCCTCAACCAAGTCAAGTCACAGAAGTCATAGTAATTCTAAAGAGAGCTCTCTGTGGAGGATTAGCCGTGGGGGATGGAAGGCAGGGTCTGGCTTATGTGAGTCAAGCTGCAGCGATTGATATAGCAGTGCTGGTCTCCACTCTGCAGCCAGCTTGGCCCCATTTCTAACTCTTGGAAGAGGGATGGGTTTCAGAAAAGAACGTTTGCATAGCAAAAACACAAGAAACATCTGACATGGTAAGAAAATGTATAATTCCAAGCCATACAAGAAATCATGTGTACAAAAGTTTAGCTGCCTGGGGCACACAGTAAGAAAAACATTGAAGGACAATTGGAAAAATATGGATGGCGCTTTTCATTATTTTGGATTTTTAACCCCCAGACAATAACGGAAGGCTTGCTTCTGTGATTTCAATTTTACATTACTGCCTATTGGATGCTGTGTGTCAAGACATTGTAAATGAGAAAGAAAATTTTTGTAAGATCATCATTGTTTAATGGAAAACTCCAGTTAATTTGGGAGAAAAATATGTGTTAAACCTCAGAATGACAGAAGAATCATTTTCAAGTGATGGATCCCTGACGCTCAGTTCATAGAACAGGGATATCATGCTGCTTTAAACATAAAATCTCATTTGGGACAAACATTTTCAAAAGGCTTTCAAATGAAAAGAAGAGTTTTTTGGTCATTCCTAAGTCTGTTACTAAACAAATGCAAGAGTGGACCTCTACTGCAACAATATAAATAAATATTCACTTTATTTATTCTTCAAATTTCCTGGAAATGATAGGATCTACACACACTGAGGAAACAAATTAATGGGACAATGTGATGACAGAAGTCTTGGCATTCAGACTCTGTGTATAGGGAGGAAGGAATGTTGCAGGCACCACCAAAGAGCTCCTGCTACTTGAGGAACCAAAGTCTTCACTGCGCTGGGAAAAGACAATGACTGGATGCTAGGGGAAGCATGAGGATGGTGGTAAGACATCCCTTCAGCCACTGGGGAATAAGGACTATCCCACAATCACACCCTCTCTGGGCTCATACCATCTGTGTACAGATGGGATCGAAGGTTGGGGCACATGCCCATGGCAGGAGTATGATATCCAGTGGCACAGGGGATTGTTTTTGGATGACATGAGAATTATATTTCTGTCCCATTCACTTTGGACAAATTTCAGAGATTTCAAGGGGGTGTGCTCTCTGGCATAATGTAGACAAACAACTTCCAGTAGTGTGATATATCTTCCCATTTATTTTCCATTTAAAGTCCACAGGCAGTCACTCACTCACTCTGCCGTCGCCTAACAAAACCGCAACGTCTCCCCTACTCTACATGTCGACCCAAGTAACTGCACATGGCTGGGGAAACAGGCACAACCTCAGGGACAGGTCTCTTCACAAGTTCTCAAGTAAGATGTTGGCTATGCATCATGCTCCATTTCCATTGTTGATTTATTCTGCCACTTTTCTAAACAACTATTTCATTCCTTTTCACTTCTTTTCACATCTCCAACACTCCCCATCCTCATTCTTAGCCTCTGACTTTGTTTCTCAGTTCATCAAGATAATAGAAGCAATCAAAAGAGGACTTGCACCCACTTCCGCCACTTGGTGAACCTCCTTATCTGTGTCTGTGCCCACGGACTGCCTTCTCTCTTGCTGCAATAAGCTACCCACGTCCTGGCAAATGCCAAACCTTCCACTTAGGCACAGAATCCTGCTCCCTCTCCTCTACTCAAATGACATAGCTTCTACAGTTATATCATCTTCCTCCTACTTCATCCGTTATTTCTGCTCTACCTGATCATTTCTACTACCATACAAACACTCCGTTGTATACCACATCTTTTCCTTTAAAAGCTTCCATTGACCCCACATTCCCTTCTAGCTACATCTCTCGGTTCCTTTTTACAGCAAAACTACCACAAAGACTTGCACGTGTTTGTTATTTCTACTCCCTTCAATTATTTCTTGAACTCACTCCAATTTGGCTTTCAATCCCACACACCACCGAGATTGCTTATGACGAGGTCTCCAATGAATTTCTATTGCCAAAACCAATGCTCATTTCTAAAGCTTCGTCTAACCAAACTTATCAGAAACATTTGACCTAATTGATCCTTTTTTTTCTTAAAACACTTTCTTATTTCCAAGAAGACCACAGTGGACACTCTTTCAGTCTCTTCTGGCCTCTCAATATTGGAGAGCTTCAGACCTCATCCTTAGAACTCATATCTTCTCTATCTACACTCACTCTCTAGGTGATTGCATTTAGTAATCTGGCTTGAAACATTATCCGTATGCTGAACACTCCCAAATTTATATCTGCAATCCCAACATCTTAATGCCAAGTTCATATTTTCAACCACTTACTCAACACCTTATATGTCAAAATAGAACTCTTATTTTTCCACTCAAATCTGATCCTCCTTCATTTGTCCCCGTGTCACTAAATGGCTTTTCCATTTAACCAGTTGCTAAAGCCAAAATCCTTGGAGTCGTCCTCACTTTCTCTCACATTCGCATTTAACCCATCACCAAATTCCATTAACTTTCTTCTAAATAGGTTCAGAATTTGACCACTTCTTAGCACATCCCCCATTAGCATCCTATTACAAGCTATCATCCTCCCTCCCCTTGACAACTGCACTGGCCTCCTAACTGGTCTCCCTTCTATACTTGCCCCACTCCCTACAGTCTATGCACACAGCAGAGTGACGTGGTTCAATTATAATTCAGAGTGCAGTGGCTCCTAATCCCAGCACTTTAGGAGGCCAAGGGGGGCAGATCACTTGAGGTCAGGGGTCCAAGACCAGTCTGGCCAACATGGTGAAACCCTGTCTCTACTAAAATACAAAAATTAGCCAGGCACGGTGGCATGCACCTGTAATTCCAGTTACTCGGGAGGTTAAGGCAGGAGACTCGCTTGAATCTGGGAGGCAGAAGCTACAGTGAGCTGAGATCGCACCACTGCACTCCAGCCTGGGTGACAGAGCAAGACTCTGTCTCAAAAAAATAAAAAAAGTCAGATCATGTCATTTATCTGCTCAGAGCCTTTTGGTGCTTCCTGTCTCAGAGTAAAATCCAAAGTCCTTCCCTGGCCTGCAATGTTCTTTCTTCAAATATCCTCCTGGCTCATTCCCTCACCTCCTTGAGACCGCTACCTAAATATCACTTTATCTATATCAAAGAGCGCCCACCCCCACCATTGCACTGTATCCCTTTTCTTGCTTTACTCTCTGTTGTAGCACATATCAGCATCGAATTTGTACTGATTTGTTCATAGAACATCTCTTTCCTCTCACTAGCTTACAAACACCATGAGCAGGGACTTGATCTGTTTTTTTAATAGCTATACCCATGGTACATAAAACAGTACTCAGCACATCGTAAGCACTCAACTTAAGCGTTTGTTGACTAAACAAAAAAAGAATGAGGCCATTGGTATGAAATATTAAGAACTCCCCTCCCCCAAGATGAAAAAGACAAATAAGAACACCCATTGTGCTATCGTGGGTGGATGTTCTATCAATGGCATCTTCAATGGTCAGGTCACTATGTAAAATGTGAAGAAAGACATCAGTTTGCAAGATACCATCACCGCTCTCCCAAACTTCCCCTGCCTTGAACCCAAAGGAATCATTTAAAGAAGGCTGAGGTTTCTGCAGTTCTTTGTGAAGACAGCCGCATGAAAAAGACTATTTTGTGACTATTTTGGAGAACCGATATTACCTCCAGCTGGCAGCCTGGAAAGCAATTGTTACATTATAGTGATAAGTGGTGTGTGTGTTTATACAGACCGATAAACAATTTCATAATAATGCCCTAAATGACCACAATTTGAGGTACTCCACAAAGTCCATTAACCGGCTCAGTCATTGTGAGTCTCTCTAGAGGTAGCTCAGATTCCACAGGTTGACTAGGGGTCAAAGGTTCCTTGGCTTCCGGGGCCAGAGTCTTAACCCAAAAGGCTACTTCTGCCTCGTTCTGGGAGAGATGAACCAGGAGGCAAATTCAATATACCTTTAAAAAGCTATAAACCAACCAAACCACATCCTAGGATTAAATCAACAAAACAACAGAAATAGGGAGGGGGACACGGCTGCCTTACAAACTCTATGGCGTAAAGCTGAACCTAACTAGCACACTGGGGCCTTATGGCACTGGATCTACTTGGCAAAGGAAGTCTGCAGACAAAGCCGGAACAGGCCCATTTAATCCTAAGTGACCTCAGTTAGAAAAGAAAAGGGATGCACTAACATTACATTCATGGTCTCAGGATCTAGCAATGACTATTAAACATGCTTAGCATACACTCATTTTCACATAGCATGCTTATCAGACTACAAATCAAAACGAAAGCCTTTTTTAGTTTAGAGACATACACCTCCCTCCTCCAAGAATGTCAAATGTATTTATATGCAACGTTCAGTTATATGAGGAACTTTTCTATTCTGGTAAGCTATTTTCTGAACACAGATGTGGTCAGTTAATGCTCTACTAATAATCCATTTCTGAGTTCTCTAAAAATTTTTCATATATATATATTTGTTTTTTTGAGATGGAGTCTCACTCTGTCGCCGCCCAGACTGGAGTGCAGTGGCGCGATCTCGGCTCACTGCAAGCTCCGCCTCCCGGGTTCGCACCATTCTCCTGCCTCAGCCTCCCAAGTGGCTGGGACTACAGGTGTCTGCCACCACGCCCGGCTAATTTTTTTTTTATTTTTAGTAGAGATGGGGTTTCACTGTGTTAGCCAGGATGGTCTCAATCTCCTGACCTCGTGATCCGCCCACCTTGGCCTGCCAAAGTGCTGGGATTACAGGCGTGAGCCACCACGCTGGGCCTTTCCTCTATATTTTTAAAGACCACCATATATATGCAGCAAACACTAAACACTATATTTAATGCAATTGCTTCAGACAGGCTCCCTTCCTGGATTCATTCCTTCAATCCATATCTGCTGAGGGTAGTACATGCAGTGAGTGGTGTGCTACCCAGTTTCCCTTCAGAACCGAGGCACTCACTCCTGAGCTGTCCAAAGGGCTTTGCGTGCTGCAGGCTCAAAGCTGAATTCTTCTCCCAGAATTGCTCTAGTGCCACGTAAGATTATGGCCCTCCCCTGGAGCATCCCACA
The DNA here is from genome assembly GCF_000001405.40 of Homo sapiens. Taxonomy (NCBI): domain Eukaryota; kingdom Metazoa; phylum Chordata; class Mammalia; order Primates; family Hominidae; genus Homo; species Homo sapiens. The sequence goes on along the minus strand of NC_000014.9, from coordinate 58,780,849 downwards.
TCTAATGACTGGTAGGTGCTGGACCATAAAGGCCTGACACCTCGCCTCAATGAGGAACAAGTCCAAAGGACAGTCCCTCCCACCTCCAGAGCTCCTCATGGATCCGCAGAGGCTCCTGGGGTGACTGTACTTCAGCTCCACTTGTCCCTCCATGTAGTTCTAACCTCACTTCCTCCCGGGTACTGTTCCCAAACACTTCTCAATGTCTGGTTCCCAGGGAACCCTACCTAACAGATGGAGTAACTATGATTTTCTAGGTGCTGGCTAACTTCTAGAGTACAAAATGAATAAAACAAGGTCCCGCCTCACGTAACTTGCAGGCCAAAACACCAGAACAACACATGCTGTAGAAAAACCGAAGAAGCAAGGAACAGCATTTGACTTAGATGCCTCCCCAGGAGCAGTGAGGCTTGGACTCTTTCTGGAGGGATGAGTCCAAATGATGGGAAAGGTGGAGAGTAGGCCAAGTGTTCCGACAGATGCAGCAGCATTTGTCAAGCCAAGAAGGTAGGAAAGAGCCTGGCTTGTTTCAAGTTACAGTAAATCTGTGACTAAAGCCCAGAGTGAGGTAAGGGGGAGATAGAAAGTGTCGGGATTGAAGTTGGGAAAACAGGATGGAGGTATGTTACTAAGGAACAATATACAACCTAAAAGTGTGGATACTGCTGTCAGACTTCCTGGGTTTGAATACTGATTTCACAGTTTACCACTTATGTGACCGTAGGTGAATTAAACCTCTCTGAGGCTCAGTTTCCTCATTTAAACACGAGTCTAAAGCTACAACCTACCTCATAGATATTGCTGCAGAAATTAAATGAGACAATATTTAAAAAGTGGTTAGGACAGAACTGGGCTCGGAGTGGAATCCAAAAACATCGTTGGCTACTATGAGCTTTCTCTTATAGGTGAGGGGGATTATAAAACAATCATAAACAGACTTGTGCTTTTAGAAGATCACTCTGATGAGGTGATGAGGTATTTCTCCTTTCAGAAGAAAGGGCAAAGCTGCAGCGATAAATTTACATAGATATGAGACTTGAAGCCAAAAGACTGGGATTTGAGCAGAGGCAGTGCATACAGAGGTAGAAAAGGTTCTATTTAAGAGGCAGCCCACATAACAGCAAGAAAGGAGAGAAATCAGGATGGACTAGGGAAGCCGAGGAGCCCTGCAAGTAGGATTAAAGTCCTATTATGACTATTTCAGAATAGAAAGAAATCTCCAAGAGCTAAGTCAATGGTATTCCAAGTGCTGCCACAAAACGTGCTATGCCAGCAATCCTAAAAGTTGATATGCTTGCTGGCTTCATTCATTCAAAGACTACATCCCCAAGATTCTATTTTTATCAAACTCTATTCCTGAAAACACATCCTTCACTCACTTCCTAAAATATACTCCCCCCAGAAAAAGTGTTATAACAGAAATTCCCATACTAGCCTAGTAATAATTGACAGTGATCATAATAATTTCAAAAAATATATATTTAACTCAGCCTCAGGAACATTTAACGTAAGTATCCATAGTCTCCAACCTACTGCTATAAAATGAAAATTAAAGCCTGAAGCCAAGTCAGAAATATTATATGTTATATTATTTAAGACAAAAGAAAACATATATAAGCAATTATCAAAGTTAAAGCTTTATTAAAGCCCTAAGGAGATACCACTATACATCCACCCAGAATAGCTAAAACTAAAAAGACTGACTACACCAAATGTTGATAAAGATATGGAACAACCAGAACTCCCATATATTTGTTGATGAAATGTAAAATGTTCAGATCATTTTGCAACAAAAAGTCTAACAAAAAAAGTCTGTGTAGACTTAATTTTATAATACTCTGTAAGTTAGCAATTCCAAATCCAGACATTTATACAAAAGAAATGAAAACGTATGTCTGCAACATGACTTGAACAAGAATATTCATAGCAACTTTTTTTTTATAAGAGCCAACAACTGGAAACAGTACAGGTCCAGAAATGGAAGAATGGATGAATGCACCGTGGAATGTCTGTACAGTGGAATACTATTCAGAAGGAACAAACTACTGATACACAAAACTTCAGGGATGAACCTCAAAAGCATCAGGCTGAAGGAAAGAGACCTTACCCAAAGAGAGCACAATGTGTGATCCTATTTATATGAAACTCTAGGACAGGCAAACTTAACCTATGAGGAAAATAATCTCTACTTCTGAGGAAGTAGAGATGGATATTCACTAGGCAGGGACATGAGGGAACTTTCTGGGTGATGCCAATGTTTTATTTCTTGATAGGGGTTTGGGTTACACAGATGTATGCATTTGTAAACTTGGGGAACATGTCAAAAATATTTGCATTTTTGTATGTTAGTTTTATATCAAAAGAAAAAACTACAAACAAATATTGAACTCTAATTACTGGTATACCTGATGAGGTAATTAGGGGAAGCATACATATGTCTACAATTACTTTGAAATGTGTCAAAAATAAGATGACTTGATGGACAGATATGTGACAAAGCAAGTATAGTATTATGTTAATGGTAGAATCTAGATGAGTTTACAGGGTTCACTGTAAAAATCGTTCCGCTTCAACGTGTGTTTTGAAATTGTCATGATAAAATGTTGGAAAAGTTATTTTCAAAGAGATTGATTCAAGTCAAAGGAAGAAGGAAAGCTCAAACTCACAGCCATCATAAACCTATTTCTCTTGGTGGGTCAGATGCTGATTTGAAAGGAAGGCCCTGGAGGGAGGTGCTGAAGGAGGGGAGGTTGTGAATACGTCAGTACAAAGTACAAGGTTTCCCTTTCTTGTTCAATCAGATATTCAATGGACCAGATAAAATTCAATTGCTAAATACTCTGTACTAGACTTGATGACTTCCCCATCAGCTTCAAAACTTAGACCTAGCAGACAGTCTACACGCATCTAAAATAAATAAACTAGCCAGCAGGTCAGCGGGACTTTCCGGTGGTGAGCAGCAAGTGGCCTACACATGCAGAGCAGAGGGGCAAGGGAGTCTCCCTCCTTCGTGTAGTACAGACAGGCAATGCCACTGTGAAAATAAACAAATGGATCTGCGGGGCTGCTGGGCCTGCTTGGCTAGTGCCTGGCTTAAGACCCCTTGCCCTCTGACCCCATGGTGTTTGTGGAGCCTGTGTTGCTGTCTAGCAACAGGGTCTATTTTTCTATCCCATGGTGCGAGTGGATGCAGCTGTCTGTGGCTGATTTATAGGAGGAAGTCAGCAGTAGGAGACCCAGGAGGCTCTCACAGCCCAATTGCTGCCTTTCCACTTCCCAGTTCACGGCAGCCATGGGAACCCTGGGCAGGGGTGGAAGCGGGAAGATCAGTAAATCAAATGATGCTTGGTGCTATGTCCTCCTGGAGAGATGCCCCTCAAATGTGCCCCAGAAGCTGCAGAGCTGGTCATTTTCTCTGCAGCTAATCAGAATTTAGGTCCTCTGAGCTGAGCATATCTTCCGTCCTTCTCAGTGCCCAGCTCTAGAGACAACATTTCTAAGCTTTTTCAAGGGAGAGGGTAGGTCTGGGGCTTGGGATTAAAGTGGAAAATTTTTCTTCAGTCTGTGAAAGTATCAATCTTTTAGGTTATTGTACTTTATTGGGATCAGCCTTGGCTTTAAATACACACCTGAATAATACATACAAAGCGCCTTTGTCTTCTCAAGACACAGGTGACCACCTGTGACCACCTTTCTAGGTGGTGACCAGCTAGAAAGCACTTTCCCATCTGTCATTTAATGCAATGCTTGCCAGAGCCTGTAGAATGGGTAGGGGCATCTCCAGTTTACTGATGAGGAAACTGGCGCACAGCAGGTCAAGTAATCTTCCTAGAGACTCACAGAACGCAGAAGAACTTTCTGCCTCTGACTCCAAGTCTTCAGTGCTGAGACAGAAATTACCTACCCCTCACTCTGGGAAACACGTACCACTTTTCACCTTCCCTATTTTGTATCCATGTTAGAAGCCAGTAGGGTAAATCCTCATTATCACAAGCTCAGAGAGGTTTATCTCTAGGTCAGAGCTTAGAGAAACAGAAACCCTAAACCCTAACAGCAATGATGTGGCAGGCTTCCGAGAAATACTTGTGACATCAAGGTTCTATTCCCTTAGTCCATATAGCACATCTGCTCTCTCAGAAGTATCTCAGTTCACCAGCATCTTTAGAAAACCACACACACACACACACACACACACACACTCCAGGATAAGTCTAGATGTGGTGAAGTATTACCCATCTAGTATGTCTTCCACGCATTGAATCTTTGCTCCACAACTTACACAAAATTATGGTCTCCTCACGTTCCAATATACACCCCAGAAATACGCAAAAGAGACCCCCAACTTCCCAGAACACACCACTACCAAACCCCAGCATGAACTGTCATCCTGCATGAGCTATGCAGCCTGTCTCAAACACAAAGTAAGCTGGCCACAACTGAAAGAGATAGAAAGAACATCATTTTTGTATTATACCTCCATTTTTTCAGCAATGTTCCGATCACTGATTGAAAATAAAGATGCTGATAACATTCCAGGGCATCACTAGGTGTGAAAGTAGCCCAAATTGTGAGCTGTAATTTATCTCCCAATTTTGCCCCCCACCCAAGACCCTCAATTCCTTGTTAATCCCAACTACCCCATTACCATCCCTCAAATCCCAAAACAAATCCAACGTCAGCTCTGTCTAGTTCATGATCCTCAGGGGCTAAGTAGTTCTCTGGAGCTTCCTTGAATACCAAATAAGGAAACTACATATGTCTTAATCTTTAATCTTTTTTTTTTTTTTGAGACAGAGTCTTGCACCATTGCCCAGGCTGGAGTGCAGTGGCGCGGTCTCGGCTCATTGCAAGCTCACCCTCCTGGGTTCACACCATTCTCCTGCCTCAGCCTCCCAAATAGCTGGGACTACAGGCACCTGCCACCATGCCCAGCTAATTTTTTGTACTTTTAGTAGAGATGGGGTTTCACCGTGTTAGCCAGGATGGTCTCAATCTCCTAACCTCGTGATCTGCCCGCCTTGGCCTCCCAAAGTGCTGGGATTACAGGCATGAGCAACCGCACCCGGCCTAATCTTTTATATATAATTCATAACCTACATATACCATTTAATTCTTATCACCATCCTGCAAAGCAGATATTACGATCATTTTACAGACAAGGAAACCAAGGCCAGAGAAGTGAAAGAAGTAATATATCCATTAGCTGGTGGTATCAAGATTCAAACCCAGGGCTGTCTCTCTTCCAGATAAATGCAGTAGCCACAGTGCAACACTGCCAGGCCCAGTGCTTATCACTGCCCTGCTTTACTTTTCTAGGGATTTCCTTTTCTCACTGCTACATCTGACTGTTCAGTGGTGCTGATATGGTTTGGCTGTGTCCCCACCCAAATCTCACCTTGAATTCCCACATGTTGTGGCAGGAACCCAGTGAAAGGTAATTGAATCATGGGGGCAGGTCTTTCCTGTGCTGTTCTTGTGATAGTGAATGAGTCTCACGCAATCTGAAGGTATTGTAAGAGGGAGTTTTCCTGCACAAGCTCGCTCATTCCCTGCTGCTATCCATGTAGGGCGTGATTTGCTCCTCCTTGCCTTCTGCCATGATTGTGAGGCTTCCCCAGCCACGTGGAACTGTAAGTCCAGTTAAACTTCTTTCTTTTGTAAATGGCCCAGTCTTGGGTATGTCTTTATCAGCAGCATGAAAATGGACTAATACAGGTGCATACAGGAGGAACTAAAAGGACAGGCAATCGACAAGCCTGTCTCTGCAATGAGAGGAAGCCAGACTAGGGGATGGGAGAAGGAGGAATCTGTGAGTTAGCACAGATTTCTAGTGTGGTGGCCTGGGACATGGTATTCCAACTCTTCACAAACACCCAAAGTGGTAAATCCCCACCTACCAACATGAATGCTCTCTGGGAGCCCATGCTCTTCATTTGGCCCACAGACATATTTTCTTGGGTTTTTGCACTAAATTCCAACATTTAAAAATGAGATTTCACATTAAAATTTTCATTTCTGGCTTCTCTTGCAAAATCAGCACATTTTGGCAAACAGGGCTCACATTCCCAGATGGCCACATCCAACTGAAATGACAGCAGTGGCTGTCATCCAGAGCCCACATTCTCTGGTTTGTCAATGTCACTACCATTCCCCTGTGCATCCCAGACACTCAGCCTGTTTCATTCCTTTCCTGTCCCAGGATCTTCTGAATTGGCGGCCTCTACATATGCTTCTGCTAAGGAGCATGTATTCATTCAACAAGCATTTTAAACCCCCAGCAAGGCACAAGCTACAAGGGTTACAAGAGACACAAGAAGAGATGAGGTGGCTCCTGCTTCCCAAAGAGTGTGGTCCAGGGAAAGGAATAGGTGAGTAAATATGCCTACTAGAATATCAACTCCACTGGAGCAAGGACTGTGCCTGTTTTGTTCACAGTTGTTTCCAGCACCTAGAAAGTGCCTGGCATATAGTTGCCTACTATATGTTGTTGGAAGAAAGAGAGAGGGAGGGAAAGAAGGAAGGAGGAAATGAGGGAGGAAGGAGACAAAGAGGCAGTTTTGGTTTTTTTTAGGACATTAGGCCAGAGATGAGAGGGAATTTGGCATGCAGGACAGCCAATAAGGCCACAGACAGGAAATGATACCAAGTGCTCTAAGAATATAGAAACATTATTATTTCTATGTGAGGTGACCAAGGAAGACTTTTCAGAAGAGGAGGGGTTTGCTGGGTGTTTCAACACGTTCCTAACCTATACATACTTTGCCTTCTTTAGTAATCTGTATTGACTTGTTGCAATTGCTTCAACCCAGAAGAGAAGTTCCAGGTCTTAAATCCCATGCACTTTGCAGACATGCTGCCCGCTTCAGAACAGATCCTGGCCAGAGGGAGCTCAGAATCAGACATCAGGCTGTGGTTCTGGGGAAGAGGCCCATGGGTCACAGTAGTAGCCAGGCCATGAGCTACCACAGTGGCAGCCTGTGTGAAGAAGTCTACCCTGGTACCACGGCACGGGAGAGAGGCTGCCTGCCTTTATTTCAAAGTGGGGCTGTGTAGAAGCTGCCAACTTAGTATAGCAAAATATACAGATCCCAGAATTCTGATCTGCCCTGTGGGCATCTGTCCTGCCTCACTCTGAGCCATTCAATGACTGACACGGTCCTCTAGCCTTCCGCTCCTTCCAGCCTAGCCCAGCTGCAGTTTTCTCTCCCAGGGCCTCACTCTCTCTTCCCAAGGTAGGAGAATATCAGTCTGTTAAATCTCTAAGATCCTGACTCAACCGCAACAACACACTGGGCTCTCCTGAGGCCTCCTGGTAAGAAGACACTACTTATCTCCATTAACCTCTGACCCAGCTAAGATGAAACAGCCACATCTGAGAGCCTGAGTGCCCTCTTCCCTGAACTAAAGCTAAATAAAGTATGGGGGTAGGGTGCAGGGACAGAGAGCAGCCTCAGACTTGCAACCCCCGCCCCTCCAGGGAATGGCTGCCTCCTCCCTTCTGGCCTCATCCCTGAGCCTGTTAATAGATGACTCCTAGGGAACCCCTCCAGGTGGCCTGTGGGTTAAGAACTACATCTGGAGGAAGCACTGCCCCCTAGGATGATGGAAGGGCCATAAACCCTCAAAGACTCTCTGTTTGATTTATGTGATAATAATGGGAATGTTAATCTCCAAAGGCAAAGCCATTCACCCCAAATTCCAACCTCCTGGGTCCCTACACCTGACTTAACGAGAACAGACCCCCTTACCCACGGTTCCCACGGACTGGGCATTTTACGTTCAGTGTCTCTTTTTCTCCTCACCACAAGTCAGGAGCTGCATGCTGTTATGATGCCCATGTTACAGGTGGGGAAACAGAAGCTCAGAGAGCTCTCGTGACCTGCCCAAACTAACAGCTAACAGTTAATGATCTGTTCACTCACATCAGTGGCCCAGCTGAGAGTGCAACTGCATTTGTCTAACTCCAAAGCCTGTGCTTTTACCCTGTTCCACACTCTCCCAGCAATCACCCTAGAGCTTCCTACTTGGAAAAAAAAAATCTAGTTCAACCAGAGGCTACAAATGATGCTGCTCTTGAGTTCGTTCATTCAAATTGCCTTTAATTCAAATATTCACTTACAGGGCAGCAGAATAGTTAAATGCCGTCTTATCTGCCCTCTGAGAACTATAAATCACCCAAATTAATATTAGGTGCCTACTATGTGCCAGGTCATATTAGTCAATGCGATACCAACTATAAATACTACAGGGCATCACTAAATATTAGATAGGTGAGAGCATATTTGTGTCTGTTTCTAGATTGTATGCATTTTAATCCCCACAAGCAATAATTCTCTTTAAAGATGACAAGTAGCAATAATGTGAATTAAAATTAATTTAAATAAAAAGAAACTAAGAGTTTTGGGGTTTTTTTTTAATGGTCTTCTGGTCAGTGCAATTAGCCAATGGACTCAAAATGAAAGCAAGCACTGGCTTCCAGGTGGCAGGCCAGAAATACGAGACCATAAAAGAGGCCTTTGTAAAAGAGGGTAATTTAGATAAACATGGGGAGGGGTCCCTGAAGAGTCCCTCAGGAGTAGACTGTCTAATTTGTTTTGTATTCCTAATGCCTGCTGCGTATATATGCTGAGTGAATGAGTAAACGAATCAATGGATGATTTACAGGCTTTTCCATGCAAGAAGCACCTCCTGAAATACACCACAGTTAGAGGCATGAGCTGAGAACAGGGTGGGGGTCGTGGGGAATGAGAAGTTTGTACCAACTGCACAGCATATAAAATGCTTAAATGCGTTTATAAAAGGAAAAAATAACCAGCCTGGGCAACATGGCAAAACCTCGCCTCTACAAACAATTAAAAAATTAGCCAGGCTTGGTGCCATGTGCCTATGGTCCCAGCTACTCGGGAGGTAAGGTGGGAGGATCGCTTGAGCCCAGGAGGTAAACACCTCAGTGAGCCTTGATCACACCAGTGCACTCTAGCCTGGGCAACAGAGTGAGACCCTGTCTCAAAAAAATTAATTAATTAATTAATAATCTTTGAGTACTTTCTTTGCAGCTGCCTAGGTACACTGATATATGTCATACTCTCATTTAATATAGTGAGCCCATGAAATCTGTTTTATTGTGCCCATTTTACAGATGAGGAAATTGGGGCTCATAGAGTTTAACGGACTTACCCAAAGTTGTAGAGCAAGAAAGTATTAAAGCCACAATGTGGACACCAATGTCTGGCTCCTTAGCGCACTCCCTTTCCTCCACGGCATGCTGAAGGAGCCCATTTCCTTCTGAGAAGGATGCTACCGTGTTTCTCCAAGTCTGGGCTAGAAAGATCCATGACAAATAACTTGGCAAAGAAATAGAACAATAACCTCTCAAAAGGAAAGTGAAGATACTCTCTACACTGGAAGTTCCTGACCTTCTTGTTCTGAACATTTCAAGCCAACTGGGCACATGTAGTCTGCCTTTCAATACACAATATATGGAAAAGCAGAGACTGGGGCCCAATTAACTTCCTCACTCTCAGATTCTTGCCTAGGAAACCAGCAAGTGAATCTCCCTTATTGTTCAACTCATTGGCACCTCCACTAGAGACTTCAGAGAAGAAATAAGCGTATTCGGTTGGTGCAAAAGTAATTGCGGTTTTTGCCATTAAAAGTAATTGCAAAAACCACAATTACTTTTACACCAACCGGATAAAAATAAATTCAAAGCAAGTGTTATTGCTGTATGTAACCAATTATAGGGATTTGGGGGTGGAAGTTGTTTTGTTTTGTTTTTTTAAAGAGATAGGGATTATTTGGAGGGTATGAACGTGAAGAAACGTTGAAAGTACATTGTTTTAAAAAATGATTGCAATTTTCTTTCAATGTACTACCTTAAACTTCTTGTTCTACCTAATCTAAATCAGCTATAAAATCAGGCAAGTTTGAGCTGTCAGTCTTGTGTATAAAACCAATGAAAATATTTTATTGTGTGCACTTTATTGCCTGATGGCTGATTCACTGACAAATTGATTCACAATTTGTTTGGAAAAATCTCCAGGTCCAAAGGCCAGTGGAGGTTTAATTTGGCCTGTAATTGAGCTTTGCAGATAACTAAATTCTTCTGGGGTGGGGTGAGATGAAGGAGGTGGTGGGAGGTGCTGGGGGGTGGGGTTCCCTAAAAATCCTGTCATGTGCATAATCTTTTCCCAACCCAGTGTGCTTTCTGAACCATTTCCTACACTTACCAGATAGAGCAAGGGGTTGGTCTGAGTAAGGAAACACAGGCCTCATGACTCCTCACTGAGAGGCAGGTCCTCCACCTTCTGTTCTCTTTGCTTCCCCTGTTGTGAACCATATGTGCTGGACCAAAAATTGAGACATGTGATCTGGCCATGAAAAAATGAAATTAAGACTGTTCCAGAAGATCTAGGGTATATGTTCTCCAGAGACAGAGCAACCAGGACGATATACACAGTAGGTACTTAACAAATGCCCACATTAAAAAATTACAGCCACATTCCAAAAGGCACCTTGGATTTTCTTTGGAATTGTTATCCACAGCTAGGTTGTTTCTAAATCCTAAACTCTTTCAGCCTCAGGACTATGATAATTTGCTATGTGCCCTTTTGCCTGGTCCATGCAATAAGTATAACCATTTTCTTTTTTAAAATTAAAATTAAATTTAAAACCAAAACCTCAGGGCTCCCACTTAAATCCTGGGAACTTAAAAACATAGTGAAGCTGTAATATATGCCTTTCTACTTGAAAAATAAATAAATAATTTGATAAGTAAAGTGCTACTCCAAACATATCACAACAGTAGAATGCTCCCAATGAAGTATTAACTGTCGATTTGTTTAGATAAGAAATACATCTAGTCAAAATCACGCTGCAATTACAGGACTTCAAAGCAAAATAATTTGGCTTGGCAATGTTCTAATCTCACATCAAAAGCAGCTGTATGGTAGTCAGCTTATGAAAAGAAAACTGTTCTTTTCAACCAATATGAAGCATGGGAAAACAGGAATAATATTTTTTGAAAACTTCAGAGAAATAAATAGTGTCACACTGTGAAACACACACAGAATTTCAGAATTTTTTTTAAATGTAAGCTGCCTGGAGACATTACATTTCATGAAGCAAGAACAGGTGTGAAACCCAAAAGGGAACATTTATTTTTATTTATAAGACTTACAGTAATGCATATTAAAGAGAGAAATTACCAAAAGCCAAGATCTGTTCTCGACACTTGGGGATGAGAATACAGGAGAGAAACACAAGTGAAAAAGGGGAAAATCTTAAAATGGACTTCAGCAATCTCATTCTCTGGACTGTAGAGTGGAACATTGCTTCTCAAATGTTAATGAGAATCCTGTTAAATGCAGATCCTGATTCAGTGAGTGTGGGGTGAGCCTGGGTGTGTGCATGTCTCATATGCTTCCTGATCACACCCATGCTGCCTGGTTCCTGGACCACACTTTGAGCAGCAAGGAAGTAGAACTTTTGACCTCAGAATCCCTCCCATCCATCCATCACTCCATGTCAAAAGCCAGCAGCCTCACTGGATGAAATAGGCCACAGTCTGTGGCCTGGAAGGGGGTAAGGGGTATTTTCATGTGCTAAGTGACCTCCCTTAGCGCCAACACAACAATATACGGCAAAACAAAGCCAGAATTTCAATTGTGAAGATCAGCTCATTAGGAGCTTATCATTAGAGAGATTTAGATGAAAGGCAACTCAAGCAGGGTGAAGAGTATGCTGAGGCTTTCACCTGAAGCTTTTGATTTCCCTAAAAAGTCTGGTGAAGAGAGTCACGAGGTGGGGGGCAGTCGAACCAGTTGGTGGCCAAAGTCATTATCAGCTCTGACTTTGAGAGACTGAAAAATCAATGTGAGTTTGCACAACAAATGACTAGCCTGGAGATGAGTTCACCATATTTAGTGAAGATTTGGGAGTAAAGTGAGGAATTATATAGTTATTGTAAAACTAAAGGTGGTGTTTTAACATACTGATACTTGACCTCTATTACAGCCTCTTCGTCTGTACAATGAAAAAAAAAATACAACCTTCCATGAATTATTGTGAGAATGAAAATGAGTTATATTAAAGTGGTTGAAGCAGATTCTAACTCCTAGCAAGCACTATATAACTATTACTATTATTATCATCAGGCTAACATTACATCGATTTGGGATATCCAGGTATCTAGTTCTGACACAAAAGGGTCATCAGCTATTAAAATATATGTGGCATCACTAGGAAAGTCATCCATTGAAAACAGTGAATTAATTTAAAACTGGTGACAAGCACTCAGCAGGTACATACTACTTTTCAGGGATAGCTATTTATAGAGAAAAATATCTAATTCCCCATTTAACACAGAAATAATGACATGAAAAAGTTATCTGAAAAGAAGATTGTAGGCCTCAGTGATGATAAGAAGAAATAGATTATTTTTCAGCCTCCAGCTTGGAGACTATTACCCTTAGCCTAAGAATTAATAAACAAAAACAGTAATTAAAAATTAATATGTTGTTGATGCAATAAAAAAGCAATAAATTAAAAATTAATATTTTTTGAGGCAGGCTCCCAATCTGTTGCCCAGGCTGTAGTGCAGTGGCATGATCGTGGCTCACTGCATCCTCAAACTCTTGGGCTTAAGCAATCCTTCCACCTCAGCCTCCCAAAGTGCTGCCATTACAGGCGTGAGCCACCACATGTGGCAATATTTTCTTAACAATCCCCCATCTGAAGCCCACAGTAGCCAGTACTAGGAGTCAAGAAAGAGCACGGCTTTGTCATGGGGCTATAATGCTCCCTTTTCCGAAAAAGCAACTGTATGTTAATTAAAGAAAATGTTGGCATTATTCAGCCACAGAAAGTTCTCACAGACATTTGCTTGGTTATTTTAACTATAGGCTCCAAATTTTAGGAGGGCCATTAATCAAAATAATGCCTGTTTGCCCCAAGGAGAACTCATTTCCAAGAAGGAGTAAGGTCTGGAAAGTGAATATGTCATAAAAGAAAACTGGACTGGAACTAGGAAACTGGAGACCCACTAGAATGTACCTCAATGAGGGCAGGCGTCTTGTCTAGTTTGATCACCTCTGTGGCCACAGCACCCAGGAGAGTGAATACATCAATGAGCCTAGCCACATAAATCTGACCACTGAGCTTTACTTTCCTCATTGCCAGAAAGGTGATAGACCCAAATATGATCCTTCTCCATTAACATTCATTAACGTCCTTCCACCATTAAGATTCAAGGACTTTATGAGTGCTCTTCTGTGTAGAAGAAACGTCACTGTATGTATCTTCACGAAGGCTAAATAAAGATTATTCTAGGGACTGACCTTCTACAAGATAAACAGTGCTAGTCCCTATTATAACCACCCTCCAACAAACAGGAGACATTCAGGTTGGACAAGTGGGAGCCTCCTGCTTCCTGGGCATTCTATGCTAAGTTGTACTTGAATTATGAAATGCTTGGTTGATTCCCCAAACAGGCCTGGACTTCTCATAACCTGGAACATCTTTTCTCGAGGCCAAAGAGGTGATCCCAAGTGAGAGGCCAAATCCAAGGACCCTGCCTGCCCGATGGGTGCTCCTCTGCTGAGCAGCCAAAGGCAGTGCCACGAGGCTTCATCTACCTCCAATAGTCACGGAGTCTCTCCATGTGCACATTGCTCCTGCACTGCTTCCCAGGAAGCCTTCCTGACCTTTCAGATCAGTCACATCCACGTACCATGAACATTCACACCCTGTACCTCTCTTTTCACAGCACTTATCCCAAGAGAAACTCCACATTGTTGTAATTATTTGATTACATTTGACTCTAGCTCCATGGACCCAGGTCCATTGCTGCTGTTGCTTGCCATCGTTTCCCCAGCATTTAGCACTGTATCTGGCACAAACTAGACACCTAATAAATGTTGAATGAATGAACAAATGATTTAAGTGGTCAGCTTGACTAGAAAAAAAAAAGAACAACCAAAGATTTCTCCTAATTTTATATCATAAGCCCTATGGACTTTGTATAGAACACTAATACAAGAAAAGCAATTTCTAAATTGGTTGGCATCCTCAAGTCACCAAATTGAAATATAATACCATATGCTGTATGCCACACACAGATGTGTGGCCCACACTGTGGTGATGTAACAGCAAAAAGAAAAAATATATATACACTTCAGATCCTTTCAGACCTGGGTTTGCATCTTGATTCTTCCATGTATCAGCTATGAAATGACTGGATCTCTCTAAGCCTCAGTCTTATCTGTAAAACAGAGATAAGGAAAAATGAAATGAGAATACATATAGAAGTTTAGCAAACTATGAGACATATGATGAGTGTTCAGACAGTTTTAACTCTTCTTCGATATCATTCACCATGTCCTGAGATAGGCTGTGGCATCCATGTGGCCAGCAGGAAACACTTGAAAACTATTATTCTCAAACATTTTCAATCCTGTGACCACTTTACCACCAGCTCATCATGCCTGGTTACTACTGTTTTGGTTTTGATAATTTTGCAATTAAGCAATGAACATCTTAAATGAAATATCATAAATAATTAGCTTGTACCAGAAAGAGAAACCTGGGAGACCTCAGCCAGGGCCCCCAGGGCACCCCAGTCCTTAATTCAGCACCGGGACAGAAGACGAGAGAGGTGATCCGATCCAGAGTTCAGAAGGGCACTCACCTTCACTTTGACTTTCTCAGCAGGCCCCAGGCCCTCACAGATACTGACTGCCCTCTTGATAACAAGCCTCCCAGCATTCATTTGCCTTGTTTCTGGGACACTGTGACAGTCAAAAGCTGATCCAGTCGCTACCGACTGGAACACAGGGAGTTTAAGGGGGGCAAGATTAGTAAGCTTCAAAAGCTTAGGATGGCTTGATAAGCCAAGGGTAGGGGCGGGAATATTTATTTAACAGCTTACAATCCCTGAAATATTTCATCTGAGCCCCTTCACTCCCCCACCTCCCTTCCCCTTGACCTCTCTGTGACCCTCTCAGCTCTTGAAGCTTCTTGCGTTGGCCAGCTGCATTTCCAACCATAATACCAATTTTTGCCTAGTTAAGGTTCCAGAGACACAGCCCGCTCCTCGGGGTCCCTTGAGGATTTAAAAAAAGGAGATCAACGTTTACATTGATGACATGCACTCAGCTGTGGGAGGGTTTAGTTTTGTCCACGCCGTCCCCTGCAGCTGTGCTGTCTGCCTCACTGACCGCAGGCCCTCGCCTTCCTGGAAATAGCTCTCCCCAAAGAGTGCTGGGACACAGGATCCCAGCCTCACGAAATGTCATTAGACTGAAATCACAGATGTCCCATGACCAGATGGAATGGCTTCAGTGGAGCTCAAGGATCCAGGAAAAGAGCACAAGAAGGGACAGAAGCGGACCTGTGGAGACAGAGCCACGCTGCTCAGGGAGGGGCGTACCAGGGAGCCTGGCAGGATGAGGAGAAAAGGGAGGTTCTGAGGGGTCATAGGGAGGGGGGATAGTCTTTCCTGACATTCCTCCCTGAAATAACCACACTAACCTCCTAAAGCCTTTTTATTCCTCTTTTTTAATGGATTTTCAAGAACATGGGGCAAATAAAGGATAAATCAGCACAAAACTCCTGAGCAACAATCAAGATTTAACTGTGCCTCATCCTAAGCTGGATGAAGAAAACACAATAATGGCAGGCAGGGAGGGGGAATGATAGTTTGTTTAAAAAATAAATGTTCCTTCAAAATACAACCCTAAAGTCACTCTGAGGTCTGCTTTAAATACGCCTTAAGAAAAAACGAGGGCCGGGCACGGTGGCTCACGCCTGTAATCCCAGCACTTTGGAAGGCAGGGGCAGGCGGATCATGAGGTCAGGAGATTGAGACCATCCTGGCTAACACGGTGAAACCCCGTCTCTACTAAAAAATACAAAATCTTAGCCAGGCATGGTGGCGGCGCCCGTAGTCCCAGCTACTCGGGAGGCTGAGGCAGGAGAATGGCGTGAACCCGGGAGGCGGAGCTTGCACTGAGCTGAGATAGCGCCACTGCACTCCAGCCTGGGCGACAGAGCCAGACTCCATCAAAAAAAAAAAAAAAGAAAAAATGAAATCTAGCATTGCTAAAACAGATTTCTTACTCAAAGCTTAGAGGTGGCCCTTGCAGCATCCAGAATGGAATTCCATATTAGTACCATTCAAAACCGTACATGCACACCTTTAGATTCTGTGCGGCGACCTGCATTTTTATGTCCTAATAGTGAGCCGTGGTTCACTGCACAACTCTGAAGAAGTCACAAAATGAAATGATTGAGAGGAGATTAAAATGTAGTATGAAGATAGTGAGACAGGTGAGCAACAAATAAGTGGCAAATAACAGTTGAATATTCCTACCATGTAAATTATTGACGTTAAAATATTATGGGCTACATGTCTCAACATGGATAAATCTCCAAAACACAAAGTTAAACAAAATAAGCAAGGTATGGAAATCATATGGTCTGATGCTATTTATATAAATTTTAAAAACATGCAAAACTTGACTTATACTACTCATGGATAAATACTTATGTCTGCAGATTCATAAGTCAAGTATAAAATGTGCAAAAATAATTATAAACACCAAATTTAGAGCAATGGCTTCTGGGGGGAAAGAATACTCAAGGATCATAGATTTTAAAAAGCCAAAAAACTTCAGTACCTGTTTCATTTTCTTTCTTTAAAAAGTGATATGAGGCTGGGCGCGGTGGCTCATGCCTGTAATTCCAGCACTTTGGAAGGCCGAGGTGGGCGGATCACCTGAGGTCAGGAGTTCGAGACCAGCCTAGCCAACATGGTGAAACCCCATCTCTACTAAAAATACAAAAATTAGCCAGGCGTGGTGGCATGTGCCTGTAATCCCAGCTACTCAGGAGGCTAAGGCCGGAGAATCGCTTGAACTCAAGAGGCAGAAGTTGCAGTGAACCACGGCACTCCAGCCTGGGTGACGGAGCGAGAGTCTATCTCAAAGAAAAAAAAAAGTGAAATGGCAAAAAAAAGAGAAAGATTTAAGAAGCCGCAGTGAGTTCAGTGTTCCCTACTTTTGCTTAATTCTTTACTATATGCTTGGAGTGTTTCAACATAAAAATGTTAAGAGCCTCAGACAAGAGTCTTCAGGTGAAAGTCAGTTTACAACTTCAGAAATCCACTGAATTCATTCATAGAGCTCTCCCCAATTCCTTGAATATCTGGGAACTCAGGCAGTGTCTCTGGAGTCCAAGAGATGCTAATCTCCACCTGGTGCAGTCCTAACCGGCTTTGGGACTGTCAGGTCCAGATGACTCCCTTTTTAAGGCTCTTGTGAAATCACTCCACCCAGAGGATGCACAAAAAGTAAGCATTAGGTATCTAAAAGCTTCCGTTAGGAACTCTTAGGAGGAAATGGTATTTAACAAGCTTTCTTCAGACTAAACATTGCCAATTCCACTACTGGGAGTGATGACAAATGGCTCTCACCCCAGCTTTGACGCTAGTGACCTGTGCGATATTGGGCAAGACCATCTACCTTTCCATTACATCATATGGGCCTAAACAACTTCTTCTGGGCTTAAAGTGTCTGTTGTTCTAATCTGAGAGTTAAGAAGATGGGGGCAGATGCCAATAGGCAACAAACATGACCTCCCAACCATAAATTATTCTAGGGGTGCAGGTAGCCCTGCATCCAAACCTGTTCCCCAAGCACACATCCTATTTCCCTCATCAAACTTCTATAGCTCAAATTCTCAAATTCAGACACTTCTCAATTAAAGGCCACATTAAAATGCAAATAATATGTGGGACCGTAATCACACTTTAGCCTCAGCAACACACATTATCTCTTTTAATTCACACACAGCCATTTTCAACACAGATAAAAAAACTGAGGCTTAGAAAGCTTAAATGATTGGCTCAAGATAACACAGTTCTTAAGTGGGAAACCCAAGCTTCAAGCCAAAGCCTTCAAAATTTCAATCTTAGAGTAATTTAATTGCCTCAAATTAGCCTTAACAGGGGGCAGAATCCCAAAAGAAAGCAAAAGAGGAAGGGGGAAGGTCAAAGAAAGTATGGTCCTGGAGCTGGGAATGCTGCCAAGGGGAAGATGAAAAGAATGAAAAAGACTGAAAAACCTCTTTGTCTTACTTTGTCATTTTGCATAAGGCTAGTTTCCTTCACAACCTTATGGATTTTAATTTTTCAAAGATTGAAGTGGGCCGAAAACAAGCTACCAAGGTGTGCAAGACAGTTATTATTAAAACTATTTTCCTCTCCAAACTTTCCAACCACAGCGAGGCTGGATCATTAACTGTGTGAACCAAGAGAAACGATTTGTGAAAATCAACATGTGCAGTCCTTGGCATAGCAAGTAATCAGGGAAAGATCGTAATGGTGACAATAATGACAGTGATGACAGTGATGGCAAGGACTGTATTAAGAAATGTCCAAGGTCACTCCAAAGCAGCATACAGGTACACCACTGACATCTCATGCACCCTGACAGGTACATCACTGGGCTTTCATCATTCATGATCTTTTCAATGCTTAAAAGTGTTTTAACATAATCTGATTTCTTTCTCTGTCCAAAGCGTGAGGTTCATTCAAACGGTTTGATCAGCAAACATAATCCTTCCTGTCTGTTTTCTAAGGCGATTTCTGGATGTACCCATGAGACAAACAACAAGCAAGGAGAGAGGCCTTCTCCAAGCTTCAACCCCTGGTTTATCAGCCTTACCTTTAAGTAGAAAGTAGGAAAAGAAAACTACCATGCACTTCCACATATTATACAAATAAAATGGGCATATTAAATAGAAACATAGAATTACTGCAGTCCTTTTTATATGTTTTGGCTCTATGTCCCTACCCAAATCTCATCTCGAATTGTACTCCCCATAATCCTCAGGTGTTGAGGGAGGTGCCTGATGGGAGATGATTGGATCATGGGGTGGTTTCCCCCACACTATTCTCGTGATAGTGAGTAAGTTCTCATGAGATCTGATGGTTTTATAAGTGTCTGGCAGTTCTTCCTTCACACTCTCTCTCTCTTTCCTGCCGCCCTGTGAGGTCCTTGCTTCTCCTTTGCCTTCCACCATGATTGTAAGTTTCCTGAGGCCTCCCCAGCCATGCAGAACTGTGAGTCCATTAAACCTCTTTCCTTTATAAATTACCCAGTGTCGGGTATTTCTTTTTCTTTTTTTTTTTTGGAGATGAAGTCTCGCTCATGTCCCCCAGGCTGGAGTGTGATGGCGCGATCTCAGCTCACTGCAACCTCTGCCTCCCAGGTTCAAGTGATTCTCTTGCCTCAGCCTCCCAAGTAGCTGGGATTACAGGTGCCTGCCACCACACCTGGCTAATTTTTGTGTTTTGTTTTTTTTTTTTTAGTAGAGACGGGGTTTCACCATGTTGGCCAGGCTGGTCTCAAACTCCTGACCTCAGGTGATCCACCCACCTCGGCCTCCCAAAGTGCTGGATTACAGGCGTGAACCACCGTTCCCGGCTGGGTATTTCTTTATAGAAATGTAAAAATGGACTAATATACCTTCTATCTCTTGTTAGGGAACTCACTTCATTATATTTCTAATGCCCTAATGTAAGGCAAACATTTTCTGTTACATTCCTGGGATTGTTCCTTATAAAATGAGTTGCCTGACAAAATCTCACAAAGAAGGTTTTTTTTTTTTTTTCAAGTATTTTATTTTGAACTACAAAGTATCTCATGGGAAAAGCATACAAGCCTAAAACAACCTCAATCCATACTTGCTTGGGGTCCTTATAAATGTCAGTATGGGTAAAAAAGGAAATGAGAAATTTAACCTGGATTCAGTCATTTATTCATAAAGGTTAAGATTTGTATTTGCAATTATCAAATGTAGTTAAAAATAGAGCAACAAGCATTTAAAAATAACTTTTAAAAGCAACATAGTAAGTGGTTACATTTTGATGATCACAAATATATGCCTACATGACAATGAGAAGCCAACCACCTAATGTTGGCCAAATAAGTCCTTCTGGCCTGGCACAGCAGTTCCTGTTATCACATTGAACAGGGATTCAAAAACAGTGCTTCCCAAACAACTTGGAAGTGAGTCGAATGAGCCTAGAAAGCCATGTTAGGTGATTCAAATAGAAGTCAAGAAAAAATACATGTAAAGTGTTTGAATAAAATCATTTCAGGAAACAGAGTGGAAAAAATAATATTTTAATATTAAGATGTTATTTTAAATATAAATGAGTACCTGTATTAATAAATTAAATATCTGTTGACATTTGAATATCTCATCTATATTTCTAAAATATATAGAGATATAAAGAATTTTCAAATTGGCCAAACATATTTTTTGCTCTTAGTTGTCTTTTATTTAGGTATATGTGGTATATAGTATTATAAACATAATGGGGCATCACTTAAAAAGCAAAGACAAATAAATCATTCATAGCCTTTCAAAAGAAAGAAAAAAAAACACAGAGGCAGCCTGAATAGAATGGAGGAGGAGCCTGAAAAGCAACAGCCCATTTGCTGGAGCACTCATGGCAGATGAGCACGGTGTCTGGGATCTCAAGCTGTCCTGGTTCCAGCATCCCTCCCAGAACTCCCCTTGGGAACACGTTTTACACAAAGACCTTGTTTTCCCAATGTTATAGGTGCCCAATTCTTAATTAAATCATCTCTCACCCACAATAGCCTGTGGAGACCAATGATGCCTGTGGAGAAAGAACACTTTGTTGTGTCATGTTTTGTTTTGAACATCCCTGAAAGTCTAAAAAGAAGGCACCTGACAATCATTGTAAACTGGAAAAGCCAGAAAGAGGAAAAAATGGGCTCTTCAGATTCTGACTCTGTGTTTCAGGCTAAAGATTTCATTTCTACCTGAGATCATAGCATTTTGGAGCAAGGGGAATTCCTAGGGATTGTCTAGGATACACTTCTGGTTCAATACAGAAAAATAGGACGATATCCCTTTACACATTTTTTACTTGTGTTCCCAATAAGAGATATTTTCCTAGAAAAGCTTATCAGGCATTTTAACCAGGCTAAGTAGAACCAAAAGTTCTATTCTATTAATGTTAACATAAAGTTAAGTTTAGAGCTCTTAATAATTGATGCATCTTTTTAAGTGACTGTTGGCTTTGATTTAAGAAAGAAGCAGACACATTTTCACACTTCACTGATATCACCATTTCCACAAGAGACATCTGCACACTCCTCCCTGACTCCGTGTCATATGGTCACCATTAAAGGTCACCACAATTGGAAATCTATTCCTAAGAACTAAGAAGGTTATTTAATCATCTAGGAGAGGAGAGCTGTCAGGGCTGAGAATACCACCATGAGGAATTTGGGTCCCCTACAATCAAGTGGGTAGTATGTTATTTTCAAGTTCAAATTTTCTTCCATTTATTTCTGTTATTTTTTAAACCGCAAATATATTAATAGATCCTAAATAACATTCTGCATGAAATATTTAAAGGTTTTCTAATTTTGCTGTATTAAGTCAATAATTTGTGTGTATGACACTAGCAGCTAGAGATTTTCCTTGTGATCATAATTTCTTGAGTCCAGCTTTCAACTAATAACAGGGCAGCAGAAAATGAAGCCAAACTACTGAACCACTAAACCAAACTTCTTGAGGATAGAAAAGACAAGGAAACAAAGATGAATGATCCCATATATAACCCACATCTCATCCCTTTGGGGAGATATTCAAACCTGGCTAAATATTATAGATAAAATTCCAATCGCTTTGAGCAACACTGAAAACAATAGAAAAATGTAAAAGCCTAGAAGTACTAA
The DNA here is from genome assembly GCF_000001405.40 of Homo sapiens. Classification (NCBI taxonomy): domain Eukaryota; kingdom Metazoa; phylum Chordata; class Mammalia; order Primates; family Hominidae; genus Homo; species Homo sapiens. Next base: position 58,759,070 of record NC_000014.9, on the reverse strand, counting down.
TTTTTAATGAAACAGAAGCTGGTTAAAATGAAACACAATATACAATCTTCCATAACTGCATGAGCCAATTCCTTATAATAAATCTCTATCTATACAAAAAAAAGAAAAAATGCAATAAATGCAAGGAAAACACACTGAGACTCCTCAAAAGGGTGCTCAGAGCAGGAAAAGTGAACCAAGAAGTTTACCTGGAAAAGAACAGGTTAAGGAAAGGATGAAGAAGGTTAATTCAGTCTGTGAGAGGGATTGAAGTTTGGGGAAGAAATAATCTAAAAAATTATTCCAAGTCATTTGGAATCTGAGACCCCAGGCCTTAAGCAACTAATGTGGCCATGGAAATCAGTTATGATTTGAACTCACGAGTTATTTCTGAAATGTACGAAGAAGACCTATTTTCCTCAAGGATGAGGGAATCCATATCAGGAATGAAATAAGACACAAAAATGTGTTAGGTCATGAAGTTCTATCACCACAAGAAGCCTGCATGTGACATTGTGAGGTTTGGGCACTTGCCCTGGAAATCCTCACACTATGGAAAAGTAGATTTGTTCACTGTAAATATCTGGCTGGTGGATGACATGCTCATGCATGCAGCTTTGTTGTTATTCTTTGAGAAAAGGGACAGCAAAGAATAGAAAATTGATCAATGAGACTCCAATTTAGGCTGTAAGGAAAGCGTAACCCAAAACCTACTGTGCAGGGAATATTCTCATCCTTTCCTTCTGGGCTAGTCAAACCACAAAAGCTGCAATGTTGCCTTGACTTAGATAAAAGAAGTATATCTGCATCTTCAGTCATGCTCTACGTATGTTGAGGTCAGCTCCAGCCCCCTTTTGAAAACTAGTACCAATTCCTATCAAGCACTAAAAAGTTTTGGGTTGGGGGTGGCAGACTGTTGCATTGCTTTGCTTTGTTTTGTTTTTACTTTTGGAGTCAAATATTGTTTATTGCTTGGTATAGAGAAAGGGAGACATCATACCTCCAAGTGAAATGAAAAAACATTTTAAAATTATATTTTCTTTCCTACTACTTTATATTTTATTTAATCATCATAGCTCAATAGTTTTACATTTCCTTTATAGTCCTGCCCCTGTCTCAAATCATCATCTCAGCTCACTTCTTGGGATAAAAGGAAAAATTAAAAGCATGGGCTTAGAAGTCAGGTAATGTCTCTTCAAATCTACACCTATAGCTAGATGACCTTTGGCAAGTTAGTTAACCTCTCTGAGGGTAATAAGCGTCTACTTCACATGATTATCGTTAAGATTAAAATTAGGGCAGGGAATGAAAAGCATTTAGCCCAATGCCTGTAAATGCACACAGTAAATATTCAATAAATGTTGTTTTAAAATATTCTTCCTATTTTTTCATGTCACTAGATTGGCAAAAGTGTTTAAGTTTGATGATAGTAGTTGTTAACAAGGGTGTGTAGCGAAAGAACTTCGATATTTTACTGCAGAGAATGTATGGCAGATAAAAGACGACGACCACAAATTATTGTTCCCTATCATATTTACCCCTGTAAGATTTGGGAGGTCTATACCTCCTCCCCATGATTCTCAGCAGGCCGTATGACCCCTTTACTGATAGAATGTGGCAGAAATGCTGTTATGCAAACTACCAGGCCCAGGCCTTAAGAGACTGATAGCATTCATTTCCAAACACTTGGAACATTTGTTCTTGGGACATTGAGCCACCATATATAGCAAGTCAGACTACCCTGAGGCCACCATTCTTAACCCCAAGCCATGTGGGCAGGCCCTAGAGGATGAGATGCCATGTGGAGAGACAAAGAGCACCAAGATGTGGATATGAGTGATGAAGCCATGTTAGGTGTGGATCCTTTGTGCCAGCAGCCTCAGCTTACATTACATGGATTAGAGACAAGCTGCTCAGCCAAGCTCCTCCCACACTCGTGACCCACAACATTATAAGCAAAATAAAATTGGTGCTTTAATCCACTCAACTTGGGGTCATTTGCACCATTAAATAATTGGAACAGAATGATATAGATACAATCACTTTGGAAAACTATTTGACATAATTTTGTAAAGGTGAAGATATATATACTTATGACCCAATGATTCCACACATGGAAGACTCTGGCAGCAGAGAAAATCAATGAGCTATAGCTGCACACATCTACATGGATGACCAAAAGTAAAAGGGAGTAAAAAAGATAATCTTGAGAGAATAAGGCATGTGATGGAAGAAAATATAAAGTATTATTCCACCTCCAAGGGCCCAAAGATGGCCTTCGAGGGGTATGAGCAGGGCATGAAGATTATGACTGAGATAAGGAAAAAATCTCGGTATCTATAAAATGGAAAAATAAGCAGTCTTAATCTAACCAAAACCAGAATGTAGAATGGTCATCACCATCTACTCAACAAATATTTCAAAGCACTCATTATGTGCCAAGACCCTGGACATATGCTGGGATACAGTGACAAAAATGCCAGAGTCCAGGGGAGTTTGGAATGTCTCCCCTAACCCCTAGAGGAATGTGTTTTTAAAAGAGCACAAATGGAAGGACCTAGTTCTTTGGTTAGAAAAAGGAGAATGGCAGACGTATGACATCTCTCGGGGGCCACCCTGTCGGCCATACCAATGCCTGCCTCCAACCCTGCAGCTGGGGCAAAAGGCAGAAACTACACCCAGCTTTGATGAACATCCTTGGGTGAATTTTCTCTTGGTTTACAATGATTGCCTTTTCTCCTGAACATGGGCTGGGAACGGAGTAGGAAGAAGAGGAGAGATGCTTGTCAGGAAAATGAACTTTCAGAGATGCAGTTTCAGGGCCTGAATAATGCCAAAGTTTTCCTGTAGTACCTCAGGCTCAGTTTACATAAGAATAGCACATCTGCTTTAAATTATCATTCCTTCCCTTTGTCTACACCCAACCTGGGCAAACCCTCCAAATTATAATGATCCAGAAAGAGGACCATTATTGTTTTTATCTTTGCCACATGAATATTGTGGGTGAAGCAAACAGAGAAAGGCCATGCCAAAGGCCATCACCAGGGAGATTACAGAGTAATTTTGTTCAAAATTCCCTTCCCCCACCAAATATTTCTATACTGGGGAAATCTATTTCTACACTGGAAAAATTTGAGGGCCACAAGCCTCAAAACAGGCCCTGATGGTAGGACCACTGTAGAAACAGTGGGCACAATAGCCAACAGGTAGAAACTTCCCAGGGAGGAGGTGTCACAAAAGACATTGAAGCTGCTGGCTTGTAGGTACCAAGGTGTTTACACACAGAATGCTAACTTCAGAGCCAGCTGCTAGCTGCTAGCTCCTCCTCTCCCCAGCTGCTCTGCACAGCACAGAGCCTAAACAAACTCAATTTGGCATACCCAAAGAAAGCCTCTGAAGTGGGAAAAAAATCTCCCCCTTTTCCTGACGACAGCAGACATCATCTCCCAAGTGAGTAGCCCAAAGTGGCCAAAAACTCTCTATGCAGGCAGTTCCCATTTTAACACAGAGCCCCATTTGAAAACAAGCCCCCACAGCTGAATCTTACCAAGGCCTGCCTGCCCATTCGGGCTTAGGCCTCCCCTTCAAGCACTCAACACAATAACTCTCTGCTAAGGGAAAGGCACTGTGCTATAATCAGCGGCTTTACAGCTTTAACTAGTATCAGAATCATGCAAGGAGTTTCTATCTGCCATGGATGGCAAATCCCCAGGCCATACCTCAGACCTAGCAAATAAGAATTCCCAAGAGTGGGGCCCAATAGTCTGCATGTTTTATACAGCTCCCCAGGTTGAGAGCAACTCCTTAGAGAATGTTTCTCAAAGCCCTAATGACTCAAAGGACTTCAAACTCATTCACATTCAGCATTGAATGAACAATAAGGCTTTACCCACATAAGTTTCTACTTTTAACTGGACTCTGGCCTAAAGGAAACAAATGACTCTCTAAGAGTGGGAATTCAGATCCAGTTATAAAGTTCATGGAGACTGTTTTGATTAAAATATAGATATAAGGCCAGGTGGGGTGGCTCACACCTGTAATCCTAGCACTTTGGGAGGCCAAGGTGGGTGGATTACTTGAGCCCAGGAGTTTGAGACCAGCCTGGGTAACATGACAAAACCTTGTCTCTACAAAAAATACAAAAATTAGCCGCGCATAGTGGCACATGCCTGTAGTCCCAGCTACTCAGGGGTGCTGAGGTGGAAGAATCGCTTGAACTCAGGAGGCAGAGGTTCCAGTGAGTCCAGATCATGCCACTGCACTGCAGCCTGGGCCACAGAGTGAGACTCTGTCTCAAAAAATATATAAACAAATCAAATAAAATCTGTCATGCATATGGGCAAAACTTCAGGGCTCTGGGTTGCTGGGGATCTGCCAGAGGAGCCCACTGCTGAGCAGCCTACTTAGAAACCTTGAAGACGCCCATGTGCACTCCCTCCCAGGCTCACAGTGGGGAGAGGAGGAGGCCTGTAATAGGAATGAAGAGCCAGCAAATGGAGATGTAACGCCTCCTTAGCAGGATTTCCAAAAACTACTGGATTTAATTAAGAATCATGGAAATGCTCCTGCTCACTTGTGTAGGAAGATGGAGAAAGTTTTATATATGCTGGGAAAAAAACAACTAGAAGGTTCAAGAGGCCTGAGAAGAAAGAAATAGGAGAAGACAGTGAGATAAAATAAATCAGGGGGAGAGAAGGCTAGGAACCAAAGTATAATATAAATAAGACATCCTTTCATTCATTCAACAAATATTTATTAAACACCTTCTTTCTTTAAATTCCAAATTCCTCATTTGAGGCAGTCCAAATGCTCAGCTGTCCCAAGGCTGTTCTACTCTCCATACAAAGCTTTAGTTTCTCCAGCATATCCCCATTACCACATCTCATTTTCCATCCAGGATTCTTCCTATTTCCATATTTTTACTCATTTTGCCTGAAATGATCTTCCCTTTTTCCTCCACCAATTCAAATCTGAATCATTCTTCAAAGCCTAGCTGAAGTCACCCTCGCCCCCGGACCCTGGCCTAATTGCCTTCATGCCATTCTGTGTGACATTATAATATTGAGCTTAAGTTGCATTCCACACAAACACTTGATATTTCTTGATTTGAATAGTTCTATTTTTATTATTGTTATTAGAGACAGGACCTTCCTCTGTTTGGAGTGCAGTGACACAACCATAGCTCACTGCAGCCTTAAACTCCTGGGCTCAAGGGGTCCTCCTTCTTCAGTCTCTCAAGTATCTAGTACTACAAATATATGCCACCACACCCAGATAATTTTTATTGTTTGTAGAGATAGGGTCTCACGGTATTGTTCAGGCTGGTCTCGAACTTCTGGCTTCAAGCAATCCTCTCATCTCAGCCTCCCAAAGCACTGAGACTATAGGCATCAGCCATCATGCCTGGCCTGTTCTCTTATTTTTGATTAGAACAATCATGAGCCCACAGGAGTTAATTGATTAGGTAGAGGCTCAATTTAGAATTAGAATGAGGAACTCACTTCCTTATAGTAATAGCTGTATATTATTATTAATGAGTTTTACTGTATGAAGAGTCTGTTGAGATTTTAACTGCTATTTACAACGTTATAACTTCTATGGAAAAATGTATTTTTAGTTCCCAATAACCAGTTTACAAATAATCTTTTAGAAAAAAACATGTTCGTAAATTGGATATTGCTTCCCTGAGGCAAAAGTGAAAAGAGTGATTAAAGACGTGTAGAATACGAGAAGTGTTAGGAGCTGAGTAACAACTGCTTTGGAAGAAAATCACAAGATTGGGAATTTTTAAATTTGCAATTAAAATACAAAGCTTCTGGCCCCCTTGCTTTCGGATACATAGTTGCAATTGGTTGTAAGAATTTCCCCTTCCTCTTCTACACTTGACTCTCAACAGTTTAATATCTCCTTAAATTTATTTTTGTCGGTCAAGTCAGCACCAGGAAGGTTATTCTGTTAAACAGTAACATTTAACAGAAAAACAGGAACTGGTAACATGGGTGCCAGCCTCCCCGTAAAACATGTGATGGCCTTTCCTCAGAAGACACTGTGGACTGATCAAATGTGACCCTCTGCTTCTGATTTTCTGAGCTTCTCTCATAGGACTCTCGGGGTCACTTGGACTGTTGAGCAAAGTTCCCGGAAGGTGCCCCGCCACTGCCTGCCAAGTCGGCTGTCTGCCAGCAACACGCCTGCTCCTGCCTTTTGCTTGGAACTGCGTTTTCTATTGTTGCTGTGACTGAGCCCAGCCTTTGCTATGGGCATGCCCTGAATCCTGACACTTAGCTGAAAGTATGAATAGAACCGAAAAGAGTTTGGGCCATATTCTGAGCTCAGGATAAGGACTGGATTCACAATAATTGTACCAAGGTTTTCATTAAAACATCACATTCTGTCATATATTTAGCTAAGAGGCAAATTTTTCATTCCTCAAAATGCAGTAGGTGCTTTAGTGTGAGAGGCATTACTTCTGATTGTTTAGATGGAACAGCCACACTCATAATTTAATGGACTTGTTTATGGACTGAATGAAAGTATTCCTAATTTGAATTAAGAAATACTTTGAAGCAGGTCATTTGTGGCTTGAGTCCCAGCCTTGGGATCGGGATGGACTCCAGCTGCCAATGGCAATGACTATAGCTCACGTGCCCAGCTTTTTGTAGCTCAAAGGATCCTCAGTTTAGTATGAGCCTCTTCTCCATCAGCTAGTACTAGGCCCCCGTTCCCGCTAATTCTAATAACAGCAAGCCATTCAGAGGGACCTTAGCCAAGCCAGGCTTTCAGTTGAGGTTAATATACCTCCTTCTCTATCCAAATAGGTAACTTCGGGCAAGGTACTTAACTTTTCTGAGCCATGGTTTCCTCATCTGTCAAATGGCCACTATAGTAATGTCACGGGATTCTTGAGGTGTTGCTTGTCCAGCTGAAAGCCACAGGGCCAATGGCACCTTTGCCCAAGTTTTCCTCAGGCCTGCTGGGCTTGTACTGCCCACTTAGCCTGGCAGGCTGCACTCAGCTCGCTCTACTGGCCTGGATCTCATACCTGCCAAGAGCGAGTGGAGCGGTAAGGGGTATATGAGTGAGCAAGCATGGGGTCCGGCCACTGTGCACAGCCAGGCATGCTGGTGGTGGGTGGGGCAGACAGCTCCAGGTGCCAGCCCAGGTGTACCATAAGCAGCTTCCATAGCTGGCACTGGGGAATCCAGTGGTGCTCAGAAGCTTGAAGACACCAGGAACCGCAGAGCCCCAAAGAGGGTGTCACAGCCCTGGCTGGGGGAGATCCTAGGTCTGGGCTCCCTGAAGGGCCGCAACTCTTCTCTCCTTCTCTCTTCTCTCCTTGTCACCCACAGTGTGGTGAGCAAGGGGTGTGTTTCAGCCTTGTTTGTGTTACAGCTCTTTCAGCCCCACCATTCAGTGAGTCCTGAGTTATTGTCCTGCATCCAGGAAGAATGAGGTACAGGGAAAAGTGGACAGTTAGCAAGGCAAAGAGGAGCTTTATTGAGTGACAGAACAGCTCAGAGGAGACCTGCATTGGGTAGCTCCTCTCCACAGGCAGGGCGTCCCGATGAGTGTTCAGTTCTCAACAGAGAGGAGACCCTGGAGTGGGGAGCTCCTCTCTGCAGGCAGGTTGTCCTGTCATCTCCTTGAGTCTGTCTGAGTCTGGGGTTTTTATGGACTTCAGAGAGGAAGAAGTGCCTACTGATTGGTCCGTGGGTGGCCATGGGTGGGCCTGGAAAAAGTACCGTAAGTTCCCACTCTGGTCTGTGGGGCCGGCAGCCTGGCCGTCAGGCTTCAGGCCTTCCCCAGCTCGAAGGTAGAGCTTCACTAGGGACCCACTCCTTTCCACCCAGGAGCCTGTCTGCCTCCTGCTGTCACCCAGGCTATTCATGCTGAGGGACACCTAAAGGCCCATGCAGAGCCGCCCTTAGCCCCCACTCAGGCTCCCTCCCATGCTTACCAGTGCCCAAAGTCCAGAGGCAGCCAAGGCAGCAGGGGGCTGGAGCGTCAGTGCTGCCCCAATTGTGCACACACCCAACCAGGTTGCAACAGCTCCTGGGCTCGACCTCAACTTTGCTCCAAGATCAGAGTAGGTGCAGGGAGCAGGGAGAGGCCAGGTAGTGGGAGCAGGCACTTCCAAGCCTGCAGGTGGGAGGGGGCCTTTCCCAGGCCCCCAAGAGGGGACGCCCAGGTCCGTAGCCATGGCTTGGGCAGCTGCAGCTACACTCCAGAAGGGCAGGGCTCCTGCCCAATCCCAGCTCCCAAGAGCACAGGGATGCCCAGGTCCACAGCCACAGCTGGATGGCCGCAGCTGCTCCCAGGGAGCACAAGGTTCCTGCCCTGCCAGGGCTTCTGCCTTTTCCCGGCTCCTGCTGGCTCTTTGGAGTGTGCAGCCCTGGCCATGCCTCACCCCCTGAAGCCAGCATCATGGCAGCAGCCGCTCCAGACAGGCCTCCACTACCATCAGTAGTATGTGCCTTGTAAGACTTTTATGAGGATCTAATTCAATTATGCTTGTAAGATAGATGACTAGAATGAAGGAAGGGAGTGTGGCAAGGAGCTGGCTATTTGTTGGGTGATATTGTTGACCTTATGCACAGCAAAAACTAGTCATCTACCTCATTCTATTTGCAAAGTCTCACAGCTTTTAATCTCATGCACCACCCAGAATGTAAACAAAATATGGGTAGAAGCACCTTTATTTATCACAATTTTCTGGCTCACTATTCTATTTCATTTACGTCCTGAGTATGTTCACATATACTACAGAACAAGTCTCAAATAAGTGTGAACAGAATACTGCCCAAATTGATGACCATCTTAATTGTTTTCTTCTGGCTTGTCCACTAATTGCCAGAAGAAATGAAAGTAAGAGAGAGAGGCCAGGAAGAAGGGCAGGGAACAAAAGAAGGCGTGAGAGAGAGAAGGGATAAGGAAGAGACCTAAAGGCAGTTCCTTGGGCTGGCTCAGGGAGATGCCTGGAACAGACCATGCAGAGACTCTTCAATTTTATAGCTGAAAAAGCCAGTAGTCACATTTTAGTACCTTTGTCTCCAAGCAGGACTACAATTAACCCTAACTCCTCTAGACCAATGGGGGATCTGTCCCAGACCTTAAGGATCCCTGGGAAAAGCCAAAGTTAGCAATCCCATTTCTCCTATTAATTAGAACTTCACTCCAAACCACCGTCTCTAGATCTCAACTTAGATGTGCAATGGTGTGCCTTTATTTCAAATTTCCATGTTGCACTGTAAGATGTCAATTGCATGGGAAGAAACCATAGAGAAAAACAAGAAAGCTGGTTTCTTTGATTTAACAGACAATGTATAGACCATTTGGGCACTGGCCCAGGGAAGTTTGGAAAAAGGGATTAAGTCCCTTAAAGATTGGTGTTTCCCATAGGGGGCCTCAGCAGAAGGGTAACTATTAAGGAAGGAAAAGTAGCCCCACCTACAAAAAAGGAGGTTATGATAGATCTTTATATTTCTCATATTAATTCAAACATTTTCTAGCCATACCATAAGCAAGAATAAAGACAAATTTGCAAGTTTCCTGTTATTTTGTCCCTGTCAGGCTGTGAGAACAGCAGCATTGAGATCCTCTGAAGTCCTGGTGAGAGCAGATGACAAGTCCGTGAGTGGCCCTGTGAAGTGAAAGCAGGAAGTTCGACTACATGAAAGATTTATAGTTGTGGTGACCAAGCCTCTAGAGGCCCTTGCTGCTGACGCTGCCCTTATCACAGGTCCAACCCTCATTTTGTTAGAATTTCTGTGGTAGATGCTCTGCTGATCCCAACCCATCCAAAGCAGCACTCACTACCTCCAGAAGACATTGGCTTTGGGCCAAAAGTAAACAACTTTCTGAGTCATTTAAATTCTGAAAGCATCTGTGTGGCAAGGTCTCTTTGAAAACATTGCTAAGTTCTCCACATAGCCTCATTTGCCCACCACAACAACCCACGAGCACTCACCCTCAAGTTGATACACAATTCGCACAAGATTCCAGAAATGACAGATCTGGTGCATGCTGTTAAAGAATTAAACAAGACTTGTTCTTAAATCAAAAATGCAACTCCTGGAAGCCAGTTGGCATTATGTTTTAAAGTTGATCGTGCTTCATTTCTAAGTGTTAAAGAACGCATAGTCTAGTTTACACAGAATGTATATCTATAAACACGTATGAGTATACATAGATATATACATTTATATAGTATATACATATATGTATATAGATATATCTATACACACATACACACACACACATACACATGCACAGTAGTTCCACCTTATCCATGCTTTCACTTTTCATGGTTTTACTTACCCTCAGTCAGCTGTGGTTCAAAAATATTAAATGGAAAATTCCGGAAATAAACAATTCATAAGTTAAAAAAGAAGTTGAGGCCAGGTGCGGTGGCTCCTGCCTGTAATCCCAACACTTTGGGAGGCCGAGGTGGGCGGATCACAAGGTCAGAAGATTAAGACCATCTTGGCTAACACGGTGAAACCCCATCTCTACTAAAAGTACAAAAACAAAATTAGCCAGGCGTGGTGGCGGGCATCTGTAGTCCCAGCTACTCAGGAGACTGAAGCAGGAGAATGGGGTGAACCCAGGAGGCGGACCTTGCATTGAGCTGAGATCACGCCACTGCACTCCAGCCTGGGTGACACAGCAAGACTCCGTCTCAAAAAAAAAAAAAAAGAAGTTGACTGTGCTTATACCCTTCAGCTCAGCATTCCATTCCTAGATATATACTCAAGAGTAATAGTTACACATATATACCTGGAGAGGAACAGAAGAAAGTTCATAGCATTGAACAGCATAATACTAAAAAACTGGAAATGACAAAATACCTATCAATGGTAGGATAAATAAATAAATGGCATATATCAATGTAATGAAGGATTATGCAGCAGTGAAAATAAATGAACTACAGCTGTGTTCAACAACACAGAAAATTTTAGTATCATATTAAGTGAAAAAGGCAAATTCCAAGAAACTTCGTATAGCATTACACTCTTTATATAAAGTTTTAAAATAAATAAAACTGAATGATATATTGTCATAAGTCAAAAACAATGAATAATGAATGCCTCTGAGGGTATTAGAAGAAGACAGAATAAAGAAGAGTGCTTGGGTCTTGAGGTAAGTTGATTCGGTTCCAGTTCTGGCGTGGGTGATGATTTCACAGGGACTTACGGTATCACTTAATTAACTTTTAAAAGGGTCATACATAGACAAATGATAATAATATATAAAACAAATAAACAGGCGATTACTCCACAAATATTCCCTGAGTCTTTGTGTTGGGTATAAATGTAACAATAACATCTTTGTAGCAGAAGGAGAGAGGGCTAAAAACCTCTGCAGGAGGCTTTCTCACTGTTTCTCTCCCTGGTATACTCAGAACTCATTACTCACAATAAAATCGAGTTACCATTCAGGAAAGTATTTCACAGATTAAAAAAAAAAACCAACCAACAACAACAACAACAAAAAACAGTCCCATCAGGGCAATTTTGTCAATGACAGTTTCGTCAGCCTCCAAACACAGCAGAGTGGAAAACTGGTCATTCTTCAACTTTATCATGTTTATTTTGCTGGTCTTAGGCAATCCTTAAGCAAGTTTGACAAAACCCAGCTATTGCTCAATAAACCTCAGCCTTCTTGCTTGTTGTAGCAAATAAAATTAGTTCTGTATCTATGTTCTGAACCACGGTGGCCACCCAAGATCTAGGGATGTATCCTTGTGGTTGGCCTGGTTGGCAAAGCCTAACAGAAGAGTGGAGTGAGCTAACCCAGAAGGGAGTCAGGCGGTGGGTGTGACGTTCCTCCTCTGAAGAAGACTTGCCCGCCTGCAGGTCACCCAGCACTGCTCCCCACGACCTCCCCACTGCTCATCCCCATCGCCCACCTTCAGGTCATACAGCACTGCTCCCCGTGGCCTCCCCACTGCTCATCCCCATCCCAGAGATGTAAACTCACAAACACCCTTCCAGATGAATGGAGGGAATTGGTTAGAAAGAAATAGTTCCATTTTATTAAGCATTTTCAAATTACTCAAGGAAAACAAAAATTATCGTTACTAAAACAGTTGCCTGATTTAGGACTGTTTAGTCTGTTGACTGCTGTGTGAGTAATGACCAACTGAACCGACTCTATTTCTTGTACCATTTTAGTGCCCCAAATAGAAATTCTTGCACTCTATAGAAATTCCCCTTCTATAATGAGGGGGAAATACTAATATAATTAGTCTCTGCCATTTAGGAGCCCCCTTTCTGTTCAGAAACCTCAGATGTCTCAATCCCCATGTGAACAACATGAGCATCATTAGCAATCCATGTGACCAGGAGTAATACTATTTTGGAGCAAAAAGGCCTCGTCAAGAAAGTGAGCTTTCCAAAAGTCTGCAATTAACAAGAAATAGGCACAAATCCAGGCTACCTAGTCCTAAGAACTCCTGTCTCTGTCTTTTTTTTTTTTTTTTTTTTTTCTGCAGAATAAGGCCATTCCTATGTGCTACCTTCTCATCAAGGTGCTATGAACATAGAGAGCTGCTGGGGCTGTGGAGTTCTTGGACAAAAGCCATGATAATGCAGTGACAACTACCTCCTGGAATTTCATCTGCAAACTCAGATGACACAATAACCTCTGCGGGAACTATATAAGCCCTTGTCATTTATCATGCATAAAACATATTTCAAGCCACTTCTTGGAGGAAGCTTCACTTAGAGCCAAATGGAGCAAATCAGACTGTGTTCTCTCCCAGCCAGCCTTGAGACAGGAGAAGTTCTTATCAATCTTTCTGATTCTCTTCCAAGGGCTCCATTCACAGGCACAGTGGCCCCCAAGGTCAAGTCCTATATTGGATTGATATGTTGTTATAAAAACCCACAGGAGTCTGCACCTCTGGCCATGACCCATTGCCCCTCTTCGAGGTGATGAGGTGAATGCTAGATGGTCCCTAACTATACAAGATGACTATCACATGACATAACTGCAAAAAGAAGAGAGAGAGATTTCCAACAAAATGGTGATTCCCAAACGTGGGGCTTTACTAGAACAAAAAAGCACCCTCAGGAACTGGCCAGATTTAGCACTTCCGGGTGAGCTATCTTAACAATGCCTGGGCCTTGCCTAAGCCCATTGGTGAGGCCTCATCGAGGCAGCAATGTCCCAGCCATGAAGGTGAGGCAATGGCACAGTTGAGCCAGGTTGAGAGTCTTAACACAGCGTTGGGTGCCTTTGGATAAGCCAGGCTCTGCTGTGTGGCCATCCCTTCACCCGCTTTGGGGATGGGATAAGGAGGGCAGGCCTGCCCACCAGCTCTGTCCTCTCCATCTTAGCATTCTTTCCACATATCCACGGTTCCTTATACTCTTGCCTTACCCAGCAAAACCCCTTTTCTCCCCATGGGACACTCAGCTCACCTGCCATAAAGGAACCTCATCTTTGCTTAGCCAAAACCAATAGCCCTACTCAAAGGAGAAAAGGGCAGGGAGGCTTTTGGGTTCTCTTGACAGAGACAATAGACTTTACACCAGGGGCCATTTTTATTTGTTCTGTCAGTGCACAAATCATGTGTTTGGATGGCATATCCCAAAGCAGCATCTGGGAAACCAGACCCCAGTGAGCTCCACTCAGGTTTGTTTTGTCATACTTCCCCCACACACAACGCCTCAAGGGTGCTAAAATCAGCTCAGGATGACATAAGGAAGAGCTGTCCTCAGGCTTATCTTCCCAAAAATCTGATGGTTGAAGAGAAAATAATTTGAGGGTATCTCCAGCCTTCTGAAAGTAAGAGATTGATGGCTTCTTGCAGTTTTGAGGATTCACCACCCACCGAGTGTGCTCTCCAAAAGCTCCCTAAGCAAGCAACAGTGGAATGTGGCTGGAAAAGAACAAATGAATCCAGGCTAGCAGCAACCTGCTTGAGTAATGGATCAACAAGTTTTACTAAAATACAGCAGACCAGTACAATCGATACAGTCGCCTGAACAGAAAACCACTGCAGGACAGATCGTTTCTTCTGAGACAGGATGTCTGAGAACTAACTTTTTGGGGGGATCCTTACTGACTTGCCTTATGATTACCACAGTTTTTATTGCTCCATTTAAACATAAATCAGTCACCCTGGGTGCTAGTCACAACCCAGCCTGCGTTCTCTATTTCACACATGTGCTGACTGCCTGATGTTGTGCAAATGAAACAAAACCCTGAGATTCACTCCCCTCACACTGTTCTGAGTGTGGAGAAAAATCAGGATCTTTTTTTTTTTTTTTTTTTGCTTGATGTCTCCCATAAGCAATTCCTTCTATTCCCTTAAGCCCTAAATGTCATGTAGGGTATAAATGGAATTGCTGCTGAAATTTAAACACCTCTTTCTCAACAGTCTATTAAAATCAAGCTTTTGAGGATGGGTAAAATAACTCCAAATTGGGTCTGTTGGCCTTGAGATTAGCAGATGAGAATCTATCTTGATACATTAACCTCCTGGAGTTAGTGGGGCATTTATTCAGCCTTAGAGGGTCGAAGGGCATTTCATCCTAAGTTGTGAAGGCAATGATATAAAACTTGTTAAAAGGATGGGCAGTATTTCCTCTGTGCATGTTAAGACACTAAGAAATATACAGTGAAGTGGATTCTTTCACAAATATACAGTCTCCCAGTCTGGCACAACACAGACAAGGGGAAATGTGGCTTATTTATTTCTGCCCCATCTAAATCCTTTATTTCCTCTCCTGAAAATACCCCAATGGCATACCAGCTGTGACCCGGCTTCTGATGTATGTGTATATTTCAATTGCTTGTTGATGGTATTAAGAATCGAAGCATCCCTAAATCCAGCTCACAGGAAGCCAGGCCATAGCTACTAATATTAGATTACATTCTAATTATTTATTCTATATCCCTCTTCACACCAGTATTCTAAGACCAACAGATCAAGGTTTGCCACTGAATATTAATGCTACTGTTCAGCAGTATTCTAGAGCTGCATTTGTGTGTCCCCCTGGACAGGGAGACCAACCACAGGCCAAAACGGAAATCCAGACCCTGCTCAATATCACATTAGCATGTCTCTTCCTATCGTGGTCACAAAAAGTCATTTCCCAGTTGTCCCACATGAATAGCTCCTTTACCACTTACAATGTGAATGAAGCCCAAACTATCTACTTTGTGCAAAATAATAAAAGCGAATTGTCCTTTCTTTAAAAAATAAAAAGCAGGCAAGCAGACCACCTTTGCCCTTTTTCTTTGTAAAAGCAGCTGCTTCTGTAGATTTACCCTATCTCCTAGAATTTACTGCCAGCCTACCTACATCAGGAAAAACAAGAGACCTCCATGGAAGGAAAACTTCCTGATGGGAGAGCAGTCCCCAGGCTGGTGTGAGAGCCGGCCACAAGGCAAGCAAGCAAGCAACCACGACAATCTGAAAGAATGTGGGATTTATTTGGGCTACTATAACAAAATAGCATAGAGCGGACGGCTTATGAACAACAGATATTTATTTCTCACAGCTATGAAGGCTGACACGGCACTGGCAGATTCAGTGTCTGGTGAGGGACCACGTCTTCACAGATGCCTGTCTTCTCACTGTGTCCTCACATGGCAGAAGGCTCAAGGGATCTCTCCAAGGTCTCTTTTATAAGGGCACTAACATCATTCATGAGGGCTTTGCCCTCAATACCTAATCACCTTGCAAAGTCTTCATCTCCAAATACTCTCAACTCAGGGGTTAGGATTTCAACATGAATTTTGGCAGGGAGGGGGAGTGGTGGGGAGAAACATTCAGATCTTCACACCTGTGGTGCTCCAGTGTTCCTCTTGTGCCTTTTTAGTCTGCCAGTGTCTTTTTTGAAATTATTATTATTATTATTATTATACTTTAAGTTCTGGGATACATGTGCATAACATGCAGGTTTGTTACATAGGTATACATGTGCCACGGTGGTTTGCTGCACCCATCAACCTGTCATCTACATTAGGTATTTCTCCTAATGCTAACCCTCCCTTACCCCCCAACCCGAAGACAGGCCCTGCTTATATTAGCGTATTCTACAATTTATATGGGTGATAGTACATAGTATGTACTATGTAAAACTAAAGCTATGTATTAGTAGTACATATATTAGCGGGGAAAGGTGCCACTGAGAAGGTAATGTTGCCCAGCTTATGCTGATACCCTAAGAGATTGGAAAAGGGACCCTGAGGAGCTTAGATCAGACCTCTTGAGTACAGGTACCTGCCATGTGTGCTAATATATCTCAGAGTGTGGGAAAAATCTGGAAATGGTAACTAAATGCTACTGGTACCATTTGTAGGTGCATAGATTAAAGGACCATTTTTGTGGCAACACTGGCAAGAATAAAAAATGCAACAGGAACAAGCCCCTCCTTTTTCCTCATGCCTTACAGTCTTCCTCCAGTACCTGTATCATAGAGCCTAATGCAGAGCCAGCTGGTAAAGGAGAAATGTAAATTTCAGAGCCTTATACCCAGCATCACAAAGCAAAATATAGGAGAAGTGATGAACGGAGAGACAATGGTTGTTATTCGACTAAAAGTGTCATATATGTGTTTGGCCCATTGATAGGTTAAAATTCTGTTGAATTGCCACTTTTGATATTACACCAGTTGATGAACCCAAAAAAGATTCTAGGGTCACGTGTGTGAATTCAGCACCTACCGTGTATGTGGGAAATGTACTGAATAAACACAGAAATATATGCTTCATTCTCATCTCAGACATTTAAATAAAACTCACAAAGGCTTTAAAAAAAGAATGTGGGAAAGAAGGGTAGCTAAGGCATTGCAGGAAATATTATTTGAGTATTTCAACAATTATCTGCAGTCAGGGGTTCAACTTCAGTTTTGGGATGGGGTTGGATAATAGACTATTAAATTACTACTTTTGCTACCTCCAATGTAGACACTATGGCAGATCAGTGAAGACATGTGGCAAATATTTTATTTGTGGGAGACTGAGCTCCCAATCAACCATCATATTTTGTTCAGTTGGGTGCTTAATGAGTATTTATTGATGTGGATAGCTACCATTTATTGAACTCTGATTATATTCCAGACGCTTTTCTAATTCTAAGCACTTTTAAACATTATTTCTAATACTATCAAACAACTTCATAATTAATATAACTCCATAACATAATAGGTAGAATCTATTATAAAGAAAACTGGCTCCAAACAATTAAGGAACTTGTCCAGAGTTGTTAGAGCGCAAATAAGTGGCAGAGGTAGGATTTGAGCCAGGTTTGTGTATGTCAAAGCCTATCTGTGATCTTTCCAAGACACCAACAAATTCCACAACAGTGAAGCATGCTGAATTCACTGTAATTACAAAGGTAATAAAAATGAGCCACGCCAAAAGTTAAAATTTGAGTAAAATGTAAAGGCTATTCCTTTCAGCAAAATAAAAAGTCAGACTCAGAATCACCCACTGTTAAAACACTTATCATTAAGCATAGATCTTTGCCCTAGCAGTGAAGGTCAACAAAGTCAACGATCCAGAAATTAAAGTGCAAGTCCCTTCATCTCCTGAATTTAACATAGAAAATGGTAAAACGAGCTTCCCAATGTTTTAAGCTTTAGGTTGGGAACTGGGAAACCTGGGTTCCACTTGGAGATCTGTTATTAAGAACTCTGTGTCCCTAAGCAAGATCTGCAAGACTCTTGGCTGCCCCAGTCTCAGTTCCTTGCCTGTGAAAGGAAGGGATTTGGTTCTATAAGATTTCTAAGTTCCCATCTTTGTCGAAGGCTAAGATTTGTCTTAGAACGTTTTCTAAAGAACTGACACTAATTTACCTCATGACATCTTAGAGAGGCAGGGCCCATTTTGCAGATGAAAAGTAGAGATTCACAAAAGTTAAGTAAGCTTACTGAGCTCTCGCTCTCACTCTATGTCTCTCTGTCTCTCTCTCTCATCCCTGTATTGCCAGACTCTCCCTCTTCCCCCTCCTGCTTTGAAATGCTTCATTGGCATGGGCTGAGGTGGGATAGAAGGGAGCTAGAATGTCTCCTTCCACTCTCTAATGCTGAGACCTTCCCTCACTTCCTAGAAAAAGCCACTGTGTCCCTAACACAGCCCACATGCTGGCACCATCCCATCCACATGATGTAGAATAGGGGCTGTGATTTTGTTCCCACCCATTTGTGTGGATGTGATTAACAGTAAACTCACCCAGTCACCTGGAACCCCAAAAAGAATCTGTTGTTGAGGGCCAGCACTTCTCCTGCCTGTTTGCTGACACCTCAACACAACCCCACAGTCCCCATTTTGGCCACCTGCCTCCCACTCCTTCCAGTCACCCGGGCACAAAACCAAACCACGCTGCTCCTCTGAACAAAGATGTCCTTGAGTGAAAATTCAAAATACAAGCTTACCATGTTACACGAGGACTATTAAACTTTTTAAGCCAGACTTATGCTAAATCACTTGAGTTTGGCTGTCTCTCTTTACACATCACACACTCACACCTCCTTGCCAATCTGGAGAAATCTAGTTTTCCCCTCATCCAAATTTTCAGCACTGGTACATTTTAAGAGCTCTTTACCCCTTGTTTATTTCTTCTTTCACCACCTCAAGGTATTTCATTCCTAAGTACTTTGTTTTTCCATTCCATATTTTCTCGCTCTTACTTGCCAGTTTTTTCATTCCTTCCTCTGCCTTTAGTATTTTCCTTTCCTCTGGCAAAACAAAACAAAACACATACACACACCTCCTTTTTTAGTACTCTAAAGAGTGCTGCGTTGTTTGTCCTTTCTCTTTATCTGCTTTATACATCATTGGCCCTGGAGACAGAGGGCTCTTTCTTCTCTCTTGGGATTTGCCAGGAGTATTTATTAAGCACTCTATTACACATCTACATGCATTAGGTGTTCTGTACATGTATTCCCATTAAATCCTCAAAACCACCTTATGAAATAGTTATTTCCCTAAAACAGTGCTTTTCAAACTTTAATGTGCATATAAATCACCTAGGGATCTTGCTAGAATACAGATTCCAATTCAAAGGGTTCTGGGTAGGACCTGAGAATCTGCATTTCTTGCAAGCTACCAGGGGATGCCAAGGATGCACATCTGTGGATCACATTTGCAGGTTTGGCCTGTGTTTGGAACCAGACTGTTGATCCACAGTGTTGAGCGCTGCCTTCTTCCCACCATCCTCTCCTAAAATTAAAACACCCGTTGAAAGGTCAACAGATTCACCATGGACATCTCAGCATGTAATTGACAACAGTTGCAGAATGTGTAGCCTGTGAACAATGAAAGCACAGAGAGAGAATAACACCTATTCAGGGAAGTGAAACAGAAGGCAACAGTTGTTGAAGGTGAAAGCAATCTAGTAAGAGACTAACGCAATAGGGGTAAGCCTTCAAGACAGACATATTAAGGAAGATGTCAGCCCCCTCACCCCAGGACACAAACCCAGGGGATAAGACACAGACTCTGCCATCTTGAAATTTACTGAATCTCCTCTCAAAAAGCAGTTACTGAGGACCCACTAGCATAAGTGCATGTCCCACATACTCTATGTGTCTTCTCATTAAATGTTCATGACCACTTTCAAGGTCACTACTACCCTCAATTTTACAGATGAACAGAACTAAGGCTCAGGTAACTTGGTTAACTTTTCCCAAGATAATTACCAATTTGCAAAAATCAGATTCAACCCACTCTTCCCACTGCAAGCTCAGGTTTCTATTATAACACAAGCTGACAAAACACTGGAGAGAAATGGAGGAGCCCACTAGAGTCTAAGCAGAACTTCTGCCTTGGATGAAGCTTTTCTTCCTGTCTTTTGTTGTTGTTGTTGTTGTTAAAGCATATGCAACTCAGAAGAGAATGACTGTTTTTTATGCTACTCATGGCTTTGGATGTAAACAGAGAAAAAGAATCTCAGGAACACGGCATAGAGGGACTGTGGTTTGTAGTGGAACCCTCTGCATCACTTTTATCTGATGCACTTCTTTTCTCTTTTACTATCTTGGACATCTGGAGGGCAGGGAGTGGCAGTTGCTGAAACTAGTCCATCTCTGAAGGAGAAGCAGCTCAGCCTTGTGTTTGATTACATCCTCTCCCATTCCTCCTGGCCTCCAGGGACGTATGTCTCATAAATTACCCCAAAAAATGATTACATCAGTTTTTCTCCTATGTTTGGGTCCATTGTCTCAGTCTTAAAATAAACTGTAGTCATCTGATTAAAATTAATAATAATAACTTAGATCAGTTTGGTGGTCTTTATTTCTTCTTTCCTGCAGTTTCCTTCTTCTGTCCGTTCTTTCTGCTTTCTTTCACCACCAGTTTCTTGAAAGAGGAGTCTTTGCTTCTAGCCTTCACAACTGAAGTGCAGTCTTGCATGGCTGAATGATGGGGATACATTCTGAGAAATGCATTGCTAGGCAATTTTGTCATTATGCAAAAATCATAGCATGTACCTACACAAACTTAAATGATATGGCCTACTAAACACCAAGTCTATATGGTAGAGTCTATTGATCCCAGGCTACAAACCAGTACAGCATGTTACTGTACTGAATACTGTAGGCAACTGTAACACAATGATAAGTAATTATGTATCTAAATATAGAAAAGGTACATTTAAAACACAATAGAACAATTTTTTTTAATGGCACATCTGTCTAGGGCACGTACCAGGAATGGAACTGCAGGAGGGGAATTTGCTCTGGGTGAGTCAGTGAGTGAGTGGCGAGTGAACATGAAGGCCTAGAACATGACTGTACACCACTGTAGACTTTATAAACACTGCACACTTAGGCTACACTCAATTTATAAACAAATACTTTCTTTCAATAGTAAGTTAACCTTTGCTTACTATAACATTTTTACTTTATACACTTTTTAATTTTTTAACTTTCTGTTTTGTAATAATACTTAGCTTAAAACACAAACACACTGTACAGCTGTACAAACAAATTTTTTTCTTTATGTCCTTATTCTATAAGCTTTTTTCTATTTTTTAATTTTTTTATTTTCTTTTTTTACTTTTTAAACTTTTTTGTTAAAAATTAAGACAAACACGCACACATTAGCCTAGGCCTACACAGGGGCAAGATCATCAATATCACTGTCTTCCACCTCCACATCTTGTCCCACTGGAAGGTCTTCAGGGGCAATAACATGCACAGAGCTGTCATCTCCTATGATAACAATGCCTTCTTCTGAAATACCACCTAAAGAACCTGCCTGAGGCTGTCCTACAAAAACCCTTTTTTTCCGCATAAGTAGAAGGAGTACACTCTCAAATAATGACAACAACTGTGCTACAGTAAATACATAAGCCAGAAACACAGTCATTCATTATCAAGTATTATGTAGCATACACAATTGTATGTGCTATAATTTTTATGACTGTCAGCTAGTAGGTTTGTTTACATAGCATCACTACATACACATGAGAAATGCATGGCGCTGTGACATTATGTTGGCTTCATTACTAGAGGATAGGAATTTTTCAGCTCCATCATAATTTAAGGGACCGCTGTCATATATGCAGTCATTGACCAAAACGTCCTTAAGCGGCACATAACTGTACTTAGTTACTGTGTGAAGCTTTGTGTCCTGGCATCAGTTCCTACTGCTCTCCTGAAACTATTTCCCTTCATGGTCACTGGGAGCCACTTACCTGCCTTTTCTCTCTGACAGCCTTTCCTCATGCTCGATTCTTCTGTTTTGCTATACCGTTTAACACCGTTGCTTACCTGCTTCATCTGGAAAGGTTCTGTCTGATTTTTGAAAATAGTAGTGCCCGCCGGGTGCGGTGTCTCACACCTGTAATCCCAGCACTTTGAGAGGTCGAGGTGGGTGGATCAACTGAGGTCAGGAGTTCGAGACCAGCCTGGCCAACATAGCGAAACCCCGTCTCTAGTAAAAATACAAAATTAGTTGGGTGTGGTGGCGCATACCTGTAGTCCCAGCTACTCAGGAGCCAGAGGTAGGAGAATCGCTGGAACCCGAGGTGGGGGAGGTTGCAGTGAGCCAAGACCACACCACTTCACTCCAGCCTGGGTGAAACATCAAGACTCTGTCTAAAAAAAAAAAAAAAAAAAAAAAAAAAACAAAACAGAAAATAGTAGTGCCTAATTCTCTTCCCACCTTTCCGGTCTCTCTCTGATTACCTTGAAGATTCTTTCTCCTCCATTCACCCCTAAATGTAGATGGCCCCTAACTTTCATCATTGTTCCATTTCTATTTCCTAACACTTCCTCCTTAGATGAGTTCCTCCCCTGCTATGGCTTCGGTTATTGTATTTTGGGTACGTAACTTCTTGGCTCCAGACTCACATTTTTATCTGGCAACTAAACATTTCCACCCATCATTTTCTAAGTAATGATATTACCTCAAACTAAAAAAGTCTTTCCCTGATTTGACTTTTTTTTTTAAGAGACAGCGTCTCACTCTGTCACCCAGGCTGGAGTACAGTAGTGGAGTCATAGTTCACTGCAGCCTTGAACTCCCAGGCTCAAGCAATCCTCCCACCACAACCTCCTGAGTAAGCTGGGACCACAGGCATGCACCACCCCACCTGGCTAATTTTTTTTTTAAGTTGTAGTAGAGACAGGGTCTTGCTATGTTGCCCAGGCTGGTCTCAAACACCTGGGCTCAAGTGATCCTCCCACCTCTGTCTCCCAAAGTGCTGAGATTACAGGTGTGAGTCACTGTACCCAGCCAAAATTTTACAGTTTCTTTTAATGGTGTCACTATTTTCTCATTCATCCAGAGATAATTTGGATGAATGGGAAGGTGAGAGGTATCATCTCAAAATCCTTAGCCCTAAAGACCCAAGAGATCATCAAGTTCTATAGATTGAATCTCTGTTAGAATTTTCACTTTCTCCCTGTTCTTTTTATTCCTACTACCACCATAACAGTTCAAATCCTTGGTGGACCTCCCATCTGTTCCCTCTTTTCCAGTCCCATTGCCACTGCCTCTATAATCTCCCCATGTTTTTCTTCTTCCATTTATTCACACCTCCCATCCCTCCAAAGTCCTTTTGCCAGATAAATCTTCCAAAGACAGAGATATGGTCATGTTTCTCCCTAAAACTTCCAGTTCCTAATTGCCCAAATAATGAAGTCCAGATTCCTCTCCTCATCTTACTCTCCAAACTATAGCCTAACTTACTTTCTAAGCCTTAAACCTCATAGGTACTTAGCATATATAAACTAAATAAGTGCAGATGCCAAACTAGAGTGCTTCTTATTCCAGGAACAGTCACCGTGCTTATCCTCTTCTGAGTTTGTACTCATGGTTCCTCTGTCTGAAATGTACTTCCCGGTAGCCAGCTCAGTTCCCTGTTTTTCCGCACAAATCTCAAATCTCAGCAAAGTTGTTCCCGACACACACACATGCAATGCAATTTCTTCCTTTCCAGCTTTGAGTCTCCAGAACTTGTGCTCTACAAGATCTTTAATAATTTGTTTCTCAGGTTATCTATAGTAATTGGTAACTTAATAAAATGTGTTTATCTCCCATAGAATCTAGGAGCAAAGATAATACATGTATCTAAATAGCTATGATCAAAGAAGTTTCATGGTGGCCAAAACAGCCCAATTTTTTTCCATTGGTGACTATTGTGTCAGAAATCCATGAATGTGTGTGTGTGTAGGAAAGAGGGGAGTCACATGAGTTTCTGTTGATAACACTAGTAAAATATTACTTGTTGACTATTTGAAACCATGTAATCTTGGCAGTAAGATAAAATCAGCTCTATCAATATTGCCTAGATAAAAAAAAAAAAAGCACACAGGGATATTGGACTATTCATTAATGATTTTAATCAAAGAATAAGAATCCCCATTTAAGAGACTAACTGGAGATTCTAGTTTGAATAGTAAAATCAGACCATTCAGCGGAATCCCCTGGAGATTATGAAGAACTCAGAATGAAAGTCTCAGGTAGGACAGAAAAATCTAATTTTCATCATCATCTCTGGTGTCTGATGGTGAAAGGGAAAAAAAGCATACACTAACGTTTCTCAACTTTAATGTGCACAGGAATTACTTGGAACTCTTGTTAAAATGCAAGTTCTGAATCTGTAGGTCTAGGGGAAGAGAGGGTAGCCTGAGATTCTACATTTCTGACAAGCTGAATTATGCCTATGATACTGATTCTCTGGATCACACTTTGATTTGCACGGGTTCTGAAATCATGCTTAAAAATCACTCAATATTTTCAGTGTGAGCCTAGCTCAATTTCAATACCAGGGTTGTTTTTGTTTTTGTTTTCAGTTTTTTGTTTTGTTTTGCTTGAGACGGGGTCTCACTCTTTCACTCGGGCTGGAGTGCACTGGCGCTATCACAGCTCATCACAGCCTCGAACTCCCAGGCTCAGATGATCCTCCCACCTCAGCCTCCCAAGTACCTGGGAATACGGGTGCATGCCACCATCCCCAGCTAATTTTTTTCAATTATTATTTTTTGTAGAGATAGGGGTTTACCGTGTTGCCCACGCTGTACTCAAACTCCTGGGCTCACACAATCCGCCTGTCTCAGCCTACCAAAGTGCTGGGATTACAGGCATGAGCCATCATGCCTGGCTCAATATCATGTTTCTAATGCTATTGTAGCAGTGAATATTCAAATTCATAACTGCCAGTTTGCACCACAAAGCCAGATTGATGCAAACATTTCCTAAAGTTTGGCCGCATTTCTAGATTATTTGAAATTCACACACTCATCTCCAAAACTCTGAAGATACTTTTCATCCTAGTGAACAGAATTGGAATTCAATTAAGCACTTCTTCTTTAAAGTAAGGTATCTTAAAAATGAATACTTGATCATTCTGAGGTTATAACAGAACTCCAATAGACAGCTACAAAAATTTAAAGTAAGATTCACATGGATCAAAATTTGCAAAATTGATCTGCAAAAGGGGCTTTGCCTCTATTAAATGCCCACACAGTTCTTCAAATCTTGTGATTCTGGGGAGCTCAGAGCAGCTCAGCCACTAAAAATCAGTGAAGTATCCAGTTACCTGTGGTGTGAATGTGAACACCTATACTCCTTTAACCATATCACTTAGGCTTGGGGTTTTTTTCTCTGCAGTTTCAGAATGAATGTGTTTAGATGTCTTCACTCCTCAGTAAGGAAGTACAGTCCAGTGAGTCTCTGGGATCCAATAAATTGGGTCTCTGAGAGCCCCTTAAACTCAAAAAAGCCTTTGATCTAAGAAAGCAGCTCAAAGGGTCCCATCTTTCCAACAAGTTTCCATGACCTAGCCATCTGCCTGCAGAGAAATAAACTAAGTTTCCATATCCTACATCAACTAATTTCTTCCCAACCTCTCACAACCTGGCAAGCATTAAGGGCACAAATGAGAACATTCACAACCCCAATCATTTCCTCCATCACATCATTGAAAGAATCTATAGAGTTCTCAGCACAGAATGTCCCAACAAATGATGCAATGGAAGGGGCACCCACTCACCTTCTCATTTGATTTGAGCAAAACATCCATGCCTTTTTTTCCCTCACATTGCAGGTGTTCCATCTATGGCCACTGGACTCAGATTTTCCACGTTTAATCTACTTAAGTTTCTTATTGGTAAGAGGTTAGGCTCTTCTGGTTCATGTTGGCTAATTTTATTAAGTCATTTTTTAAAAATATACCTGCTAGGCTTGAATGTGTCCCTCAGAAATTCACATGTCAGAAACTGGAAACTTAATGTACAAGGCAACACTGTTGGGAGGTGAAGCCCAATGGGACATGTTTAGATTAATGCTGTTATAAAAGGCTTGATGAAGGGAGAGAGGTCTCTCTTGCACTCTCTCTTGTGCTATCTCTTGCGCTCTCTCTCTCTCTCTCTCTCTCTTCTCCTTCTGCCATGTGAGGATATGGCATTCCTCCTCTCCAGAGGACACAGCAAGAAAGCTCTCACCAGATGCTGGCACCTTGATCTTGGATGTTCCAGCTTCCAGAATAGTAAGAATATAAATTTCTGTTCTTTCTAAGTTACCCATTCTTGGGTATTCTGCTATATCCAAGACAGACTAAGACAGTTTCCAAAGCACCATATCCTGCTGATAAGAAGACCACATTTTAGAAGGCCCAAATCATGGTTTTCATTAAGTTGTCCCCCACATCCTTCTACCACATAGGCTAGAAGTTTCTCCCAGGAAAGAAATGGTATTCTCTTCTTCTGGGACATCTTTTCCTAAGAGCTCCATCATTGATCAAAACCATTATTTATTCCAAAAAGCCAGTAGATTCTAACATGTTTCCCCAGTCATCTGAAAGAAAAAATCATTCTCTCTTATTCTGGTAACAGCACTGCACTTTTCTTAAGAGGAGTACCTCTTCTGAATTTTTAGTTGTTATGGTTTTGGTGGGCTCATGACAAGAACCAAGCCAAGCCAATGAAAGTAACAACCACAACTTTGGAAAGGTAAGAGATGAGACTCTCATTCCACTGGGTTGTGAACTGGTAAGATGTAAGCTGGAGCACTGCCAGCCACCTCAACACCTATAGGGAAAGTCCATGTAAGAATAGAGCCAACATAGAAGAAAAAGGAGTCTCAGACTTAGATAGCATCATATGAGCACCTGGTTACAACTAACCAATAAATTCCTTTTGTTTAAGTAACTTGAACTGGATTTCTGATAGCTATAACTGCAAGTGTCCTGGGATTTAGGATATGGCAATGATAATAGCAGCTAAGCTTATCATGCACTTACTATATGCCAGGCACTCTTGTAAGCACTTTCCATATATGAACTCATTTAATCTTCACCACAATATGTGCAGCAGGCATTGTTATTATCATCATCTCCATTTTACAAATGAGAATACCGAATCAAAAAGCTCCCTTAAGACCACCCAGCTTTCAAGTTGAATGATGAGAAAAAAAAAAAAAAAAGGACCACCCAGCCAACAATGATGGAGCCAGCATTCAAACACAAACAGTCTGGCTCCAGATTCAGTGCTCTGAATCAAGGTTGCTCAAAGAGTGACCCACAGGCTGGTGCCAGTCTACAAACTATTAGCTGTCTCTGTGGAGAAAGTGAAAGTGTATGTATAGAAACCTTTCTAGCAAGTCAACATCACTGCAACACTTTTATTTCTAAAACTATTGGTCCATAATTTATTGGAAATTGTAAAACATTCTTGTCTTTTACCATAGAGTTTGAGGAACCTTATTTAGCTTATCACATAAGCACTGTGATTTAGATATAAATCACAGCCTTTCTCCAAATGCTCTTAAGTTCCTATGAATAATGTTGGAGTCACTTGGCAGTCCCAAAATATATTACTTCTTGACTCAATTCCAATGTTTCAAAATAGAGTTATTTGAGATATTTTTAGTTCTCATGACTCTGGGTTAGAAAGGGATCCTAAGTTCTCAGTGGAGCTTTGGAGATGCTGACACATTATGAGTTAAAACCACAAAGCAAAAGGAATTTGGTAATGGCTTCTTCCCATTAAACCTTGCCCTAAGCAGACAGAGAAAAGGCAAAGGGAATCACAATCCCAGCCAAGGGAGAAGTCCAGAAAGCAAGTAGCAGGAAATGAATCATACCAGAGAGTTGAAAGAGGGGCCACAAATAGAGGAGAAATCTATAATAAAGCGCAGAGGCAATCTGTGACCCTGCAGAACTTTCCTATGCACCCTACACTGAGAAATGCACTTCTTATCCTGTGCGCCGGCATAACCAAAGAAACAGTACCTAGGACATGAGGTTACTTCAGCAGATCCTGAAAAATAAGTGTCTCTTGAGCAGACATCTCACAAAAAAAGTTAAGTGGACAATAACCACATTAAAAAATGCTTGACATTGTTAGTCATCACAGAAGTGCAAAACAAGACTACAACAAGATACCCACTACACACCCAGTAGAATAGCTAAAATTAAAAAGACTGACAACAGCAAATGTTAGCTAGGATGAAGAACAACCGGAACTGTCAGGTGTGGTTGGCAGAAATGGAAAAAACATTGGCAGTTTCTTATAAACTTAAAATATATCTACCCTTTGACCCAGAAACTCTACCCCTACATATTTAGGAGGAGAATTTGAAAACATGTCTTCATACAGAGGCTTATACAAGAATGCTCATGGCCCCAAACTGGGAATAATCCAAATACCAGTTAGTCGTTGAGTGAGTAAACACAATATGATCTATTTTTATAATAGACTACTACTTGGCAATAAAAATGAACAGTCTACCAATACACACAACCACACGGATGAATCTCACAGACATAATGTTAGTGGAAAAAGCTGGACACAAAAGGGTATATACAATATCATTCAATTTACATGACATTAAGACATAGGCAAGACAAATCTCAGGTAAGACTTATGGGAATGGCGGTTGCCTCTTGGGACAGGGGGATGGGCAGAAGAATTACATGGGAAGGGACATGAAGGAATTTTCTGGAGAGATGGAAATGTTTTATATCATGATTGGGATAGGAGTTACATAGGTGGTGTATCAAGTAGAAGGTGTGGGGAGTGGGTAAAAGTATGGATGAAGTGGGAATGGCAGGCTATTGATAATAGTTGAAGTTGGATGAAGGGTACATAAGTGTCATTATACTATTCCGTTTACTTTCTATCAATTGAATTTTTTCATAATAGAAATCTAAAAATAAATAAATACAAGTCTCTTGTAATTTCATCAGTGTCATCAGCACTTCAGGCAACATTTCTTATTGAAATATTTTTGTGGAAAAAGCTCATTTATTAAGGAATCAAATGCCACTATAAGAATAAATACCATCGGATGGCTTTTCCTGAATTTGAGGAAGAACGTATCATGATTTGGAGTGCAAGAGTGGGCTTTTGTCTTGATGTCCATTGTCCACCGTTGTTGTGTCTAATAACTCAAACAGTCCATGACCAGAAAAAAAAAAGTTATTTGCACACAACTGTTTGTTGCTTTATTCAAGACACACAGCACAACTCTACTTCAGTGAAGAGCTTCTGAATACAAGACAAAGGGTCATGAAATAACTTTTGTTAAATTTCAGCTCCTCCTTGTAGCTGATTATTTTACTATGCATGTCAAATAGTGATTTCTTTTTTTTTTTTTTTGAGACGGAATTTCATTCTTGTCCCCCAGGCTGGAGTGCAATATCACCATCTCAGCTCACTGCAACCTCCACCTCCCAGGTTCAAGTGATTCTCCTGCCTCAGCCTCCTCAGTAGTCGGGATTACAGGCATGCACCACTATGCCCAGCTAATTTTTGTATTTTTAGTGAAGACGGGGTTTCACCATGTTGGCCAGGCTAGTCTTGAACTCCTGGCTTCAGGTGATCCGCCCTCCTCGGCCTCCCAAAGTGCTGGGATTACAGATGTGAGCCACCGCGCCCGGCCAAATAGTGATTTTTTTTTTAAACCAAGATATTATGTAGGATTTCAATCAAGTAAAATTAAAAATTTTCTGCATGTCACTTAGGAAATAGATAAAATTTCAAAGTCCAACAACAAGGGAAAGAATGGGTATATTATAGCAGATTATATTCTGTAAATGTATGAATGTATAAACCATAGTAAAATGTTTATGCTATGTCAAGTGAAAAAGAACACAAATATTTATAATTTCAACTCCTAAATATATTTACATTTGTAGAGGAAAAAAAAGACTCAAGAAAATAATGAGTTTCCGTTATATTTGTACATCACTGAATGGTGAGAGGAGCATTTTTGTATTGTTTTCTTTATACTTTTCAAAATTTTTCAGGTTTCTATAAAATTACTTGTATAATGGGAAAAACAAAAATAAAAATGTCACCTATAAGTGGAGTATACTTCTTGTTACAAATCAAATTCTTTCTCAGCAACAGTGAAAAAAAAAATGGTCATTTTGTTTGTATCATCTGGGTTTTCTGAGGAAGAACAATGGTACCCAGGAAATTAACGCTGTAAACAGCGTGCCTAGTGAGGCTCCTCTTCCTCCAAACTTTTAAAATCAGTTAAAAACACCCATATTCTTATTTAAGTATTGAGAAAAACTAGCAAAGCAAGTCAACAATCATTTTCATTCTACTGCAAATATCCTTTATTCCAAAACCCCTGGCCATTTCCATCCCTCAAGCGATTCCAGCAACGTGCCTTCTCCCCACCAAGGCACTGGGGCACACAGACTGTGGTCAACAGACCGAGGCATCTGGGTTGAATCTCAGTGCAGGCTGGAAAAGAGAATGAATTTAATTTGTTCTTCTCCTACCGGCCTGTCCCAGTGTGAGGGATCTACGTGGCTGTTGGCATATCAAAACACTAGCTGGCCTTTCCCACCTCACTGACAAGAACTTCTAACCAGCAATAAATTAATGCATTGCTCATGTTACCTTAGAGTACACCACACAGAGTGCAGCTGGTAAGTATGTTTAGTCACAAAATTCTCACTAAACCTTCTGTGAAGAATTGCCAGTCTCACCAAGGCCCACCTCTGGGCCCCAGTAATTCTCAAGTTTGGTGAGAATCCGGCTAGCTGTCCTTATTAGCTTTTTATTTGGTTGGTTGGTTGTTTCTTCAGTAGGGGCAATAGAATAGTTTGTGTGGCTATTGCTGTTCAGCAATACAGTAAAACACACACACACACACACACACACACGATTTTATTCATGCAGAGACCAGTTAGCCCACTAGGCCATTCTCTAGAGCAGCAATGTGCATTATGGAAGCCACTTGCCACCAATGGCTGTCAAGCATTTAAAATGTGACTAGACCAAATTGAGATGTGCTGTAAGTGTAAAATTCACATTGAGTGTTGAAGACCTAGTACAGAAGAAAAAATAATGTAAACTACCTCATTTATAATTTTTAAAATTGACTGCATGCTGAAATGATAGTATTTTGAATCTCTTGACATTATTAAAATTAATTTTACTGGTTTCTTTTTACTTTCTTAGTGTGGCTACTAGACAGTTTTAAATTACATAGGCCCAGCGTGGTGGTTCACGCCTGTAATCCCAGCACTTTGAGAGGCCAAGGCCAGTGTATCACCTGAGGTCAGGAGCTTGAGACCAGCCTGGCCAACACGGCGAAACCCCATCTCTACTAAAAATACAAAAATTAGCTGAGCACGGTGATGCAAGCTTGTAGTCCCAGCTACTCGGGAGGCTGAGGTGGGAGAATCGCTTGAACCCAAGAGGCGGAGGTTGCAGTGAGCCAAGATCGCGCCATTGCACTCCACCCTGGGCAACAGAGTGAGACTCCGTGTCAAAAAAAAAAAAAAAAAATTACATATGAGGCAAACGTCGTATTTCTACTGGACATCACCAGTTTAAAAAATGATTAGTGTTCATTAAATCTGTATGTACCTGGGACTACCCACCCTGGAGCATCCTACCTAGAAATATTCATGTGAGAAACAGCTTTGTCCTAAGTGAACTAGCATATTTCAGTGTGTCTGCCCTGATGTCTTTCACTTTGGGGTTCCTATGTGATCCTCCTCTTTATTTTTTCTATCCTCAGAGATTTAATACATGTGGCATTCTCCTCTTCCAGCTGTTCCTGGGCTGCTCATTGTTATCCTTGTTCTGCTGTTCTTGCAGGAATGACTGTGTGGCCATTTGGGCTCCCTGAGCATCTCTGTTGGAGCAGTCGAACTAGGAAACCGGGGACTTCCAGAGGAATTATAGGACAACATCGCTGAGTACCCTAATGAAGGAGGCAAATGCTTATCCCTCTAGTCAGGTATTCTTAGCCAGGTAAACCCTGGTGAGTTTTCAAAGATTTTTGAGAGGAGAAAAATCCTTAGCCAAAAGACACAGATAGCAAACTTGTTGGGTCTGAGATAAAGATGCTGAATCTCCCCACCCCTAGAGAATCACACCCCTGATGCTACCTGGATAGGTAAAGCACATAGTCAGGCCTCTAAGCCTTCCCCACTGGCTAAGCAGCTAAGCACTTCTGATAACGGTGGTCTCCCCTAACCCCTCACCTGCCCTACAGCAAGGCAAACCTATCCAGTGAGCAAGGTAATAATTATGGTGATACTTGCAAACACTCATGATCTAAGCTCCTGGGTCCTTGGGAGATAGATATGGAATGCAAGGGGATCACCTCATGGCAAGGCCAAAACGAAGCCACAACCATTTTAAAAGCAAAATGAGGTGACTATTACTTTCGAAAAATAAAATTGAAAGAGTGTTATGCTAAAAAAGACTCTAATATTTCACAGTTATATATGTCTTCCTGCCTTCATCTCTCTTTCTGTTAGTTTTTGTGACTGCAGCCGAGACCTCTGCCTCTGAACAATGGAATACCATTTTGCCTCTGCATCTTGTTCCAGACTCCAAGTTCTCTGTACACAGGGGCTATGTCATCTGCTTTATTTGCCATAGTGCCTTCTAAATTGGCAGGTACCAAAAATGCACATGATACATACCAATAGATTGCTTACTTTTTTCTTCATCTGTATTGGTTTGTCTTCTCCTCATAACTGAATATCCTCAACTATTTCACTAGATCAAAGTGTGATGAACCAAACAGATCACCTGTGTGGTTAATATTATGAACCTTAAAAGCCACTTGTGCCAGGCATGGTGGCTCACGCCTGTAATCCCAGCACTTTGGAAGGCTAAGGCAGAAGGATTACTTGAGCTCAGGAGTTCAAGACCAGCCTGGGCAACATGGTGGGACCCTGTCTCTGAAAACAATGTTTTAATCATAAAAAAATGAAAAATAAATTTAAGTAGCCACTTGTGAACACTATGTGAATGTTATATTGTGTTATAATCAAAAGTCACCGAAACTTCTTGTTTTTAAGAAAGATTTCTGATGCTATTGAGGTTTCAATATAGGATTTGCTTTAGGTAAAAGAAATATTACGGGAGAGAATGCAGAGAATGTAAACTCAACTGTGAAATCACCATGTTGACTATTGCAAGACTCTCAAAATGCTCTCCCTTTCCTTCATGAAGGAAAGTTTATAGAGAGTCATGGTAGACAGAATGGTGGAGACTTTTCTTTTTAAGATACAACCAGGGTTTAATTTGGGAGAGAGGAAACCAGATTTCAAAAGACAGACCCTGTTGGAAAGTCACCAATTGGCCACAGACAAAAACGTCTGTGAGGGATTGATTTTTCTCACTCCAGCTGGGACTTTTGTTGTTTTTCTTTTTACATTTTCTAAGTGTACTTCTCCTGAGATAAAATCCCAAATTCTACTCCTGGATAATCGGGAAAAGAGATTTCTTTGATCTTCAGAGGTGTTTTGACTTTCAAGAAGAAAAAAAGATGGGAAAACTTCAAAATATTTAAATCTCATACATATGTAGCAAATCCCTTTTTAAACATTATTCCAAGGAACAGCAGCTAACAAAAAATATC
This sequence comes from Homo sapiens, assembly GCF_000001405.40. NCBI lineage: Eukaryota > Metazoa > Chordata > Mammalia > Primates > Hominidae > Homo > Homo sapiens. Next base: position 58,725,779 of record NC_000014.9, on the reverse strand, counting down.
TTACAAGAGAAAATTTATTAGAAGTAAAATAAAAAATACTGACCTATAAGACTTTGAATATATTATATGGAAAAACTTTTTTAAAAGGAACATCTTAAGATGGGTTTATTCTCAACATGAGTGTGGAATCAATCACTGGGCACATTACTGATTTCATGCCATCATTCTTTTTTGCCTTAACTCACAAACAGTCAAAACACTCTTCATTTGTCAAAGTTTTAAAAATATATTTATCTTCTGAAAGGAAAGCCCACACACAAAAGTACAAAGGTCTGTGCATTATCAAAAGAACAGTGGCATCTTTATTGCCATGGTCTTGATGTTTAATAACTTACATCCAATCTGCATCCTCAGATCCTCTTGCATTAAAAAAATTCCAAGAAACCTCATCATAAAGACTACTACTTCATGGTTCCCTCTATAAAACAGAGCAGCACTTTGTAGTATTTTAGTACTTTTCATGCAATAATAGAAAAACTCTTTTATGATTCATTTGTTTTCCTCCAGATACCCATGGAGGAAAGTCAACTGTATATTCATTTTACTGCAACTCTGGTCCAGGAAATCATAAAACCAGCAGAAAAGAATGAAACTGTGAGGTCCCTGAGTTTAGGTCCTACTTTCTTGAGTTACTAAATTTTTTTTTTAAATGCTCATTGAATCAACAGACAATGGATAAAGAAAATGTGATATATGTACACAATGGAATAGTATTTGGCCATAAAAAGGATGAAATCCTGTTATTAACAGCAACATGGATGGAACTGGAGGTTCCATTACGTTAAGTGAAATAAGCCAGGTACAGAAAGACAAATATTACATGTTCTCACTTATATGTGGTAGCTAAAACAGTTGATCTCTGCTAGATCAAGAATAGGATGATACATAACCAGAGACTGGAAATGAAAGAGAGGGTGAGTGGAAGCCAAGGAATGAAGAGAGGTTGGTTAATGAGTAACTATACTAAGAATATTTTGTATATTTCAAAGAAACTAAAAGAGAGAACTTGAAATGATACCAACACATAAAAATGGTAAATACTCAAGTTGATGGATACCCCAAATACCCTGGCTCAATCATTATACATTCTATGCATGTAACAAACACTCACAGGTGCCCCATAAGTATGTAAAATATTATGCATCAATTTTAAAAGTTCTCTAAAAAAAAGTAAATCTAAGCAAGCAACTTCAAAAAATGTTGATTGAAAACTTAAAATTTCACCTCCATTTTGACATTATTAGTGGTGAAATATTTGTCATCTCCTTCATCACCATCCCATCTCCAGCCAAAGGACACTCCACACCCCTCACTCCTACCAAGACACTGAAAGTATAAAATATGGAACTCTGGAGGTCAGAAAACAGGAACACTTAGACACTGCTGGTGGGAATGTAAATTAGTTTAGTCACTGTGGAAAGCAGTTTGGAGATTTCTCAACGAACTTAAAACAGAACTACCATTTGACCCAACAATCTCATTACTGGATATATACCCAAAGAAATATAAATCATTCTCTCATAAAGACAAATGCACACGTATGTTTGTGACAGCACTATTTACAATAGCAAAGACACGGAATCAACCTAGATGCTCACCAAAGGTGGACTTGATAAAGAAATTGTGGTACATATACACCATGGATGGCTATGGAGGCATAAAAAAGAATGAAAGCATGTCCTTTGCAACAACATGGGTGCAGCTGAAGGCCATTATCCTAAGTGAACTAACACAGAAACAGAAAACCAAATATTACATGTTCTCACTTATAAGTGGGAGCTCAACACTGAGTACACGTGGACACAAAGAAGGCAACAAAAGACACTGGGGCCTGTTTGAGGGTGAAGCGTGGGAGGAGGATGAGGATAAAAAACTACCTATCAGGTAGTATGCTTACTACCTGGGTGACAAAATAATTTGTACACCAAACCCTAGTGACATGCAATTTACCCATGTAACAAAAGTGCACATGTACCCCCCTGAACCTAAAATAAAAGTTTGAAGGAAAAAAATAAAATAAAATATGGAACTCGGGATGTAAAGCATGAGTGGCTTAGTGCAAGCTGAAAGGCATCAAGCAGCCTAACTGCCCAGGGCCACACACAAATGGGTTCTCCAAGTGGGATCGAGGACAAGATGTTCGGCCAGGCATGGTGGTTCACATCTGTAATCCCAGCACTTTGGGAGGCTGAGGCAGGCGGATCACCTGAGATCAGGAGTTCAAGATCAGCCTGGCCAACATGGTGAAACTCCATCTCTACTAAAAGAACAAAAATTAGCCAGGCGTGGTTGTGCATGCCTGTAATCCCAGCTACTCAGGAGGCTGGGGCAAGAGAATCGCTTGAACCTGGGAGGCAGAGATTGCAGTGAGCCAAGATCGCACCACTGCACTCCAGCCTGGGCAAGAGAGTGAGACTCCATCTTGAAAAAAAATAAATAAATAAAATAAAAATGACAAGATGTTACTCCAACCAAATACCCTGATAGGTGTTTTTTCTTAATATATGGAGCATTCTTGGAAATAAATTTTAAAAAGAGAAGAGGAGAAGATAGGAGAGAAAGGGGAGGGAGGGGAGAGAGGAGAGATAAAGGGAACCCTTCCCCAGATATTATCACATTTTTAGCAACCATTTAGCGGATGGAACAACAACAAATTTTCATCATGGCTAATTCTTAAAATATCATGCTCAACTCCACTGTGATTTAGAGCAAAATTCTTATGTCTAGAAATTAATCCTTTTCTACTTTAACTTCTCTTTTTGTAAGCTTGCCAAGAATTATTCCATAATTTGCCAAGCAAAATAATTCTATAGCCTATCTAGAAGAGACTAAAAGGATGAAAAGAGAAACAAATTATATGTTTCTGTAAAGAAATATACATCTTATACTTTTATTTTCTGGGTACAATTTACGAACAGCTGGTATCTCTGAGGATGAGCCATTTCGTGTTCGCAATATAAATATTTGTTGATCCTGGTGGGTATTTTTGAAGATCATATTAGTAAAATACACACAAAAAAATCCTTGAGTTACATTTGTTTTCCAGAAAACAAACCCATATATCTCCACTTCCTCCTTGCTGACCTTTCTTCCATCTGTTTCAAAATGGGTCAGGAAGGGACACCGAGCCCAATAGCAAACAGGATGTTTAAAACAGGGGTTGAAAAACAGTCACATCTGAGTCCAGGGATTCCTGGGGCATGATAGGGCAAGCCACTGCATTTATTTGGCCTCAATTTCTCCCTCTAAAAATGGAGACTAAAAACCCCACACGGTTTCCTTGATTTGAAGCAAGAATAAATTAAACTTAATAAATTGTAGAAGATTGGGGGACAGAGGACACAGAGTGAAAAAGAAAAAATTGCAATGTGGACCATAAGCATGCTGTCGGGAGGAAGCTAGTGGTCTTCAGGCCACATTTTGAGAAACATTGTCAACACTGACTATTTTTTCAGCTTATTCAACCTCTTTATATTTGTCTTTATCATTGCTTCCTTAAAAACAAAGTTTGTCAGTAAAAATGTCCCACACATGCAAAAAGCAAGAAAATGTTCCTACCCACCTTCTAAACACGTCAAATAAACATTTTGGATTTTCTGTGCCATGGGGCTATTTCACCCTCATACTCAACAGATATGAGCACCAATGATGTGCCAGGCTATGTGCTACGCAATGGAGATAAAGGTGAAAAAGCAGACTCAGGGACCAACAGTCTCATGGGAAAAGATAAGCAAGTAAATGGGTAATTAAAACACAATGGGATAAATATACTGTATTTAAATATTCAATTTCCATATACTAACTGTTTAGCAGAGCCAAAACCAGAGTTAAGCCAGGGTTCCATCTGTTTTGAGATGGTAGAAATTAAAACAATGTCGCTATCCCTGCTGAGACCATGACTCCTTTTCCTAGTGGCAGCCAAGAATATATAATCCACTCAGTGTCTGATTTCTCAGTTTAGGAATTCCAATCAAAAAAAGCCATGGCACAGGGCAATTGCCATGCGACCAAGTAAAAGCCTAAAAGAATATCTGAGTGTCTCCTGCCCTGGGTGTCAGGGGTATAGAAATCCTCTTCTCTGTATAGTTCCTTTTCTCATGCAATAGGTCTTTCCTACACTTGTTCTTGGAGCCTGATACCTACCAAGGATGAGGTATTCTGTAAAGTAAACTAAGGAGATGGAAACTCTTTTAATATAATAACAATGGGAAGTGCTAGCAGAAAACTAGTATTTGCAATCCAATTACTTAAATCTTCTACTCTAAGATTACCTTCAAAGAAAATGTTTTCTATCCCTTCTCCGCATTTAGGACCCAAAGCCCCTACCTTACTCCAACTCCCATCCCTAGCAAAACATAGGATGACAGACAACCCTCCCCTAAGGCTAGACACAAAATTCGACAGGAAGAGGGTAGGAGAAAAGGAAGAATAAAGTAGAAGAGCAGAGCGCTGAAGATCTGTAAGGCAAAGAAAAAAAAAGGATGAGAGTCCAAAAGTCTTCATTTTCCTTGAGATTGACCACATGATGTTTCCCAAGTATAATATTTAGCACTAAAACCACAGAGGCATGGGCAGAGGTCAGAGACAAATTGAATTTTCCAGTTTCCACAACCATGAAGACTTGGAAGGAGACAGAATGTAGCACTGGGATTAGGCATTTGAAATAGTGGATTAAAAGTGTTTCTAGATTCCATGTATGTGCTTGACTAGCTATTATGGGGTCTTTATTATTGACTATTGTACCTCTCCCTTCCAGAATAAGGAGCATTCATTGATATTTTAGCACAGAAATCAAATAGTCTTTGGCCTCTTCTTTAATCCAAGGGAATTTTGAAATAACATACTTCCTCTGCATGTGCTATTCCAGCATCCACCATAAGATCTGTTGAGGATACATTCAAACTGATATTTTCCAAATAAGAAAATTCTGAGCTTAGTATGAAGACTTCATCAAACAGAGCTCCTGGAGGTGTCTGGAGTAAATCCATCTTTAGAAGAGGGCCATTAGGGCTTTGTTTAGCATGATCACTAACTTGCAAACTGACCTATTATATCAATCCGCAGTATCCAGGTTGCCACCTTAGGAAACTATATTGCCTTGGTTTCACTCTCAAATTCTAATCAAGGACTCTCCTTGTGGAAGCTGTGAAAATGTCTATGCCCATGACAAATATCTATGGAAATCATGACTAAGACAGGTCAAGTCTAGGTTTGTCCGACTCCTGCCTCCGACTCCTGCCTCCATATTCCTTACAAATATAAACAGGAAGCTAACATCTTCCCTGGTCCTCACTGAGGGGTTTGGGTAAGAACCTCCAATCTCCCTCCTTCCCAAGTCAGTCCTTCCTTTTTTTTTTTTTTTTTTTTTTTTTTTTTTTTTTTTTGAGATGGAGTCTCGCTCTTTCGTCCAGGCTGGAGTGCAGTGGTGCTATCTTGGCTCACTGCAAGCTCCACCTCCTGGGTTCACGCCATTCTCCTGCCTCAGCCTCCCGAGTAGCTGGGACTACAGGCGCCTGCCACCATGCCTGGCTAATTTTCTATGTTTTTAGTAGAGACGGGGTTTCACTGTGTTAGCCAGGTTGGTCTCGATCTCCTGACCTCGTGATCCACCCGCCTCGGCCTCCCAAAGTACTGGGATTACAGGCGTGAGCCACCGCGCCCGGCCCAGTCCTTCCTTTTCTTTGTATCTGAATAGAAGTAAAGACCCGGCGGTAATCGCATCCCTCTCCATTTAGTATGGAAACCACCTCTCTCCTTGCCCTATTTCCTTCCATTTTTGCCTTCTCCATTTTTCCTCTTTCTCCCCAAGGCATACAAATTGTATGCCAGATACATAATATGCTCAATCATTAGTATTGAAGGATGACCCTGGTAGTTGATGTCCATGCCTCCCTTAGACAAGAAAGCCCTACATTCTCCACCTTACCCAAACACCAGGTATTAGTCAACAGTGGGGCAAGAACAAAATATAAGGATATAAAAGGTGCCTGGAGCAGAGGGAAGAAAAACAGTTAAAGCTGGAATTCTTTGGTTTTCAAGTAATAAAAACAACCCAATCCCACCTGATATAAGCAAACCAGGGGGAAAAAAAAGGTATTTTATGGGCTCATAAAACTGAAAAGTCTAGGCTGGGCATGGTGGCTCACACCTGTAATCCCAGCACTTTGGGAGGCCAAGGCGGGTGGATCACGAGGTCAGGAGTTCAAGACGAGCCTGGCCAAGATGGTGAAATCCTGTCTCTACTAAAAATACAAAACTTAGCCAGGCACGGTGGCAGGCACCTGTAATCCCAGCTACTTGGGAAGCTGAGGCAGGAGAATCGCTTGAACCTGGGCAGCAGAGGTTGCAGTGAGCTGAGATCATGCCACTGCACTCCAGCCTGGGCAACAGAGTGACACTCCATTAAAAAAAAAAAAAAAAAACTGAAAAGTCCGTGTTCAATCTTGCCTATTGAAGGAGCTTGGATCAGTCACAATGTCTCTGGGCTCCTCCTTCTAGCAGTTCTTCCTCTAGATAAGCTCCAATCCATGACTTCACAAAAGTATTTCTAGAAAATTCAGGCTTATATCTTCAGAAACCTCAGTCCAACAAAAAGAAAATCTGCTTCCCAATACCTCAAACACCAATGCCAAAATTGAATTTCTTTTGGCTCTCATTGGCCCACTTTCAGTCACATGTCCATGGCTGAAACATGGCTGTGGCCAAGAGAATGGACTGCACAGATTGGCTCAACCTAACCTAGTTACATGCTCCACTCCTTCAGGCCCGGGGATGAAATCAGCCTCACAGGAAGCACATGGACTGAGAATAGGAAAGGGGAACCATCGAAGTAAAACTGTGTCCCCAAGAAGGTTGTGCAGGTGCTGAATGGCAAAGTTAGTAAACATTCATTACACTTCCCCAACGCTGCAGGGATGATCAAGAAATCCTTCATAGAGAATTAGAAGAGATTTTAGAAGGAAGCTGGGAAGGATAAGTAGGAGTTTGACAGGCCAAAGGCTGCAATGACAGTAAACAGGCCATTCAAAGCCGAGAGAACACCATGCAAAAATGCAGTGGACAGAAAAAAAGTCTTGATTTTTTTCAAGGAAATGCAAGTAACTTGTCTATAGATGTGCTGTGGGAAGTTGCAATAATTGAGGCATACAAGTAGGCTGATTGTGTTGGACTTTATATGCTATACACAGGGATGCAGAATTTTATCCTGCATGGAGAGATGAGGAACACTGAGATAGATATGTTGAGCAAGCATTTAATCTCTTGAGCAGCATGGAAGATGTGTTGGATTGGAGACACAAGGGCTGTGGGAATGGAGTGGAATCTCAGTCAAAAATGTATTACATAACCTAAACCATGGGAACTGGCCATGGGGATTAAGAGGTGGGGCTAAACTTAAGAACTATCTAGGAAGTAGAACTGATAGGCCTGATGACTGACTGAACTGGGGGAGAGAGGCAGGATGCAAGAGAAAGAGAAGATTTCTCGCTCAGGTTTCTGAATTAGAGAACTGTATAAAATGAAATGCAGGTTTACTAAAATGCCAAATTAATAAAGAATGGCCATTCCATCACCATTAAGTCTTGAATCTAACTTTCCAACTCAGAACTTTAATAAAAACACATGCCAGCAATCTTAGTTACTCTTCAGTATTTATAAGTCTTGTGTGACTAACCATTTCATTCACGAACTCATTCTGCAGCCCCCACTGAAGCCCTTCCCCTCACCACACACACACACCCACATTGTATCTGTTCTACATGGGTTATTTATGATGCAGCTGTTTTAGCAGTTGGGATCCTCATGCTGTTCTATCATCATAACACACAAAACAAACAATTCCTTCCCACCGTCTTTGCTCCTTTTGATTTCCAGCTCAGTAAAGTTGCATATTGAAAGAAAGGACATATCATCCATTCTAGTCCATAAATAACATAGCTAAGGTCATCCTTGAAGCAATGAAACTCTCAGGGTGACCTTTTTTTCCTCTAAAAAGTGAACTTTGAGTCATGACAGAGTCCATCAGAAACCACCCTGGTATTTATTTATGTGTTGTTGTGTTTGTGAATGATAGCCCTGCAGGATATCCTCTTTAAGCTTTGCAGCTGTTGATAATGGGTCCCTGCCCAAGTGTGGATTTATTTTACAAACATATTTATCATCTATCAAACATATTGGCTGGCAAAGGTTTTGTATATTCCATGGCTTGTAACATTCTTGCTCCTAACTATTCTGAAACTACTGAAACACACTCATATTGTTCTTGTCCTCCCTTCTAGAAAGAACTGAAAGGCTGACTTTGTCTGGGAGGTAATAGGATTAAATTGCATTTATGCTGAATCCACAGTGTGTAGGGAGCATGAAGCTGTTTTCCAGATGAATCAGCTGATTCTTTGCATTTTACAAGCTATCAGAGGCATTAATGAAAATGCAAGAAAAGCTAACCAACACTTGATGGCAAATAAAGAAAAACAAAGGAAAAAATGAGATTACAGGACAGACATATCATCTTCAGGAGATAGTACTCAGCTCACTCACTCAAGAATCCAAATTAGGAGCTGTGTTTCCAGAGACATGGGCACATGCATTCCCAGAGTTCTAAGTCAAGGAGAAGGTTTGCCAGTGTGCTACATGAATCCCTGTCTTCAAGTCATTCCCACCAGGAGAGGCCAGGGAATGACACCTGGGATGCCAGACTGTTGCTGGCAGCATCTTCCCAAACCAAAGGATCCTGGTAAAACCAGATCCAGTCCCAAATTGAACAGAACTTACTTTGGCTCAGAACATCATGTCCAGAGCAAAACTGGAACCAACCTGGACCGCAAGCAAGCGGGAAATGCTGCTCGGCTAACACTGCTGGTGTTCATCCTCACCTAACAACTCATTCCAGCTGGACAGGAAATCGTAGGCTAGAACTTTGCTTTCACGTTTGACATCTTTCTCTTCTGGAAGCATAAGAAGCTCTCCATTTTTCCAAAGTAGATGAAGAGGATTCAAGCTTCCCATTTAAATTTCTTTTTAATTTCGTTGGTCTTTCTACCCCATTTCCTGCTTCATTATATTTGCTTATCACTCCTCCCCTCACTTTTCCATTTCCTTTATCACACTCCTCTATTCTTTTTGTCTCTTTCAGTTTCTAAATTTTTCCCTCATCTCTACTTACTCTCTTCTCCTAAGAACTACTTTCATTTGAGGCATTAATGTTTTTACTCCCAGAAAATTATGCCAGCCTAAAAGGTTACAACATTCAAATAGAGAAAATACCCCTCCACTAGGAAAGCAAGACTGAGGAAGCCATCAGATAAAATTCCTTAATGTCTGACCCAGATCATGTCACAAAATTGTGCTGATATAAACTACACAGTTTAGCACAATTAATATCACAGTCACTCTTTCAAGTTCATATTTCTTTAACACTTTAGTCAGCAAAGTTTTGAGGGCTCTCCTGTTGTAAGAGCAGAAGGTGTTAATGCATGGCAGGGCTCCATTAAGCTGCCTCCATGCAACTAATACATATCGCCAGTCTTCTCTGTCACCCAGGCTGGAGTGCAGTGGTGTTGACTATAGGTCACTGCAGCCTTGAACTCCTGGGCTCAGGTGATCCTCCTACCTCAGCCTCTCTAGTGGCTAGGACTACAGGCATGTGCCATATAATTATTATTATTTTTTTTTTTTTGTAGAAACAGGGTCTCATGTTACCCAGGCTGGTCTCAAACTCCTGGCCTCAAGTGATCCTCCTGCTTTGGCCTCCCAAAGTGCTGGGATTACTGGCTTGAGCCAATGTACCCAGACTCATCAAGCCTGAAACCCTCTGCCAAGCCTGAAAATCCCCACCTTAATGGTCAATCATCAATAAAATAAACCAGGAATGTTTTTCCAGAGCCCAGCGGCAACTGACCTCTGTTTTCTCTAAACCATGAGTAACTAGTTATTTAATCAAGTTAGATAGTTGATATTTGGGGCATAGAAAAGATGAGGTGCAAGATAGGTATTATTCAAATGCTAGAGGGAGAGGTGGGAGGGTGTTGGACGCAGCTCATTGGGCTGCAAGTGACAGAAATGCAATTTTAACTAGCAGAATTGAAGGAGAAATTTATTAGTTCACAGAAACCAAGGAAGGGTTGAAGGATCAAAGTGAGAGAAAGGCAAGGATCCAGCTTTGCTTAGGAGCACTTGGAACCAGAAGCACGTATCATGGTTTCATCCGCATTTCTGCTTCTCTCAATACAGCAGCACCACTGCAGATAAGTTTCCTCCCCATGGCAGGAAATAAAGACTCCCAGAGCTCCCCTGAGCTTTGCAACCACTGGCACTTCCAGAGAGGGACTGACTCTCTTCTTTACTCTAGTTTGCAAAATTCTCAAGGCAGGAGTCTGATTGCCCCAGACTTAATGCCAACTCTAGGCTAATCAGCTGTGGCCGTGGAGGTCACTGTACATATTCATAAAAGATCATGGCAGCTTTCACTGGAACCACATTGTAAGAGTAAAGGTAGGAGAAGCTCTCAAAACATTTAGTGGGGTAGTGTGGGTTGGGGTGCTAGTCTCAGACAAGAGGCTATATTGAACAACCCAAACGCTGAGAGCCCACTGAACAGAGACCTTGAATAATGGGGACAGCAACAGAACAGACACTGACCACAGAGACCAGGCCAGGGAGGGTCTTGGGGGACTGATAACCCATATCAGAGGTGAGGGTGGGGAGAGAGCAAGCTGTGACTTTATTGCAATTCTATGTAGCACTATTCCTATCCTTGGCTTCCCAGCCCCAGAGGTTACTAGACCTGACAACAGTAGACATACAGAGTCCTGGACTTGCCAAGTCACAAAGTTCAAATATTTAAGTAAAATCACTTTTCCTAAGTGTCTTAGATATCCTCAACCAAGCAAGATTTTAAAATATTATACCACGGTAGACTCAGATTCATGCAGTGACCCCTTAAGGAGCAGCACCTCCATCTCTAAGATGACACCAAAATACTGGGGCTATTGGACCAATGTCTTTCTTAAAAGGGGAGCTAAACCACAGACATGCCAGAAACTTTAAAAACACTGCTCGCCTTCTAACCACCTAGTTTTTAGAGAAATTAAAACTGAAATCGGCCAGGCACGGTGGCTCACGCCTGTAATCCCAGCACTTTGGGAGGCCAAGGTGGGCAGATCACGAGGTCAGGAGATCGAGATCATCCTGGCTAACACGGTAAAACCCTGTCTCTACTAAAAAATACAAAAAAAATTAGCTGGGCATGGTAGCGGGCGCCTGTAGTCCCAGCTACTTGGGAGGGTGAGGCAGGAGAATGATGTGAACCCGGGAGGCAGAGCTTACAGTGAGCTGAGATTGCGCCACTGCACTCCAGCCTGGGCGACAGAGCGAGACTCCGTTTCAAAAAGAAAACAAAAAACAAACAAACAAAAAAAAAAACTGAAGTCATTTCCATAATTCTAGGAAATGTTTTTGGTGGCATAATAATTGGGAGAGAGGAGGCATTATTGGGAGGATAAAATAGAGAATATATGTAAAAGAACTTCTCACAAATATGAGAATTTTTATATTGCATTTTGTTAAGCATTTGGGTCTACTCTCCTAGACTACTGTCTTTAAAAGTACTGTCTACCTGCCTTGCAGGAGTTAATGCTGAAGATGACATTAAGTTCCCCTCTGTGGCAGGGTGGGTAAGACTTTTGTCAGGTTTATTTCTATGAGGAATTATGCTTGAGGTTATCACACAGTCAAATAAACTTTTTTTCATACGGTATACATCGAAAGGGGTCCAGAGGACTAGAGGGGCCCTGTTTTTTATTGAACAAAGTGATTTTGTTCTGAGGTTACTTCGTATGACCCACAGTACAGACTGGTATGCAAAGAGTCATGCATTCATTTAAACAATAATAAATTGTGGTTCAGAATGTGGGGGGAATGCTGTTCCCTCGTGGACATTAAAAACCATACAATTTCTCTGCTGTGATTTCAAAATAAACCTTGCGCTTGTTAAGTTTTGGATTTGCAGCAAATACTAGGAACTTTTAAAAATGGATATTTAATCCAGGACAGTAAGTTATGATGCTTATAAAACAACTCTTATAACTCCAAATGGTTAGGTAAATAAGTAGAACATAAATCATTATAAATAGCCAATAAAATTCAGAACTTAAAAGTCAAATAATAAGTTTTTAGATCATAAAATCTGGCAAACGTAATATAGGTGACCCGAGTCTATGCTATCCAGGACTCAGGGCCCTTTTAGTGGGATAATTGAGGAAAGAGCTCATCCCTGCAAATCCATGAAACCCACGGAGACAGGTGTGGTTTGCAAGAGGTAAGGAGCTCAACTGCACATGGAAGCTATTCGGTAATTATTTGAATTAATTAGTTAATTGCTGTAGAGTAGCTAAGTTGATAGAACAGCACTAACTTCTACCAGTGAGAAGGGGAGACTCAGTACCATTGATTCCTAGGTGGCAGTTTACCATGGGCTCTGGGGATGGCAAGCAGAGTACACCATGGCCCTCGCTTTCCAGGAGCCACCATAACAGGTAGAGTTTCCTCAGTCAGTCTTTCTATTGCTTTTCTCCACCACAACAGGTAAAGGAGCCTTGGAGGTTATGACCAATCTGATGCCCAAGTGGGCTCTACTCACTGAGCCCCCCTTATCCTCATGTACCCCAAAATATCTCCCTCAAGACTTTTGTGATGTCTGATGGTTCCATCAGTGGAGTCATCCTCCAGTGAAGATCTGGATATCCAGGGGAGGGCCCCTCACAGAAGGTTACCTGTGACTATCAGCCTGCTTCTCCTAGAATATCCCTTTAAATCCTCTGACTAAATGATGATAGCAACAACAACCCACTTGCAATAAAAATGTAATTCCTTACATTTATCTGAGCTTTACGTTCAGTGTTAGAGTGATGCACTGAGAGAGAAGCTAAAACCCAAATCATTTTCTCGTTTCCAAATCCAGTGTGATAAACTTTTATATCTATTTCATAATATAAGCCTTACGTGTACTTTTTTTTCTAACAACGGCCCCACATTGCTCGTCAGACACAATCTGACAGTTCACTATGCCCAGAAACGTTCTTTGAGTCCCTAGGGCCTTTGCTCCCTGGAAGCCTGTCACTCCCCAGTCACAAGCCACTTCATGATCCAGTCAACCGCCACCTTCTCCCTGAAGCCTTCCGTGCCTCCCACAGGCCTGGCCACGGCTCCTCCCTCTGTCCATGCCTCTCTCACAGCCCTTGAGCACATTCTGTCATGTTTATGGTTAGCTGGGCTATCTGTCTCCCCAGTTAGATTCTGAGACCCAGAGGGAAGGCGGTTTTGGCTTAGTCATCTTTGTATCAGCTCAACACAGTAGACAGATGTCTACTCAATTAAACTAATTCCAAAATAAGCATCTTTAAATCCAATTTTTCCATAATTCAATTTGTGTGTGGAAACCTGGTCCAATTGGAAAATGTAAAGTGAATCTTTGTAAACATTTTAAAAAGGAAAAAAAGGACATGTAGCAGTTCTTCTTAACAAAGAGGTAGCAAGGTTGGAGCTGGTGGAGATCCAGCCAATCTGTTTTCTGTTTTCAGCGCCACCCGCTACCTTTGCCTTCAGAGGTAACTGGCGATTCCAATTCTGTGGGCTTTCTAGGGCATTGCAGCATACTCTGGGCTGCTTTTTGGTGGCTTCTTCTGCCACCCACATCAGAGTCTTTGTTTTATACTCTGTTAAGTCAGTTCCCACTTATCCATCTGCTTCTGTCATCCAAATGTTGTGGACATCTCTCACCTGTGAAGTTGCCTCACCCATAATCTTTGTTCTTTGGATTTAGCTCTTTCTTAACGCTTAATATCCCTCTCATTTTAGTGACATTTCCAAAGGAATAAAATATAAATACTTGTATACATTTCACCCATGTTTTATCAGATTTCTCTGAACTAATTATTTTGACAAGTGATGTGTTAATAAGTGTAAAATTATCATGTAAAGTTTTAAGTCAGCATTAATAAAATACATATCAACACAAATGATTTAAGGAAAATATTCTAATAAAACTTTTTATAATTTTCTAGGCCAGGTGCAGTGGCTTACCCCTGTAATCTTAGCACTTTGGGAGGCTGAGGTGGGAAGACTGCTTGAGCCCGGGAGTTTGAGACCAACCTGGGCAACATGGTGAAGCCCCATCTCTACCTAAATAAATAAATAAATAAATAAATAAATAAATAAATAAATACAAAAAATTAGCCAGGCATAATGGTGTGTGCCTGCAGCTCCAGCTACTCAGGAGGCTGAGCTGGGAAGATCCCTTGAGCCTGGGAGTTCGAACGAAGCTGCAGTGAGCCATAAATGCACCACTGCACTCCAACCTGGGTGACAGTGCAAGACTCCATGTCAAAAAAAATTTTAAGTAATTTTCTATAACTTACCTTTGATACCAGAAAAGTATTACACAGAAATAAAATAAAATCCTCTTTTAAATTCATAGGGAGGCTGGGCACGGTGGCGCATGCCTATACTCCCACCACTTTGGGAGGCTGAGGCAAGTGGATCACTTGAGGTCAGGAGTTCGAGACCAGCCTGGCCAACATGGTGAAACCCCATCTCTACCAAAAAATACAAAAATTAGCCAGGCATGGTGGCATGCGCCTATAGTCCCAGCTACTTAGGAGGCTGAGGTGGGAGAAACGGTTGAACCCGGGAGGTGGAGGTTACAGTGAGCCACAATCTCGCTGCTGCACTCCAGCCTGGGTAACAGAGCGAGACCCCATCTCAAAAAATAAAGAAAGAAAGAAATAATAAATTAATAGGGAAAAGCTGGTGGAAAATTGATAAAAAGATCATCTTATTCTGCAATTTAGTCCTAAATTTACTCTCACTCCATCTTTGTGAATGCAGTGCCATGTGAAGAATGCATTTCTGAACAGGTAGGTTGCTGAACATACATAGTTTGAATACAACTTTGTCTTTTAAAAAAGAGATGATAGTCCACCCTGAACAGAATAACATCCTCCACCCACCTTAAACAAGAATTGTAAATGAAACAGAGAATCACTGTGATAAACAGAATGTAACATCTATAAAGGGGGGCCCATCAACTCAATACCAAAGAAAAACTGAGTTATGGGAAGAGAGAGACACGACACTGGAGACTCCAGAGCTAGTCCTTTCTGCCACCAACTAGCTGTGTCCATGTCAGCATTGTCCCTTAACTGCTCTGTGCAGCAGTTTTCCCTTAGAAATGAAGGGGTTGGCCTTTCTTGTCTGCTTGGCTTTTCAAGCAGCCTGACTCTCCCACACTGTAAGCACATACATCCCTACTGTTGGGTGCGATGATCCAGGGCTCTCCTTTATTTCTTCCAGCTCCTGCTTGGTTCCTTTCTCTTAGAGCCATCTCCAGACCCCCTGCTGCCCGCATTGGTGATTGACTTTGCTGTTTTGTCTCTTGGCTTTCCAAAAAGGATGATGAGATTGGCTTATCCTCAAATAACCACTCTCTAGCTTGGATCTTGGTCTGCTAGACTAACATCCCAGCTGTGCCCACACCAGTCACTTGAAAGTTGGGGAAGGAAGATTCAGACAATCATTTCTGTGTTTTCTTTCAGTTCCAGAATCCTAAGATTCCATCAACATAACAAAAGCCTGAACAAATAAAGTTTTCTTTGGTCAAAATAAACCACTGCTGTGTTTAATCACCATGAAGAATGGCAGGTCCATCTTCAGCAAGAAGTCAAGGGATTTTCCGCCTTAAGTGCAGAAGGAAATCTGTCTTATTTTAGAAGCACATCTCTTTCTTTGTTACTGTTTTTCTTGGTTCAAACGAGACAGTGTTACTATCTATAAACTGCATAGATATTCGGTTTCAAGTACTTCTGTAGTGGAAGGAAACTCATGCAGAATGGAAAAATAACCTGGAAGGATCTCAATGCCAGACTCAAAGCTGTCATTGCCACATGTTTCTTGGATTGGGGCCACACTTATCAAGCTTCCCTTCTTGTAAATGTTTATTGAAACAGAGCTTTTGACAGGAGTCAATCTGACTAATATCATTTTCCTGTTAAATTCCAAATTGCTTTTGTTGCTGAGAGCTCTTAATAACAAAAATGAGGAAGTTGCATCTGTAGCAAAAGGCAGACCTCTAGGGCTGGATTTCACCTTGCCCCACTTGGGCCCCCTTAATAAGGAGGGGCAGCCATGCCACTGTTTATTTGATGAGGAATGATTCACAAACTTGGAAGAAATCAGGGCATTTAAGAGAATTTTATTATAAAGCTCCAAAAGAGAAGAAAATTAACATTTATTGAGCATCTACTAAGTGCCAGGCACTATTACAGGCACCTTGTAAAATTATCTCTTATAATTCTCATGAGAATCTTATGAGATAGGTGATACTATGCCCGTTTTATGGATAAAAGAACCCATCTCAGAAAGGTATATAAGTAGTTCAAGTTCACACAGCAGATAAGTGGTGAGGAGCTGGGATATTATTCCAGACCTGTAATTTGGATTTTCTTTCTTTGTGGTATGTGCCACAGACCTTCAACTTCACTTCAACAAACGACAATCTGCATATGGAATAAGAAATCATAGAATCGTACAGTTTTAGACCTTGAAGAAACATTAGAGGTCACAGTGCAATTTCTCTCATATTATAGATAAGGAAACAGATCCATAGAGGCTAAACGATTTGCCCAAATTACATGGCTCTAGCTGTGCAAGTTGTGAAAATCTTTCCTGATTGAAGTATTAGGGATTAAGATTCAGGCCTTTTGTGGTTAATTAGAGAATAGATGTCTTCAATCAGCACAAACTGTCTCATTTCTTTCAAATAATTGAAGCTGTAAAATTTCCAGGTAAGAATTTCTAAGACAACCAAAAGATAAAATTCTGTGGACTTTAAGAAAGCTTTCCTATCAAATCAAAGCCCTCCAAAGCATAATTGCTTTTTTAACCAGAATCAAAACGTGGCTGAATAAGTCCCTCTGCAACTAGAAGCAGCAATGTGGTCTGTTTGTTCAAAGCTAGGAATTCTCTCAATATCAGGTCAATAGATTAGCAGAAATGAGGTAGGAAGGAGAAAGGAAGGAGAAGAAATAGAAAACACGCATCCACTTTCAGGCCAAGAAACAAACAAAATTAATTCCACATACTTCTCCATGGGCACAGAAATGATTTTCCATACAAGCTCACATATACGTATTTGCATTTCTTGACCATGAATCCGAGACTCGAACAGATTGTTTGCCTAGAGAGAATTCGGTCTTAATCATCAAGCTGTTAGCCAATCTCAGTTATATTTTACAGGTAAAAGCAGACATTTAATAGATTTCTCTTCTCAAAAGGCAAATGCTCTAGTGTAGCCAAAGATCATCTACAATTTTTAAAAAGCTTAAAGACATTTACATATTAGCTTTTATGGGCTTAAACTCCAAAGTCTAGAGAGTTATGTAAATAACAATACTCAGAAAAAGAAATTTATCTATTTAATTTGGGCTCATGCAAAGCTTGGATACAAATAGTGCCTGGAAGAGAAATAAACATGATTCCTAAGAGTTTTCTCATGTGGCTAATCCCTCCAGGCAGTGAAGGACTGGATTCTCGACAGATGCTTTCACCAACTTTTTCTCTTGGAGCATCCAAATAGGTGTAACTATTAATAAGCATCTGAATGAGTAGTCTGCCTGCTAACCCCAGAGGACTATGGACAAAAGCTAGAGTGGAAAGATGATGAAGCAACTTAAAAACTCTCAAGGAACATTATTTGATGCACTTGATTCATATACAGTCAACTCATTGGAAAACAGCTTTTTAAATAAATTAACTGAAGATTAACAGATGAAGTCATCCATGCTTGTTTGGAATGCTTCAAATTAGTAATGTTATCTCTCTTGGGTTTAAGTTGATCTACTTAACAGATCCTCACTTGGACATGAACTATAGAGGCCAGTAAATGGAAAGGAAAATAACCACACAATATAGACTAACACCATTATTTCATGATGTTACACAAGTTTTCTCAAAAATATCTGGCCATGTTGTACCACAGCCTTAGTCCTTTGACCAATATGTTCTGATGCATTTATAATCACTAGTAAATGCCTGGCTTAAAATACTTTATAACATTTTCACTGCATAGGAAGCAAATCCCCTACTTTTTTTTTTTAATACTTTAAGCTTTAGGGTACATTTGCACAATGTGCAGGTTTGTTACATATGTATACATGTGCCATGTTGGTGTGCTGCACCCATTAATTAGGGACATGGATGAAACTGGAAACCATCATTCTCAGCAAACTATCGCAAGGACAAAAAATCAAACACTGCATGTTCTCACTCATAGGTGGGAATTGAACAAGCAGAACACATGGACACAGGAAGGGGAACATCACACTCCAGGGACTGTTGTGGGGTGGGGGGAGGGGGAGGGATAGCATTAGGAGATATACCTAATGCTAAATGGCAAATCGCCTACTCTTGATGGTCAGGAGATGGTGTGGGACTTGTCAGAGATCCTGACAGGCTGGTCTCAGCTGTCTGCCTACCTGGAAGTGCTGTCAGAATGTCTAACACAGAGATTCATGGCAATAACAAATGTTTTCCATTTAAAACCTGTACAAAAGTCAAGCAAGACAACACAGTGAAAATGTTAACTTTATTTTTGAAAAACTTTACCTATTACTGTCTTATCTAAAAGTAGAATCAAACAAAATAATAATAATAATTTCATTCATAGCAAGCAGCCAACTTGGTTCTTTCTTGACTCTTTTGCCTTCATGGAAAAATTGGAAGGATATTAGGAAAAGAGGTTTTTTTTTTTTAACTTAAGGATTTTTTTAAAAATTTACCCTTAAATGTTATTGTTCATTTGTGCCAAAGTGTCTCAAGCTCAAATACATCGATCTCTAAAGTGATATAATTATTTGTTGTAGGGGGCTGTTCTGTACATTGTAGAATGTTTCTGGTCTCTAACTGCTAGATATCGGTAGCACCTCCTCCCACTCACACCTGCCTCCCAAATTGTGACAACCAAAAATGTCTCCAGATGTTGCCAAATGCCTCCCCATTGAGAACTACTAAATGCAAGAGCTTGGCTCAAGGAGTCCTGTTTCACATAAGTATGTTCTACAGCAAAGTAATATAGCTGTCAAAATAGGAAATGGAGGCAGTGAAGCCCATCAGCACCATTGCCTATAGGTAGGCACTGAGTGGACAGTTTTGCTTACAGTCCAGCAATGATGGGGCCAGAGGTCCTACCACCACTGCAATGGCCCCTTTGGAAGTGGAGTGTTTGTTAACCAAAAGCTGGCCAAGAAAACTCAAACTTTAATTTTAAAAAATACAAGCTCCTTAATGAGAGCATCAGGAACAATAGCTAATGGATGCTGGGCTTAATACCAAGATGATGGGATGATCTGTGCAGCAAATCACCATGGCACACATTTATGTTAACAAACCTGCACATCCTGCCCACGTACTCCTAAACTTAAAAGTTGGAAATAAAAAAAAAAATACAAGTTCCTTAGCCATATTCAGTCCTTTCTAAACTCCCACAGCTAGGGAACAAAGACTACAGTGTTGCTTCCAACCACATCATCAGCCCATTATCTTCTAATTTAAAGAAAACAAATTCTTTAAATCATGGTGTTTTAAAATGAATTCTTAAAAGGAGTTGTTTTTATTAATAATTCTAGGGATCCAAGTATGCAAAGCTTGTGGGTCCCAGGCAAGAAACTTGTCAGTTTGGGGTCCAAAGAAAAATTGTTTTAAGTACAAAATGAAGTCAGTGAGTCACATTGCCTTCAATCTTAGGCTAACTCATTTAAAATATGAAAGGATTAATCACCACAGATTGGTCAAAAAAGAATCTCAGCTCCTCACTTAGTGTTTTCAGGTAGCTCTGACCAGCCAGTCTCAGTCTCTCACTGTCCAGGTTCCAAAGAGGTGTCATGGTACCAGGATACTGGGGTATATTGGGCACACTTGCCTTGGCAGAGTTTTCTGGTTGCCAACAGGATATTCATCTATCTATTCTTCCCTTTACTAATAAAACTCCAATTTTGTTGGATGTGGCAATTTATCCAACATTTTAAAAAGATACTTTGCCAAGCCTCTTCTGCAGGTAGGGCAGCTGTTTGACCCAGTTCTGGCCAGATAATTAATAAAAAATTACGGATTGAGCTTCCAGTAAAGTGAAAAAAGAGACAAACCAAACTAGCTCATGCCTTTCCCTTTGCTCTTTCCTCTTATTCCTGCCTGAAATGCAGATACCATTCAGGAGATAGAAAAGCCATCTCATGACCACAAGACAATGAGCCCATGTTAAGGATGGCTGAGCAAAAAGACAGAAGGAAATGTGGTCCCTGGTGGAGCCTCTATACCAACACTGGTGTTAGTTCCCTGAGGCTGCTGTAACAAATTATTATAAACTTCGTGGCTTGAAACAACAGAAATGTATTCACTCACAGTCCTGGAGGCCAGACATCTGAAATCAGGCAGGACTGAGATCCCTCTGGGTGCTCTAAGAAAGAATCTGT
Source organism: Homo sapiens (assembly GCF_000001405.40). NCBI lineage: Eukaryota > Metazoa > Chordata > Mammalia > Primates > Hominidae > Homo > Homo sapiens. The sequence goes on along the minus strand of NC_000014.9, from coordinate 58,705,263 downwards.
TTTTTGCCTCTTTCAGCATCTGGTGGCCGCCCCTGGGCTTGTGGCCAAATCACTCCAATCTCTGTCCACATAGTCATATTGCTGCCTCCTATTCTATCTACTCTTCCTCTCCTTCACTCTTCTAAGGACACTTGTCATTGAATTTAGGGTCCACCCAGGTAATCTAGGAAGATCTCAAGATACTTAATTACATCTGCAAAGAACCTTTTCCAAATAAAGTAACATTCACTGTTTTCAGGGATTTGGGCATGGACATATCTTTTTGTCGACAGAGGAGATGACACTTTTCAACCCATGACACCTGGATCACCCACCACAAGTATCCCCATTCATCCTCCTCCAAAAAAAATAAAGCTTCTTATGAGTTTAAGCTACTATTTTTCAAATTTCTGTAACTCACAGCCAAATACATCCCCTAAATAATAGATTGTTTAACTCAGGGAGGAGTTAGGAGTATTTTAGGGATTGATCCTGACCATGGTTTAAAGTACCTGGGTTCTGAATCTCTATTTTGCACTAGTCCACTCTTTTCAATCAATGTGTGGATGCCAGATCATCAGAATTACCTGAGGTGCTTATTTAAAATTCTGATTTCTTGCTCTCAAAATGGATTTGCTGAATCAGAATCTCTGGGAGTTGACCTCTTTAAAAAGTCCCCATGGAGGCTCTTATGGCCATTGAAATCTGAGAACCACTGCAGCCCTTTACGTTATTTACACTGTTTCTCTGAAATTAATTGTTCCGTTTGAACAGTCTTTATCACTTAAGGTGGATCATTCACCTCACATTCTGTTGATGCTGTAGTTAACCCTGTTTAACTCCATTGATTAAGCAAAATCTGTTTCCCTAACAGTGAAAAATTTTATCTTTCTTACATTGAGTCTTTACAGATTTGAAAAGCTACCTGGTAACCTAGTCTAGATTTTTATTTTACATGCTATGTTAAAATGTGCTCTTTCTTACCTACAAATTGCACAGTCAAGTGTGTTATGACACCAGAGCAGAGGAAAAAAGAGAGCACTCAATATACAGTAGGATTTCAACAGAGGGGCACCAGGCACCACAGGGTACACGAAAAACAGAACTTGCCACTGCCAGATTCAAGACTCCATTGGGATTCATAAAATCCCTGGTTTGTGAGGGAGTTTATTGTACATTCCTTTGTTTCCTAATTTGTTTGATTCTTGCTTTTCAACTTCCCTCCGGAGAGCACAATGTGTGCCATTTGGGATCAGGTGACAACTCCAAAGTGTGGCTCCTGACCATCCAATCACCAGTTATAAGTCCTTCCTTAAGCCCCTGCAATTTTGTCACTCACCAAGTGTTAAAGGAGGCCTATTCCCCTCCATCATTTACAGATAATGGAGGAGAAGCAATTATCTGAAGAGTCAGGATTTGAGCTGGGATTTGAACTTCCTGAGCAATACAAGAGTCAAAGGTTGAGCTCCCAATCCCCCAGCTTCCCACTCAGAATTCAGGCTGCTGGTGAAAGAGAGAAAAAGCATAAAACTGAGGTCTCGAGTTGCTATACTCATAACCTCACAGCAAACTGCCAAGGGGACATTGATCTGAATCACATTAAAGGTCAAAAAAAGGATTGTTTTATTTCCTAGAAACTGAGACGGCAGAACCACACCTACCTCAAATCCCTTCCAAATCCCCTCAACCCAGTTAGAAGCCAGCCCTAGATGCGGGGAAGGGGCAGTGAGATTCTTCAGACTTGAAAAGTGTGCTGTGATACATTAACCACTTCCCTGCTGAGAACCTTTGCAGGCTCCAGAGCTGAAATTGACATGTGCTGTTCAACACCACCCCCCGCACCCCCCCACAATGAATATTTGAACCTTTGTTCCTCAAAATGTGCTGGGATTGCTCCTCTGCCAGGCCTTCCCACCCATCAGGGGACCTGCAAACCTATAGCAGAGAAACCACCACACCTACTGCTGTTTCAGACATTGGCCCAACTCCAGGCTGCCTTCCATAGGCTGCAGGGAGGTTCCTCCCTTGGTTGTCTGGTTTCTGTTTAGAGGGCATGGAGCAGGTTAACTCTCTTTGGTCTCCACATGTGCCTAAGCATGCTTAGAAAATGCTACCAAAGTAACAAAGCCCCATTCCTTTCCCACTTGTGTTGAGCTCTGTGTTAAGACTGTTTTTAGCTCTGAAATTGGACAAATTTATCTATCAAAACTCTATTCAGAAGCCAACGAATGCCACCCTAGTCTGAGTAATTTCTTCCTCCTCTGAATTGCTGTAGAATTTCACATCTATATCATTTATATGCAGTATAGGCTGTCTGGTATCTATACATGTCTTATCTCTCCTCTCTCATAGAAGCTTCTGGAAAGCATGTGGTATAATCTTAAATATAAGAAATGAGCAATAATTTTTAGCTGAATTAATGGAATCTTACAGCAACATGTGTTTTCTATTTGGATGCTATCAGAAGAAGTTGTTATTGTGTGGGAAATGATGGATCAATTTTACACATTAGCCCAAAGCAGACTTGACAAAAACATCCCTGACTGAGTCAGCCAGAGACACAATGGTTGCCCCTGCCCCCAACTCATATTCAGAAAGAAACTCTGAGATCTAGGTCTCTCCTGAGAAGATGGGCTGTCATAGTAACCAACACCAAACTTCT